>NC_000023.11:150233181-150536212 GCF_000001405.40 Homo sapiens | reverse complement strand
GCACATACTAGTACTTCATTCCTTTTTATGTGTGGATATAGCACATTTTGTTCATGCATTCATCTGTTGAACATTTGGGTTGTTTCTACCTTTTGGCTGTTGTGAATAATGCTGCTATGAACATTCATATACAAGTTTTTGTTGATATACTTGTTTGTGATTCTATTGGGTATATACCTAAGAGTGGAAATATTAGGTCATAAGTTAATTCTGTTAAACTTATTGAGGAATCACCAAACGGTTTTCCTACAATGGCTGCACCATTTTGCATTCCTGCCAGGAATGTACAAGCATTCTAATTCATGTACATCCTTGCCAACACTTGCTTTTCTTTTTCTTTTTCTTTTTTTTTTTTTAAATAAGTCATCCAAATGGGTGTGAAATGGTATCTCATTGTGGTTTTGAATTGCATTTCCCTAATGACTAATAGCGTTATACATCTTTTCATGTGCTTGTTGGCCATTTGTATATCCTCTTTGGAGCAATGTTTAATCAAATCCTTTGTCCAATTGCTAAGTGGGCTGGTTGTTTTTTGTTGTGGTGCTCTCTCTTCTCTTTTGAAACTTGTCTGGGAGCAGAAGCAGGGATTGCCATTTTCAGGAATCTCTTATCGTTAGGAAGTCCTCCTGGGAAAATGTTCTCCGCTGGTCCTACTTCTGCATGTTAGAGCCACACAAAGTCTGTACTTTCTGCCCCATGAAAGCCCCTCAGAGAGTTAAAGGAGAGGCCGTTTGCTTTCATAATCATCTCTACTTTAAGCATTTGTAAGTCTTTTAAATCATTTCTTGAATGTTTTGGTTTCTTTGCAAGGGAGGAACCCCAGAAAATTAATCATGTGCTTACTCAGGAATGGAGGTCATGCCCAATCTTTACACCTATGCATTGGTTCACCCCTAACATGATGTTTGCGAATCTAATATATGCCAGGAGCTGTTGTACATGCTGGGGAAGTATCAGGGATCAAGACAGACATAAAGCATCACCCTTATGGGGTTTAGATGCTAGTGGGGAGACAACCAGGAGCTGGGGGAAAATGTCCCAAATGAAGATGAACACGGTGTCATGTGGTGGAGAACACGTAGATTGGGGAGTCAGGAAAGGCCTCAACGAGGTGCCAGGCAAACTGTCTTAATGCCAAGAATTCAACAACGTGAGAATACAGAAAAGCATTCCAGGCAGAGAGACCAACAGGCTCCAAGATCCTGTGTGGAATCATCTCCAATCTAGTACTCAAATAGCTCATATTACATTTGTGTCATAAAGTCCAGTGGACATTTGCAGTCCTCATCTTACTTAACCTCTGGAGAGCATTTGAATCCAATGTCCCCTTCCCTTTGTTTCCATAATATAGCACTCTCCTTATTTCCTCCTTTCCTCTCCAGCCGCGTTTCTCCCTCTCCTCTGCTGCTTTCTTCTCTAGTGGGCCATTAGATTTTGGAAGTTCAAGGCTCCTTCCTAGACTCCATTTTCTTCTTACTTCCTCTCTAGGTAATCTCACCATCACTGGGATTTAACTACCACCTATATGCTGATGACTCCCATATTCCTATCTCCAGTCTGAACCATGCTTCCAGGAACAAGGCCCATGAATCAAACTGCTTCTCTGATAACTTATCTGTGATTTTTTCACAGGCACCTCAAACGCAATAGGGCCAAAACCAAACTCATGATCTTCTCCCTCATACCTGGTTCTGTCTGGGTGAACGGGCACAAACACCTAGCCACTTTTACAAATGGAGCCATTATATATTTTCTTCGTCATCCACTTACACAACTCTTGACTACATTGTTCATTTCACTCATCGATTTCTGTCAAATCTATCCACTTCTCTTCATCTCCACCCTTCAAATCCAAGACACCAGTGTCTTTATCTAGGACTATACCAGAGCTCTTTAACTGAACTCTTCTTCAACTTTGGCCCCCTCCCTCTGTTTTTTTCATACTATAGAGATAATGCTGTTTTTTATAAGCAAATCTGATTATATAATCCCTTCTTGCTTAAAATCCTTCAGAGGCTTCCAGTTGCTCTTATGATAAAACCCAAACAACTTCCTACCATGGTCTTCAAGGCCATGCATGACCTAATGCTGACTCACCTTGCACCGTATTTAACCTCACTTTATCTGCTCCAGCCACACTTCTCCTTTTTCACTCACCTACACTTTCCATAGTCCTTCCCACCACAGGGCCTTTGCACATGCTGTTCCAGAAAGAGTTATGAAACACTTGTCCCTCTCATCTCCTAGATTATTCCTCCTTATCCTTTAGATTATATCTCAGATGGCCATCTCCCCAGGAAAATCTTCTCGGACCTCCCCCTGCCTTCTGGCCAGGTACCTCTGTCGTATGCCATCAGAGTATCCTCATTTCAACTTTGCAGCACTGTTCAAACTTGTACTGTCAAACTCATTCTGGGGAGTGTTTAGTTTAATGCCTATCTCCCCAGCAGACTATCACCTCCATGAGGGCTGAGGCCGTGTTTGCTTGCCTACAATGTTACTCCAACACCTACTACATTTTGGTGCTGACCTGGTCCAAAATAGGCACTCACTATTGTGTGTGGTTTTATACGAAGTCCTGGAATTTTACATGTGCACATAATCACACAGACCCAAGTACAGAATTTTACATGTACACATAATCACACAGACCCAAGTACAGACACAGATGTATATGTGCACACACACTACCTAATATATATATATATATATATATATATATATATATATATATATATTTTTTTTTTTTTTTGAAACGGAGTCTCGCCCTGTTGCCCAGGCTGGAGTGCAATGGTGTGATCTCAGCTCACTGCAACCTCCGCCTCCTGGGTTCACGCCATTCTCCTGCCTCAGCCTCCCGAGTAGCTGGGATTACAGGTACCTGCCACCACACCCAGCTAATTTTGTGTGTGTGTGTGTGTGTGTGTGTGTGTGTGTGTGTGTGTGTGTGTGTATTTTTAGTAGAGACAGAGTTTCATCATGTTGGCCAGGCTGGTCTCGATCTCCTGACCTCAGGTGATCTGCCCGCCTCAGCCTCCCAAAGTGCTAGGATTACAGGCATGAACCACCACACCTGGCCCCCTAATACCTATATTTTAAACATCTGAGTCAATTACCATCAAACTGAAAGAAAAGAAAGGTAAAGAAGAGCACCTTAGACAACTCAGCCTAAAGAAATGGGCTATACTCTACCCTTGAGAAGATTCTACCTGTTTTTCCTCCATTTCTCTTGTTACTTTTGACCTGGGTCAGCTCTCTGGGTTGCTCCCCTCTCTGTTAGAACTGTTAACTCTGGATAATGAGGCCAGGAAAGAAGGCCAGGAAGGTCTGATTATCCTGCTCTCCGTGCAAAGCCTGGTTCACAGAGCATTTCAGACAAGTCCTACCCCCGGGGCCTCATCCTAGCACCACAGACTTCATTTTTGAGTGCCTTAATGGTAGATTTATGAGGGATATTGGGTTTCTATTTTCCAAGGGGTTTGAGGATGGCCTTGCTGTCACTGCTATTGCTTATTCTTGAAGACTTGAGATCAGGAAGATAACAGTGCCCCAATATCACCAGCTTCTCTCTAGGCCTCTGCGTTGCTCCCATAGAGAGACGTCTGGCCAGCAATTTCTTGTCTTACAGAAATCTCTGAACCCCATCTCCCTGTTTCTGCCAAGATATTGGTGGGATCACCTTCTTTTTTCTTTCCTCTTCTGTTTTGAGACCTCCAGGGGCCTGTTCTCTGCTCCTGGAACAGAGTAGGCACTCACACTTTTTTGATTCCATAATCTCATTTTGCTGATGAGTGAATGAATAAACAAATGAACAAATGTTTGCTGAAACCTACAGCATGTATCTTCACCTCCTCTATCGTTATTGCCTTATAGGCTCTGGAGCCAGATAGATCCAGTTTTGAGTCCAGGCTCTGCTCCTTCTCAGCTGTGTGACCTTGCCAATTCGCCTAATATCTCTGTGCTCCAGTGTCTCCTCTGTAAAATGAGATCTGTTGAGGGATTAAATGAGATAATACTGGCCAGATGAGGAGCCCAGACCTGGGCATGTAGTGTAAGAAGTGGTTCCTTCTCCACAGTTGGATACTGGACATTCACAGCAGCCTGGTGTCACTGCTTGGCAATGTAGGATCATGATTAAGAGCACTGGTTTCAAACATTTCCTTGTTGGATTGATCCTTCCTAGTTGGAAAGCCTTGATCGAGTCACTTAAGTTGCCCAGGATCACGTAGCCAGAAAGGGACTGAACTGTGATTGAAACCCAGTCTCTAGCCTTTCTACTGGACCACAGGGCCTCTGTTCACCAGAGAAGATGTAAAATATCAAGAAGTAGCCAAAACACTTCTGTCTTGAAGATGTTGTTTTGGAAAATGTGACTTTGGGGCCCCGCAGTTGGCTGCACGCTTGTTTCTGGTTATTCCAGAGAGATTACGGAATGCTCCCTGGGCTGCCCCTGCTGGGTTCCCAGGCTCTACTTCTCTCCTCTCCCCAAGCCTTGAGTGGCTTGTCCCTGGCACCTATGAGCCTCTCTCTTGGGACCTGGAGCCCAGCCTAGCCCAGCTCAGCTTTGTGCATCAGGAGTTTTGAAGACAGGCAGCCTTTGTCAGACTCTGTGGGATTCTCCCCTCGCTTTCCCAGAACTAAGAAAGGCCAAGCCTGGGACTCCTCCATGATCAAAAAACTGCTCTGAGGATCTTCAAGAGGCTGGCAGAGGGGCAAGGTATTCTAAGTTCCCCCTCCCCCTTACCAGGCACTTATTAAAAATGCGTGGCCCAGTGCCTGGTGTGCACACAGAAAACAGCAAGCACTAGGACTGGCATCAAGAGAAAATTCAGGGGAAAACATACTTTAGTCCAAAGGCAAATCACTCAGAATTTCCAGGTGATATTTTACATGCTTAAAAATGTTGGCAATGATTAAAATGAAAAATACAACATCAAGTGTTTGAGGCCTTTGTCCTCATCATAGCTTCATCCCAGCAGAACACAAATCTCTTTGGTGGTTTGGAGCGTGTGGCCACCATATCTTCCAGGCATTCAGGAATGGGACCTGGAAGAATCGCAGAGGGGTCCAGTCCACTCTGTGGGCAAATCAGACATCTGCTTCTTAAAGAAGCATTTTTGGAGACTTTCTGGAGTGTTTCTGATGTTCTAGTGCTGCCTACTATCTGGGTTTGCAGCCGACCCTTTTGATTGACAGCATTCTGCTCTACTGTCATTTACGAGCACGCTCCCCACACTGCACTGTGATTGTGTGGGTGCGTGCCAGGCACCATCAGAATTGCCTGTTAGGGTTAGAACAGGAGTCAAAGAGCCACCCACACTGGTCGTGCATACCAGCTTAGTTTCTGTCCAACTGGGATGTCCTTGAGCAAGGGCATTTAACAGTAAGGAGCCAGTAGGCCTGCTGGGGCTTGGTAAAGTCCCTGCTGCACTTTATCGTGTGTTCTATCTGTGGAGCCTCCTACGGGAATGCAGACAACTGGGGCTGTCCCACTGATAGGTCAAAGTTACTGAGGGCCTTCTGTATAGCCCCCTTCCAATTGAGCTGGTGGCCCCACGCTAATGATCCCGGAAACGCTGTCCCTACAGTAGGCCTGGCAGGCTGTGGTGGGATCTGCACTGGCCTCTGAAGGTCCAGGCCTAGTGATGCTACTCATTCATCTCAGGGTGGAGCAAGGCAGAGACTGACCTGGCCAAGGGCTGGCAGCAGCTCAGCGTGTTTGGTGGACCACTTGGCAGTGCTTCTGCCGACTCCCCATCTAGCACATCCTGGCAGAGAAGTTGCCCTCCCTTGGAGGGGCAGTCTCTGCCTGTCATGGATCATGTAAAGGTCCTCTTGCTGAGGCCCTGCATCTTCATTTTGCAGTTTCTTTATCGTTAAATGAGGGAGTGGTGGTCACCATTGTAGCTGTATCTCTTCTGCCTCTTGAGCAACACCCGGAGGTAGACATCCTGAGTGGTAGCGCCTACGCCTCAGGGAGCAGAGGATCTGGGTGTCGTCTTTGGCTATTCCACAGCTAAACTGCCCAGCAGTTAAGAGTTGGGGGATGGGAGCCTACTCCACCTTTATCAGTGACATGACCTTGGGCAAGCCGATCTGCATCCCTGAGTGCCAACTTCCTCCTGTGTGAAAAAGACACCATAGTACTGCCCCTTGAGTGTTAGCAAGAGAAGTAAAGAAGACCATATACTCATGAGGCTCTGAGTTTGGTAGCTGTGATATATCAAGTATCTAAGTGGGATTGTACATTTTCACCCATGAAACTCTTCACCTGTACAAAGAAAAAATTTGCTTCAGTATGTCCCATGATGGCTCTCTTCTTGCTCAGGAGTCTCTACTCTGCTGGAGGAATCAAGCTGACTGACAATTCCATGGTATCCTTTTAAAAGTCTCACCTTGGAATACTATGCAGCCATAAAAAAGAATGAGATTGTGTCCTCTGCAGGGACATGGATGGAGCTGGAGGCCATTATCCTCAGCAAACTAACACAGGAACAGAAAACCAAATATCGCGTGTTCTCACTTATAAATGGGAGCTAAACGATGAGAACACATGGACACATAGAGGGGAACCACAGACACTGGGGTGTTTCAGAGGGTGGAGGGTGGGAGGAGGGAGAGGATCAGGAAAAATAACTAATGGGTACTAGGCTTAATACCTGGGTGATGAAATTATCTGTACAACAAACCCCCACGACACAAGTTTACCTATGTTACAAACTTGCCCATGTACCCCTGAACTTAAAATAAAAGTTAAAAAAAAGAAAATAAATAAAATTTTTTAAAAAAGTCATACCTGGATGTCATTGTGCCCCTTCCCTGCACTGCTTCCCCAGGGGGCTTCTCTGCACACCTAGTTCTGCAGCCCCTCCCCAGCCATTGCTGGGTGATATGGTTTGGCTCTGTGTCCTCATCCAAGTCTCACGTTGAATTGTAATACCCAGTGTTGGAGGTGGGGCCTGGTGGCAGGTGATTGGATCATGGGGGTGGAGTTCTCATGAGTGTTTTGTCACCTCCCCACACCTTGGTACTGTATAGTAAGTGAGTTCTCACAAGACCTGGTTGTTTAAAAGTGTATGGCACCTCCCTACCTCTCTCTTGCTCCTGCTCGAGTCATGTAAGATGTGCCTGCTTCCCCTTCACCTTCCGTCATGATTGTAAGTTTCCTGAGGTCTCCTCAGAAGCAGGAGCTGCTTCTGCTTCCTGTACGGCCTGCGGAACGATGAGCCTATTAGACCCGTTTTCTTGATAAATTACCCAGTCTCAGGTATTTCTTTGTAGCAGTGTGAGAATGGACCAATACACTGGGCCTTAACATCCTCACAGTCCTGGACATGGCACCGAGCCAAAAGCAGGGCTCTTCCTAGGTTTTCAGATGGAAGAAACCACTTTCCTGATGTGCACCTCATCCACATATAGCCTTCAGGGGACTTTTCCCTTTTGCTACTATTCCTTTGGCCTGAAGTGGCATGGGAGGGACGGGGAGAAAGGGAGTGCTTTCCACCTCTTTTTCATCATATTCTGAGTTTCTGCTACCCTAACATATAAATAAGTAGGCTTGGTTCTTGATGTGATAATGGGAAATGTACCAGTCAGGATTCTACCAGAGAAAAGCACACACGCACACACACACAGACATATATATATACACACATGCACACATATTACACACACATATACACACATGTGTATGTGTATGCATATATGTGTGTGTATATATGTGTTAAATATATATAAAAACAAGAAAGAGCTTATCTGGTTTTGGGTGATGTGGCTTATGTGATTGCTAGCTAGGCAAGTTCAATATTTGCAGGCAGGCAGGCTGGAAACTCAGCCTCAAGATCGAAGCATTAAATAAATCCTATCTCATCAGTCAGAGTTCCCCAGAAGAAAAGAATAGAATCAACTGGAGATTAGATAGATAGATATTAATATAGAGATAGATGGGTAGATAGACAGATTTTAAGAAACTGGTTTATGTGACTGTGGGGCTGGCAAGTCTGAAATCTGGAGGGCAGGCGAGCAGGCCCAAGACTCAGGCAGGAGCTGACACTGCAGTCTTGGGATAGAATTGCCTCTTCTCTGGGAAACCTCAGTCTTTGCTCTTTAGGCCTCTCAGTTGATTGTGTGAGGCCCACCCACATCATCGAGGATGAGTCTCTACTTCACTTCAAGTCCACAGCTATGAAATGCCTCCACAGCAACACCTAGACAGGTGTTTGATGAAATCACCAGGGACTAGAGCCTGGCCCAGGTGACACATAAACCTGACCATTGCAGGAACCAGTGGAATTTAGAAGAAAAACCTTTTATCTTTTATCTGTAGATAAAGCCTAGCTTTCAAGACTCTTTTCTGGTTGTGGACACAAATCCTATTTTAGGTATCAAAAGCTGATTCTATCTTTGTTGTTATGTTCTTCCTGTAACTGTTATTAGTCTTCTAGTTATTTTTGGAAGATTTCAGGGGATATTGCCTCTGGAATGTTGTGGATAGAATATCACCCACAAGGAAATGCAAATGAGAAAAACACATTAATAAATTTTTAGAGGGACGTTTTGCCCAAGGAAGGACATTTTGTTTTTACAATTACAAATTATTCCAGTGAAGAAGAAAAAGAAGAGGCAACTAATGAAAGCATTGAACTCATATTTGAAAACAGCATGCTGAAAACAGCATGAGGGTGGTGGGGCTTGTCCCTGGGCATGGTGGGGACAGACTATTGGAAAGGTGCCAGGAAGGCCATGTCTGGAAGGCAAAAGCTGAGAAACAGATAAGGGGAGTGGAAGATGAAGAGCAAGGGCCATGCTGTCAGCCCTGCTTGGCACTTGGTGACCCCAGAAGGAATGGACCTGTTGCTTAAGGAGGCAGGTTTCATATGACTGACAGCCAGAGTTGGGAGGAACTACTCAATTCCTGTTTTGCTTCTTATCCAAGAGATGATCTCACGCTGCAAAGGGTCCCGCTTGCATCACCAGGTGGACATGGTCACTGGGAAACAAAATGGTGAGGCAGAGAGGGGTTGGCATTGGCCTCCAGCTTCTCTTGGGGAGTTCTGCTTCCAGGGTCAGACAAACCTCGGTGTGGTCCTGGAAAGCTGGAGAAGGAAGCAAGGGGAAAAGAGGTCAATGTGGTCATCTATGCACAGAAAAGTTGGTTTCGATGCTAGCCAATGTGGAGAAGGTTTCTAAACCAGGTGCTCGGGTGAACCTCCCTTGACCCACATTTCCCTCCCTTCTCTTGTGGGCCTCTGCCCCTCAAACCAGGGGCTCCCTCTGAGCCAAGATTCCCATCTGATACCTTGTTCCTTGCAGCCCAGCCAGCGCCAGGCCATGCCCAGAGCTGGGGAACCAGGTGCCTGGGCTCTGCATTCACATCCTCTCGTGGGTGAACTTGCACGACATGCCCAACACATAATGGTGAGTGTTACAGGGGAGGAGAACAGCTAGTGTTATTGAGCACTGTTCTTCAGGCTTTACACGTACTGATTCCTCTATTTAAAATGTAATTCGATGGGAAAGGACTTTCATTTTATTTTTTTGATGATCAGCTTATTTAAAGCAACATAACATTTTCCATTTTTTAGAAACAGTTTTGTTGAGATAGAAGTCACATAACATACAATTCACCCATTTGAAGTGTACAATTGAATGGTCTTTAGTCTATTCACAGAGTTGTGCAACCACCGCCACAATCTTAGAACATATTTGTCATCTTTAAAAGAAACCCCGTACACTTTAGCTATCACTCCCTGTACCTCCAAGCCCCACAGCCGCTGGTAACCACTTATCTCCTTTCTGTCTCTATGGATTTGCCTATTCTGGACTTTCAAATGAATTAAATTGAAAATGTGTGGACTTTCACGTCTGGCTTCTTTCAATTAACATAACGTTTTCGAGGTTCATCAAAGTTGTAGCATGTGTCAGATTTTCCTTCCTTTTAATGGCTGAATAATATTCCATTATATGCATAGACCACATTTTGTTCATTTAGCCACCGGTCGATGGACATTTGGGTGGGTTCCACCTTTTGGCTCTTATGAACATTCTGCTGTGAACATTCCTGCACATGTCTCTGCAGACATTTATTTTGATTTCTCTGGGCTATATACTCCGGAACCTCCTGTGGTAATTCTATGCTTAATCCTTTGAAGAATGTAGGTATTCTTTTACTCCTCACGACAGCCCTATGAGATAATACTATTTTTATTTCCATTTGGCAGATGGAGAAACCGAGGCACAGAGAGGCTAAGTGGTTTGCTGACCTGCCCAAGGTCCCACAGCTAACAAGTGGTGGCTCCATAATGTGAACCCCGGGGGCTCTGGTGCCAGAGCTCCAGTGCTTAACAGCTGCCCTGTGCTGTCCCTTGACTCACAGACTGCATCCAAGTCCCATGAGGCCCTGGGGCAGCTGGGTCTCTGCCGAGTCTTCCCATTGCTGTCTGCAGGCCAGAGTGGCCAGTGTGCCAAGTCTGTTCCCTTTGTCCCCAAAGGAGCTTTGCAGCCACAGCCACTCAGAAGGAGGCAGGGCTCTGGGCAGGCAGCATGCAGGGCAGGCCAGCGCTCTGCATGACACTTTGAAAGGGCCACACATTTCCTCATTTGTTGCTGACCATGGGCCACATTATTGAGTGTGGTGCTGCATTTCCACAGAAGGCTTTGTGCCACGTGCCTCACATCTTCAGTGGCCAGAAGATTTCAATTTACAGAAAACCAGCAGATGCTTCAGCAGTCATGGCAAGGCTCCCAGATCTTCTAATGGGAAAGCCTCCACCTGTGGCCCTACAGAGGAAGAGAGGTGGAGAGAGGAGAAAAATCCACTTTAGAAGGAAAGAAACGGACCTGGCCTGTCCTTGTGGAGGTGGCCTGTGGGCTGGAGCTGAAGCCAGGCATATGGGGTCAGGGTAGGTAAAAGCCTCCTGCAGTCTGGGATTTGGAAAGCCTTGTGCCGAAATCAATAACCCCATGAAGGCCCAGCCTGGGCTCCTTTCAGATATGGGCCAGGTCAGCTAACTCTGGGACAAATAAAACCTTCTGGGTGCAGGGCCGGGGCGGGGAAGGGCAGAGTGCCCCAATTTCAGGAACGCACGCCAGTAAATTGGGACCCCACTTCCCCCACCCAGGGACAACCTCTGGTAACAGCCTTGGGTACCCTCTTCCTGATGGGCAGACTGTGTTACCACAGGTGGCAAGAACTCTTATAAAGATATCATTCTGTGTGTGTGTGTGTGTGTGTGTGTGTGCTTGTGTCTTGCCACGTTATCTTCACCTCCAATTTCTTCAAGCAAGGAGCCTAGCCTGGCTTCTTCAGGCACCCTTGCCTCAGGGATGATTTGGAGAACAAGCAATAGTGCCACTTTCCTTCTTATCACTGGAAAAGCACATTGAAGCAATGCAATGAGTGCTGGGGTGGGCAAGGCAGGAACCCTGGGCAGGGAGAAGCAACAAGGAGGAGGGGGCTTGCACTTTGGTGGGTCTCAGGTATGTGTGCAGGGCTCCCGCCACTTTCTTTTTTAGCAAAACTGAACTTTAATGACACGTTCCTTTAAACACATCCATTTGGTGCTGAAAATGGAAAGATGACTGGTATGGAGCAGAAGATTTACCTTATTGCAATTGTGTGTCACCTAACGATACAGTGTAAAATCACTAACATCGATTTCCACATCCCTTTGCCCCAACAATCTTCTGCTTCATACTCATAATGCTCGGTTTCATCTCATTATTGAGTTTACGATCTGAATATACACATGTGATGTGCCAAAGGATGGTCAATCCATGAAATGGAAAAAAGCACATTACAATCCAAGAGGCATCCGAGCTCTGTAGATAACTTTAAATTGTAGATAACATGGAAGGGAGAAAGACATCTGAGGAGAGAAAAAGCTTCAATTTCAGAAACCTAGCAGCTTTCCCCATAGTGATCCTAAGATTGCTAGTGGAAAGTTTTGGTACTGGCACTGATGTTGACTCAAACCTGCTGCCAGTAAGATTCCTTGGCATAATTCTGCATCTTGTTGCTCCTTGCGGATTCTTCATCATTTTCAGTACCTGGGAAGTTATTTTTGCAATGGGATATGGACACCCATACCTGTATACAGTCTGATCTCCATCTTATGAGCAAGACAAATCTTTAACTCCAAATCTCAGGCCCCCTCAGAGTTCTCTTTTGGGGAGAAACAGCAAGTCCCATTTCTGCTGCCTTTTTCGTTGGATCTTTTCTAAGTCCTGCTGTTGAAATAGCTCTTCTAGTACAGGGAAACTGTAGTTAGTTAGTAGTAGGGCTGATGGTCAAGTTACTGAAGCCCTTAACTGGCATTCCTGAGGAGGAAGGATGAGAGGGTGGTTTCCTCACTCTAAGGTTCAAAGAACAATTCATAAAATGATGATATTCAAAATTAAATATCAATTGATTCTGATAATATAAATGCTGAGTAAGGATTCAAAGTAACAATGTTTCATCTAATGGCCTCTTTTGTTGGATTTTATCTTCACTGTCCTGCTCTGGGGACAGACTTTCTGTTGGAGGGTCAAGTTACTGAGGCCCTCTCTCAGCATTTCTGAGGAGGATGAATGAGGAGGTGTGGTGTTTTCCTGAGAGTTTTCTTTTGAGGGTATCTGGGAATATTCAGGAGCCAAGATTGGGTTAAGCTTCCGTGGTGAATCAGTGGAGATCCAGTCACAGCCTGAGACTCCTTTTGGACCTTTAGATGTGAACAGGAAGGTTGATATGGTTTGGCTTTGTGTCCCCACCCAAATGTCATGTTGAATTGTAATTCCTGATATTGTAGGAGGGACCTGGTGGGAAGTGATTGGAATATGGGCGCAGATTTCTCCCTTGCTGTTCTCGAGATAGTGAGTTCTCATGATATCTGGTTGTTTGAAAGTGTGTGGCACTGGGCCAGGCGTGGTGGCTCATGCCTATAATCCCAGCACTTTGGGAGGCCGAGGCAGGCAGATCACATGAGGTCAGGGGTTTGAAACCAGCCTGGCCAACATGGCAAAACCCCGTCTCTACTAAAAATACAAAATTAGCCGGGCATGGTGGCGCACACCACCATAATCCCAGCTACTTGGGAGGCTGAGGCAGGAGAATCGCTTGAACCCGGGAGGCGGAGGTTGCAGTGAGCCGAGATCGGGGGCCATTGCACTCCAGCCTGAGCAGCAAGAGCGAGACTCCATCTCAAAAAAAAGAAAGAAAGAAAGAAAGAAAGAAAGTGTGTAGCATTTCCCCCTTTGCTCTCTCTCTCCTACTCCACCATCATAAGACGTGCTTGCTTCCCCTTCACCTTCCACCGTGATTGTAAGTTTTCTGAGGCCTCCCAGCCATGCTTCCTGTACAGCCTGTGGAATACTGTGAGTCAATTAAACCTCTTTTATTCATAAATTACCCAGTCTCAGGTAGTTCTTTATAGCAATGTGAGAACAGACTCATACAAAGGTGATGCTTGAGGCTCTCAAATTGGTACAGGTTGGCCTGGAAAGAATTCCAGCCTAGTTTGGGGAGTGGAAACCAGACTTCCAACACATGGTAAGTCCTGCATGCTTTTTAACAGCTGCATAATACTCCACTGAATGGCATTAACCAGTCCCTGTTTTGGACATGGGAATTTTCTAATTTTTGGCTAGGTCAAACGATGCTGTAATCCACAACTTTGTGCATGCATCTTCGAATGCCCATGCAAGTTTTCTCTATAACACATTTTTATCATGTCAAAAGCCAAATCAGTTTACCTCTATCCTGGAGCTTAAAATTATACTGCAATTATACAGGCAGTAGGGAAAAATAGATTCTCTTCGAGGTTAGGACCCAGGGCAGGTGTATTATCAAAAGCTCCACAGGTGACTCTGAGGCACAACCACCAAAGTTGTAGGTGTCCCAAGAATTACCAGACTGCCCCTACAACAGTTACATGTGTTTGCCCTCCAATCAACAGTGAAGGAGAGGGAGGGCCTGTGTTCTCATGCTTCATCTACATTGGCTATTATCAGTTGTTACTTTGGGGACTAATCTGATAGAAATGACATGACAGGGCATCATTGGTCTTACTGGCATTCTTTTCATTATGAGGGAGGTTTAAGGTCCTCTATGATTCGTTGGCAATTTGTATTTCTCCTATTAAGTGATGGTTCATGTCATTTGTTCATTTCCTCCTTATTGGGTGATTCATCTTTTTCTTATTGTTTTGAAAGAGCTCTGCCTCCGTTTCTTATGTAGTACATACAAATGAATAAATGTTTATTGAGGTAATTTAACTAAGAAGATAAAAATGGAAACAATTTTAAACAGAACAATTTTGAAAATATGAAAAATACAGGGTTAATTCAGGTGAGCAAAACAGCTGAACAACGGGTTGAGTCAGTTTCTGTAAAATGTTGTCAGAATAGGTGAACTATTCTGTTTGGTTGTTTCATTTCATCTATTTATCTACCTATCCCTCTATCCATTCACAAGTAGCTGTTGAATTCTTCCCCTGGTTTCATGCTAAGTTATACTGGCTTCAGAAAAGCGGTTGTAGGAAAATTAAATGCCATCCCTCTTTCTTCTCCCAAATACAAACTTGGTCTCTGGCTGTTTTCTTCCACCTCAAATTGCTGGATTTGTACTTGAAAAGTACCTCTGTATTTAAAAATTATCTTCCCCCAATATTTTATTATGAAAATCTCCAAATATTTAGAACAGTGTGAAGAAAGGTACAGTGGATCCCCATAGACCCTGCTCCTAGAGTCTACAATTAAGATGTTACTCTACTTGCTTTATCACCTATTTCTCTACCTATCCCTCTATCCATTCATCAACCATCTTTGTTTATTTAATGAAAGTAAGTTGCAGGCATCAGTACACTTCATCCCTAAGCACTCCAGCAGATCATTAACTAGAGTTCAATATTCATTTCAGATTTTTCTATTGTAGGTAAAATTTACTTACAAGCAGATGCTCAGCTCTTAAGGAAACCATTCTCTGAGTTTTGGCAAACACATACATGCACCTGGGTAGCCCATAACCCTATCAAGATATAGACCCTACTATTACCCCAGAAACTTCCCTTTAGCCCCTTTCCGGTCAACCCCATTGTCACCCAGAGGATCCCTTTGTTGATTTTTTCCACATAGATTATTTTTGACTGTTTTGGCACTTTATATAAATGGAATCATATAGTAAATATATACATGTATATATGTATATATATAGTGTATATATATACATGTATATATGTATATTTACATATATACTGTATATATGTATATATACAGTATATACTTGTATATATATATACTGTATATATGTGTATATATACTGTGTATATATATACAATATATACTGTATATATGTGTATATATACAGTATATACACTGTATATATATACTGTATATGTGTATATATACAGTATATACACTGTATATATATACTGTATATATGTATATATATATAGACACTTTTGTGTCTGGCTTCTTGCTCTCATCATAAAGCACTTGAAATCCATCCATGTTGTAGCTGGTATCAGTAGCTAGTTTCTTTTCATTGCTGAGAAGTATCACTTTTTATTGATGAGTAGTTTTACATTGTATGAACATGCCCGAGTTTGTTTATGCATTCTACTAATAGACACCTGGGCTGTTTGCAGTTTTTGGCTATTACAAAGAAAATTTCTATATTTTTTTCCAACTTTTATTTTAGGTTCAGCGGGTACATGGGCAGGTTTGTTACATCGGTAAATTGCATGTCACTGGGGTTTGGTGTACAGATTATTTCACCACCCAGGTAATAAGCATAGTACCTGATAGGCAGGTTTTTGATCCTCACCCTCCTCCCTCAAGTAGGCCCCAGTGTCTATTGTTCTATTCCTTTTTTTTTTTTTTGAGATGGAGTCTCACTCTGTTGCCCAGGCTGGAGTGCAGTGGTGCGATCTCGGCTCACTGCAAGGTCCACCTCCAGGGTTCAAGCGATTCTACTGCCGCAGCCTCCCGAGTAGCTGGGATTACAGGCACCCACCACCACGCCCGGCTAATTTTTGTATTTTTAGTAGAGACTGGGTTTCACCATGTTGGCCAGGATGGTCTCGAACTCCTCACCTCAGGTGATCCGCCCGCTTCGGCCTCGCAAAGTACTGGGATTACAGGCGTGAGCCACGGTGCCTGGCCTATGGTTCCATTCTTTGTGTACACGTGTACTCAGTGTTTAGCTTCCACTTGTAAGTGAAAACATGCAGTATTTGGTTTTCTGAAATTCTTGTCTTCATCTTTTTGTAGACAATCCACTACTTTTATTTTTAAATATTAGGAACAATAGCCTCTGTGTGTCCTGAATTGCAATGTTTTTTCTCTGATTTTGCTGCTCATCTTGTAACCTGTATGGTGTTTTTCTGTGTGCAAGCTTTTTACTTTACGTGGGCAATTTTATCATTCTTTTCTTTTATGGTTTCTGGGTTTCATGTCATGATTGGAGAAGCTTGATCTACCCTGATACTATAAAAATATCCACCTTGGCTTTTTTTTTTTTTTTAGATGGATTTTCACTCTTGTTGCCCAGGCTGGAGTGCAATGGCGTGATCTCGGCTCACCACAACCTCTGCCTCCCAGGTTCAAGTGATTCTCCTGCCTCGGCCTCCTGAGTAGCTGGGATTACAGGCATGCGCCACCACGCTCAGCTAATTTTGTATTTTTAGTAGAGACAGGATTTCACCATGTTGGTCAGGCTGGTCTTGAACTCCCCACCTCAGGTGATCTGTCTGCCTCGGCCTCCCAAAGTGCTGGGATTACAGGCGTGACCCACCACACCTGGCCCACGTTGTTTTCTGATAGTGTTTTCACGTGTTATTTTTTCTGTCTTACTCTTTGAATCATCTAAATGTATCTTAATGTCAGGAGTGAGGTAGAGGACCCAGTTGTTTGGTTTAAATGACTAGCCAGTTTTCCCAACACCAGGTGTTGAACATCCCTCACTGATGTGAGATGCTGCCTTTTTCACAGTCTCAATCCCCATGTGCATTTCTATTTATTTTCCTTCCACTTTATTCACATCTTTTTCAGTATCCACAACCATATTGTTTTAAATAGCTTCATGATATGTTTTAATATTTGGTAGAGCTAGAACCCTTTCTTGGTTCTTTTTCTTTTCTTCTTCTCCTCCTTTTCCTCCTCCTTCTTTCTCCTCCTCCTTCTTCTTTCTTTTTAGAAATTTCCTGGCTATTCTTGTTTTGTAGTCTTCCAGATAAATAATTTTGAATCACTTTGTCATGTTCCAGAAAATAATACTGCCAGAATTTTTATTGTGATCACAGAAGTTTTACAGATTCATCTGGGGGAAAAAACCCCATCTTCCCAGAATACAGAAAGGGTGAGGGAAAGACAAACATCAAGGACAAGTCTCAGGTTCTGGACTTGGAGACCAAGAGGATTTGGGGCATCCGGGAGCAGGGCAGGGAGGTGTGATGGCTGCCTTTCACTGAGTAGGAGGATGCCCAGACTTGGGGGAACTATGGAAAGTTTGGTTCAGACTTTCTGAGTTGGAGATGTCTATGCGCAGTCCACAGGGCGAAGCCCTGGAGGTAGAGGCCCTCCTTACTGCCTCCCTCATTCAGTCTGAGGTCCATTCTCCACATGGACACTGAAGTGACTCAAGGCTTCCCTTGTTGGATCAGGATAGTCTCCAGGGCCCTGGGTGGTCTGGGCCTGCCCACCTCCCCATCCCCTCTCCTGCCTGCCCTCCTCTTGCTCACTGGACCCCACCCACCAGCCTCCTTCTATTCCTCCTGACATTTGCACTTGCTGTTCCGTCTCTGCTTGGAACATCCTAGCTCTTTGCATGGCTTGCTCCTTCCCATCTTTTAATCTAAGCTCAAATATCACTCCTTCAGATATGCCTTTCCCAAATATCCTAGCTAAAGAGAACTGCTCCCCACTTCCCACAAGCCCTAGCAAACTGGGACTCTCCTTCTTGCTTTCTTTCTCTCTGCCCCTTCTGTGTTTTTTCCATAGACCTTAACTTGTTACTGTTTTATTTGTTGATGTGTTTACATCATTTGTCCCCCTGTGATGGTTAGTTTTATGTGTCAACTTGGCTAGGCTGTAGGGGCTGTTCGTCAATCAAACACTGATCTATGTGTAGCTGTGAAGGGATTTTGTAGCTGTGATTAATAGTTGACTTTAAGTAAGGAAGATTATCCTGGAGAATGTGGGGGAAGGGGCAGACCTCAGCCAATCAGTTGAAAGGCCTTAAGAACAAAGCTGAGATTTCCCCGAGGAAGAAGAAATTCTGCCTGTGGACTGCAGCATCAGCTCCTGCTTGAGAGGTTCCAGGCTGCCCTTCCTGACAGCCTGTCCTATGATTTTGGACTTGCCTTGCCAGGTTTTTCCTCTTTGTTGACCCCCCAAAACCATATATATCTCCTGCTGGTTTGTTTCTCTGGTGTAATCCTGAGGGATGAACACTCCTCCCTCCCAGTTCACTCTGGGAGAGGTTGGGGATCATGTTTGTCTATTTCCCCATGCCTGGCCCATGCGTGTTTATTGAATCACTGAACAACCACGCATTAGGAAGCCAGTCATATGTGCTTCTTCAGAACCTCATGTCCATTGCCAGATCCCCCTGGCTTTTGTGGCTAGAGGACAAGTGAGAGATAGTAGCTTACCCACAGACCTTGGCCCTGAGGCCCCCAGGGGCCTGAGCCTGCTGTAAGGGAGGAGGGAGCCCCTGAGGTCTCACACACCTCCCTGGGGATCTGGCATTTTCCCCTGGGGCTGGCCTCAGAGCTGGGCGGGGGCAGATTATGGAGTGGGTTGTAGAGGGAGCACCTCCCCACTAGCAATCATGGTTTTTTCTGCGCCTCTCATAGGGAGGCCTACAGGCCTCCACCTTCAGCTCTTCAGGAGCCACAGGCAGCTGAGTGACTTCTGCATCACAGTCTTCTCAGAGACAAACTTGCAGTAAGAAAGAGGGGCCCGTGAGGGACCCCAGAGAAGGCTGTTGTCAAAGCAGGATGAGAGTGAACTCTTCCATGGGGGACACCCAGCGTCTCCAAGCTCTTTTATGCTGTCTTCAAGGGGTCTAGAGAGCTTCAGCCCAACATGAGACCCAGTCCAGCAGCATTTCCCTGCGAAGTGAAAGTTAGGACCCTGACTAGATACACCACGCTGACCTCAGCCAGAATATCAAGATGCTGAGGCGCTGAGATGCTGGGATGCTAAGGTGCTAAGGTGCTGGGGTGCTGGGGTGCTAGGATGCTGAGGTTTTGTGATACTGGGTCGCTGAGATGCTGGGATACTGGGGTGCTGAAGTGCTGGGGTACTGGGGTGTTGCCATGCTGAAATGCTGGGGTGTTGGGATGCTGAGGTGCTGGGTTGCTGGGATGCTGGGATAGTCCTTGGATGCTGCGGTGCTGAGATGCTGGTCTGCTGGTCTGCTGGGGTGTTGGGATGCTGGGATTTTGGGATGCTGGAGTGCTGCAGTGCTGCAGTGCTGAGATGCTGGAGTGCTGGGGTGCTGGAATACTGTAGTACTGGTGTGCTGGAGCGTTGAGATGCTAGGGCACTGGGATGCTAAGGTGCTGAGATGCTGCAGTGCTGGGGTGTTGGGATGCCGAGGTGTTGGGATGCTTAAGTGCTGGGGTGTTGGGATGCTGGGGTGCTGGAACACTATGGTGCTGGGGTGCTGGAGTGTTGAGATACTGTAGTGGTGGGATGCTTAAGTGCTGGGGTGCTGGGTGTTGGGATGCCTAGGTGCTGGGGTGCCGAGATGCTGGAGTACTAGTGTGCTGGGATGCTGAAGTGCTGGGGTCCTGAGATGCTGCAGTGCTAGGGTGCTGAGATTCTGGGCTGCTGGAGTGTTGGGGTGCTGGGATGCTGGAGTGCTGAGATGCTTGGACAATGGGGTGCTGGAATACTATGGTGCTGGGGTGCTGGGGTATTGAGATGCTAGGGTACTGGGATGCTGAAGTGCTGAGATCCTGGAGTGCTGGGCTGCTGGGCCACAGGCTCTTGAATCCATTCGTCTGCCCAGGGGAAGAAACCAGAAGATAAAGAGCTAATGAAGGAGCTTTGGTTGAGAGGGAGGAAGTAATGGAAGGAGCAACATCTTGTGGAGGAGCAGGAGAGAATGGACCTCAGGTTGGGAGAGAGGGCCAGGCTACAGGCCAGAGAGGCAGAAGGATTCCAGCAGAGTGTGGGCTCCAGGAGCCAAGGGGAAACAGGTTTCTGGGAGGAGAGAGTCCAGTACTGCTGAAGTGGCAAGTCCGCTGAGGACCAGGAAGCTTCATTTGGCTTTATGACCAGGAGGAATTTGGAACTGTGACTAGAGTACTTAGGGGGAAGGAGGCAAGACTGGAGCCAGATTGCTCTGGGTTGAGGGGTGAGTGGGAGGTGAAGCAGGGCACTGTCACTCCTTTGAAGGGTGGCAGAGAGCTGGAATTGGTGCTGGATGGGCTGTGGGGTGACAGGGTCATGTGGAAAGCCCCTGGGGGGCACCTGGAAAAGGAGAAGCTGACAGTACAGTGAGAGGACAGCTAAGGGAAAGCAGAATGGCAGAACACGCACTGCCAGGAGGAATGAGGATAGGGTCAGGAGTGCCAGGGGCAGTGAGGCCAGCCTGGGGTCAGGTGGCAGGACGTGTCCAGGAAGCTGGTCTGCACTGCAGCCCACACTGGCTCAGCCTTGAGGTTCCCTGTGTGGTTGGGGTAGGAAGTTGAACCCTCTGGGAATGGAAGATGGAACCAGCTCTGCGAGCCAAGCTCAGCTTTTATCTGTGGGTCTCTGAGGGCTGGCAGAGCTGAGTGGGGACAACTGTGATCCGTGAGGCTCTCAGGTTGAGGTGGCCCCTCCGGGAGGGCTTCATTTTCCCAGCGGGTAGGTTCTAAGCAGCAGTGGCTGGGCAGGTGGGTCCAACACAGAGCCAGAGAAGGGTGAATGGGCCTCCTGGCACCCCACCCCTGCTGCCCCTGAGCTCAGTGATGGAGGGGGACAGCACAGCTGAGCCCAAGTGCTTTGGTGTGGCCCTGAGGGAAAGCTGCAGCCTGCCTGGGGCCTGGCATGGATGGGACACTTGAGGCAGAGGGACAATAGTGGGCGCTGCAGTGAGGCTGGCTCTTGGAGAGGTTTCCTGAGGAGTGCTGCCTGAGACGGGCAGGGAGAACAGAGACAAAGTTGGTGACAGGGAATGAAAGCTGACTGAAGGACTTTACCCAGACCTATGAGGATATCTCTCTCAGCAGGAAGCAGGAGGGGACTGTGTGAGGACTGGCCAAGAGCTGGAGTGTTGGGAAAATGACTCTTTCTCCGACCCCTCTGTCCTAGCTCTGGCCCCTGGACTGCGGAGGTCTGCTTCCACCCCCATTGGTCGATCGTTGTCCCTTGTCACAGCCATTGAGAATTTTGGCAGGGAGCATGTTCTTAGAGCATTTTTAGGCTCTGCGGGACATAACAGCTCTGCCTCAGAGCACATGCCTTTCTCAGCTCCTGAAAGCCACTGATCAAATTGGAACATTTTGTACCTTAGGGATGAGGATATCAACTCTCCCAGCCACTTAGAGGGATAAATGTGATGATGCATTCAATTGTGACTACATCTGATCCCAACTGTTGCTTCAGCTGCTCTCCTATAGCACATGGCGGGAGGCGTGCATCCCAGTAGCTACCTCCCCACTTTTGGGGAGATGTGGTTCCATCCATGAAACCTGGGTACCCGCCTACCAGGTCCTGGCCTATCAGGTGGCAGGGTCTGGTCAAAGAAGGGCATGTGTGGTCTTCAGCAAGGGAGACAGGACGGTGGTGCAGAGAGTCTAGACCCTCAGGGCAAGTCTCCCCCACACCTGCTCCCGAGGCAGTTGTCTTTGTGACCTCCCATCCCCCTCTGTTTCATCCTCTATAAAATGAGGGGCTGAGCCCCAAAATAACAGGCTTCTTTGCCATGATGCAAAACTGCTGAATCTTTCTTTCTGACACACAAGGCATCGAGCAGCCTCTGAAAGAACCAAAGCCACTAGCAGGCTTCCTGACTTGGGTTTGTAGGTACTGAATACTCCCTTGAAAAATAAAAACATAGAGGCACTTTTCTCCTGGCTGTTTATTACAGAACGAAGAAAAAACACACTGGCTTGAAACAGACGCCAGATTTCAAATGTAGAGGTGAAATACGAGGTGGCAATTAAAATGTGATTACAGAAAGTCTGGACACTGAGAAAAGTTTACAGGACAGTGGGTGTGGGTTTTCTATAACAGACACTTAAATATACATGACGATAATTGCAGATAGAAACCATCAAAGACAAACCCCAAATCAACTAATAATGTTTACAGATGTTCCCCCCCAAACCACAGAGCCTTACATCAAAACAAATACTGAAAGGCTTTAAACCAGGAACAGCTCGCCTTAACCCCACGAGGGTGCACACAAGCTGGGCTTTTTCTCTCGGTCTGAATGGTAAAGGGAGGAGGATACTCTAGCTCCTCCAGGTGGATTGCTGAGACAGGGCTCGGCTCACACACTGTCTCTGCGCCTCTCCCAAATCTGGAGAACTCTCCCAGCCTCCTGGTAAAGTGTCTCTGTGGGGCACTTAACGATAAAACGGCTTCTGCTGTAAAGCTCATTAGGAAAGAGCTAGCGGAGACTGAAAGGTTCGCAAAAGAGATTAAGAATCACACAAGGCAATAGGATTTTTAGTGAACATAGAAATAAATGGCCAAGTGGTTTTCTATTTGGCATTTGTCAACTTGCACAACAACTCTTGGTCATATCCACATTGCTCATTGCATTAAAACCATAAGCGACTCAGCCACCTAGCTTAACAAGGTATCACTGGAGCAAACAACACGGTCTGCATATTTGTAACATTGTATAATAAACACAAAACAATGCATAGTAAACACAACTCTACTGAAACAAAAGCCGTCGCTTTATTTACAAAGTCACAAAATGAAGTATAAATACTTCTGTCATTAATGTTTAGGAAAACCATTTACAAAATTTTCAAATATGTACACGTAGCTTGAAAAATCACCAGCTTTCCATTTTGTCACAGGTAGAGAGAGGGATAAGCATGGGCTGACAACACCACTCAAATTGTAACGGGAGACAACTGCGGGTATGGATCGACACCACTTCCTAGAGTGATGTCACCATGGGGGTTTCTATGGGCATCCTGCTCAGATTTAAAGTGCCCCAGCATCCTGGGTGACTTGCCCAGAATTCTGGGCTGTGGCATTTTGAGCAGCAGCATGCTGTTCCAAAATGTCGTCGATCAGCCTCAAGTTGCACACCCAGTCTTCATCTGGGCTCACACAGGAGCCTTTCAAGAGAGCTTCAATGAAATCTACCTCATTGCAGTCAGGTGACGAAATCAGATCATTTAGTGGGGGTTGGGGCTGGCGCAAAAAGTCGGCAGGTGGCAGCTCAGGGGGAATATCCGTTCTGTCGAACGGACCTGGGAACTGGCTGGCAGCAACGGCAGAAGCAGCAGCAGCGGTGGCAGCAGCAGCCACATAGCTTGGTGGCTCGATGCCCTGTATGGGGCTCAGGGGACTAAAGCTGGCCATACCCTGCTGGAGGAACTTGGTGGTGTTTGCTACAGGCACCGGGCCCTGTACCGGGCTCTGCCTGAGGCTCTGGCTGCCCAGCAGGCTGAAGCTGGGGTTGTTGGCCAGGGGCACTTGTGTTCCCATCGCAGCGGGCACTTGTGCCTCCCAATCAGATGGCCTCTGAAGGCAGGCCTGGCCAGAAGGTGAGTGCTGCTGAACGCTATTATCCACTTGGCTGAGGGGTGTTTTCCCCGAAACTGCTGTGGTCACAGCTGCTGCCGCTGTGACCCATGCAGCATTGTTGAACGCAGTGGGCATTCTTGGCACACTAGGCCGTCTGAGCTGGTGGGGACTCAAGGACTGGGTGCCCAGGGAGCTGGGACAGAACCCAGGCAGGGGCACTTCTGGTGGGGTGGCCTTGGGACTCTGCATATGCTGGCAGACAGAGTCAAGTCTGCCCAGGGGAGTCTGGCCTGAGTGTGAGAGGATGGGACACTGGGGGCTGGAGGTGAAAATTCCTTGCCGCTTCCCCAGAGTTGGTGAGATCACTCCCATGCCCTCGCAGCTCTGGTGCCTGGTGAGTGGGATCATTCCTGGACTCAGATTGTTCTGAAGAAGCCCAGTTCTGGGTGGCATCAAGTGCTTGCTAGATGGGGGGCTTGCCTTGATCCGGCTACACTTGGAGGTGACTTGTTCTTGGACGGCTACATACAGAAAGAGAGAAGTGGGGATGAGTTCCAAAGGCATCCTCGACTTGGGCTGTGGCCACCGGAGGGTAGCTCCTGGCCCAACACGGACTTCTCACCTCCCGCCCTTGGCTCTCTACTGAGCTCCCCCCTGCTCCCCAGTTCCTCGCCATTCCCCTCATTTCTCTGCCCTCAGCCTGGACTGCAGTTCTTCTGGGAAGCTGCCCCAACTCCCTAGGTCTGTGCTCACCAAGAGCAGATCACACTGGACTGAAATGCCAGCTGATTTGTCTCTTCAAGAAAATTGGAAGCTCCTGGAGGTCAGGGTCCATGTCTGCTTTTACACTCAGTGCTCTGTATGCAGGCCTGGCACTGCCCACCCTTTGACAGGTGGTGCATATTTTGTAGAAGGAAGGAAGGGGCCAGGTGGGGTGGGCTGGGCTGGTGGCGGGAGCTAGCTCAGCCTCTTAGATTCTCTACCCGATGGATGTGACCTGGGACAGCAAGTGAGTGTGGTGAGTGAGTGCAGACGGTGCTTTGTTCCCCTCTTGTCTCATAGCCTAGATGGCCTCTGAGCCCAGATCTGGGGCTCAGACAACATTTGTTCAACTGAACGGTAATGGGTTTCCTTTCTGAAGGCTGAAATCTGGGAGCTGACATTCTGGACTCCCTGAGTTCTGAAGAGCCTGGGGATGGAGAGACACGGAGCAGAAGATGGAAGGTAGAGTCCCAGGTGCCTAAGATGGGGAATACATCTCCCCTCATTGTCATGAGAGTCCACTCTAGCTGATATCTACTGTGGCCAATATCTACCGGTACTTTTTTGGGGTGGACACTGAGTCATGCAGCAGTCTTATGGTTTACCCAAGGTCAGGTAGGGGAGACAGTGCAGTCAGAGCACAAGCCCAGTGTGTCTGACCCACCCAAGAATCCATGCTCGTATCTACAAAAATGATTTTTTCTCTTGTAATGGTGCCTAGGTTCTTTTATTATCATGGCATGTGTATGTTTTTCAACTAGGTTACAATCTGGCCTTATAAGGTTAACCTCCTGGAGGCCACCAGCCTTCCTGAAACTTGTCTGTGCTGTCCCTGCAACTGGAGTGTGCCTGATGTGGCACTCCAGCCTGGACAAGTGGGACACAGACTCCGCTGTTATCAGGCCCAAAGATGTCTTCCATAAGACCAGAAGAGCAATGGTGTAGAGGTGTCATGGGCTACAATAAAGATGCTGACCTCCTGTCTGAGGGCAAGCAGCCTCTTCTGGCCCTCAGACAAATGCTGAGTGTTCCCAAGACTACCCTCGGCCTGGTCCAATCTCATCCCACTGGTGCGTAAGGGTTGCTGAACTCATGACTTCTTGGCTAGCCTGCAACCTCCACGGAGTGGGAACTACATCAGGCATTTTGCTAACTGCTGTATCCTAGGCCAATAAATGTTGATCACATTTATAGCTGCCATGGTAGGGTGGGGACCCCTGCTATCTATCTGTGGAGGCTCTGGGAGCCCCTGACACAAACTTTCTGAAGCAGAGCCTCCCCAACCCCTTTTCCATTCCCTATACCTGACAGATGGCCCAGGAACCCATTAGAAATGGAAGGTCACTGCAGCAGTATGTGAATGTGCGTGTGGGAGAAGGGCAGGATCAGAGCCCTGGGGGTGTGGCAGCCCCCAAGTGATTCTAATCCAGATCCTAGGGTTGTTTCCCTGTCCCATTGAAATAGCTGCTTTAAGGGGCCTGACTCAGGGAAATCAGTCTCTTGAATTAAGTGGTGATTTTGGAGTCATTTAGACCAGGCCTTCAATTGGGATCCTGCTCTTAGAGTTGGATGAATTATTTAACTGATTTTCAGATCTCCTCTTTCTCAATGCTTTCAGAAGCACAGTAACTGCTTACTCTGAAATGAATTCTCACCCCACTTCCACATATGCACCCCTTGCCCACCCCTTTGGGAACACTGGCCTTAACTGCTTACCTTCAAATGGACTCATCTGTTGGGAGATATATGCATTCTGCCGTTCAGGGGTCATTGCCATAAGACCTGATCTCTGTTCCTCTTGCTAAACAGAAGATGAAAAAGACAAATTAGATTACAGCTACCAATTAATAATTAGCCTTAGGATCGCTGCGTGGGGACCTAGGACTTGGCTTTGGTGCAGCAGAAAGCATGAATAAACACACCAGCATACACTCGCATGCATGCCCCACCCTCTCGAGCAAAATTCCACAGGTATAAATAAAGTAAGATTCTGCACCTGGGTTAAAAACACAACTGCAACAGCATAGAATGGGGCAGGAGAGACAGAACTTAATAGCAAGAGCACACAGAAAAAAGTTTTAGGCATTTTGGATGTCCATCTGCTCAGGATGGGTCAGCAGTGAGATGCGGTCACCAAAAGAACAAATGTAACATTAGGCTGCATTAATAGAAGCAGAGTATGTAGAAGGAGGGAGGTGACAGTCCTATGCTAACTCTGCCTTGGCCAGACTATACCCACAGGAGTCTGGGCATGCCAGTCTCAGGGAGACCCAGACAGACTGGCTGCATTCAGAGGATGGTAAGTAATGAGAGTGGGGATTGGACTTCAAACTACCCAGACAAAGAATGGCTGAGCAAGCCAAGGATGCTGTGGCTGGGGCAGAGCAGACTGTGGGCTATGTAGTGGTGGATACCTAGCCTCTGCAGGGCTGTCATAGGGAAAGGACATTGAGAAGAGGACTGAGGCTTGTTCCTGGTGGTCCTGGCATGAACGGCCAGATGATCACATGGTCAGGTGGACACAGTCTCCAACACTGGGAGTAGCCAAACACTTACTGCCAACCTCCCGCCCTTCTCCTGACTAGTTGCAGCATAGGCAATTGGGAGGAGCTTCCTGTCTCCATCTGAAAGCTGGCTGGGTGGGCAGGGGGAGGAGCGAGCCAAGTTTCAAGGCCGCAGTTTCAGCACTCAGTCTGGGATCGGCTCAAGGAGCAAAGGGGAAGAACATAGCCAGGAGGGAATAACATGAAGGCCCCCAGACCCAGAAAAGGCATGACTTGCTCTGAGACCCTCAGCCAGTTGGTGTCAGGTTGTGACTCGGATCCAGGTCTGACTCCCAGTCCAGTGCTTGAAGCCTCACCCCACACAGTGAGGGGAGCCCGGCCATCTCTGCTCAACTGCTGCCATCTCTCTCCCCTTCTCAACCACCAAGGCAGCTCTGTCTGGGAGCACAAGCTCCAAGTCCACTTTCTGGTCTGTGTCCCCCCGAAGATGCCAGAGGACTTGCCTCTACAACACGGGCTGCCCGTGCAGTGCCTGCTTTTCCAGCAAAGGGCTTCTGGGAACCCTTCTCTGCACTCAGTGGGGCTGGTGGGAGTGGGGCGGGGTAGCGACCCAGTGCTTGGGACTGTGCCCGGCTCTCAGGCCTGGCAGCAGTTCCTGGCCTTGGTTCCTGCCAAGGCAGAGAGGACAAACACATGGCACCGGGAAGACTACACCAGAAGCGATTCCACCAGACTGGGGTTTGCTTTTCTATCCCGCCCTTAGCCTGCTTCCTGTCCTGGTCCCTGCCTCCCCCTCCACTGGAGCTGCCGTGTGGGCAGTGAGGGGCTGTTTCTCAGCTGCCCTATGGAGCTGCCCTCTCCCTGCCAAAGCATTGGCAAGGCGGCAAGGGGTGGGGGTGGGGATGGGGGGTGGGATCTGCCTTCTCAAGCTCTCATTATACTGAGCACGTCTCACCCATTATTTTATGTCATCTAGCAACACCCCATGTGGACACTGAGGAGCATGGGGGTCACATGACCACTGCCCAAGGCCACACCATCCGGATCTGCCTGAGATGGTCAGGGTTGGCAGCCATTTCTGAAGGCAGTCCTTTCGCTTTGGCTCTTCTTGTACCAGTCTCAGGACATCAGGGCAGAAGATCTACAGTCCCCAGCTTACTGATGTGACAGCAGAGGCTCAGAGAGGTTAAATGACTTGCCCAAGGTGACACGGCTAAGAAGTACAGTATCTCCTAACTGCAGACCAGGTGCTTCCGCTGCTTCTGGGGACAGATTCCTGCGTGGCTGGCTAGGTCTAAACGGTCCTTAACTCCATCCCCACCGGTTGCTGCATTAGTTTCATCAAATAACACAGTTGTACAGAGGTAGGGGTTCAGGGGCAGGGGCAGATGGAGGCTGGAGAGTGTGACTAAGGAAACAGCAGGGGAAGTGCGGTAAAGTCCGAAGGGAGGGACGGAAAGAGAAAGCCAAGCCCAGGGGCGTGCCAGACAAAAGGAAAGGCCACGCCGGGGCAGGGCAGGCTTCAGCGGGTGCTGGGGCGTCTTCATCCCGGGAAGCACACATTCCAGAGGACCCCGGAGTCTAATGGAAAAGCTGGCCAGCCTATCACTATGGAAACTGCCAAGGCCACACAGCGCTGCTGACACCCAGCCTGGGTGCCGGTGGCCAGCTCTGCAGGATCTTCAAGTCTGGGGTGCCACCAGCAAGCGACGGTCCTCCATGGTCTCTTCACCTTACGGCAGTGTCCAGAGGCACCGCCAGTCCTCTGCTCCTATGCTGGTCCTGCTGTCCCTGGCCAAAGGAGCCAGAGCATTCTCTCCAGGCCTCCCGAGGAGGCTGCTTCCTTTGTTTTGCAGATGGAGGCTCCCATCCTTTGTTCTGAATCAATGTGCTCCAAAGATAAGCCCCAAGAAAACAGTTGTTGCCTTTTGACACTGACAATTAGAATCGTTGGAAAATGGAGAAAACAGGAAATGACAAATGGTTTCAGTGACCAGGAGGAAACCGTGCCTGAAAGTTGCTGCTTAGTGACTGGGACACTCGCTTTCTGCTCTCTTATGAAGGACAGCCTAGGCCGTGTGGCCTTTTATAAACAAAGCTATGAAGGGGTCGTCAAATTTTCTAGGGCTGCAACTGTGGCACTACGTCCTGTTGTGCCAGGTGACACTGACAAGCAGCACTGAGTTCTATGCAAGCCCAGGTGTGCTTCTCTCATGGTGACCCCCAGAGAACTAAGGCCCAGCTCTTCCTCTGTCACACCCCTCCCAGCCCCCACTGTCAGACAAGGGACCACATTCACAGACAGTCTCAGCCAAGATGGCAACCTTGGAAGTCCTGGGGATGCCTTTCTAGAAGCTTTAGGCTGACGCCAGGGAGCTGTAAAGCCCCCACCTGTCCCTGGGGGTTGTGTGCTGGGCAGGAGAGAGGGGAAAGAGCCCAAACTCCACCACTGCCTGCTGGCACAACTGAGCCCACGCCAGGCACTGCACCAGCTTCACTCACCAGCTACCACATGCTAATGTCTCCTGTTTACCCAGGTGCAATCACCTGAGTGCTGCTTTCTCACCACTGCATGGGAAGAATGATCTCATTACCAATTCAACCACTTAAGCAGGCAAAAGGACTCCAACGGGGGAAAGGCAGAGGACAAACGATTCGGGGACTGAGACAGATGCCCACAAAATGTTCCTGGATTTTAGCCGGATTCGGGCTGAAGTTCCTTGCCCTATGAGCCCTTGGAGGAGAGCATCCTGACTCAGACAAGAATTCAAATGACAAGACTTCTGGGGGATGGCAGTGAATGGATCCAAAGCCTTGTTTTATAAAGAATGTGGAGGAAGGGAGGAAGGAAGGGAGGGAAGGGGAGACTGAGAGGGAGAGAGAATAAAGAAGAGGAAGAGAAGGAAGAGGAGGAGGAGGAAGGGGAGGGGAGAGGAAAAAGGGGAGGGTAGAGGAGGAGGGAGAAGGGGAAGGGAGGACAGAAGAGGGGAGGGAGCGGGGAGATTATCTACCCCTCCATGCTAGGGAACTCCTGTCTCCTTTTCCAGCAGACACTGCTCCATGAGTGCCCCCACAGAGAGCCAGCCTGCCACACAGCAGAAGGTGCTCAGCTATCTGTCCCAAAGGTTGAGCACTAGTGTATTCCACAAGGAAAAAAACCTTCTTTTGTACTGTTTGGAAGCCAGAATTAGAAACAACTCGTTCACCCTTCTGACTTTCCCTTTGCAATGACAGGAAGATAGTATACTGCATGGGACCACCACACATTCAAGATCTGAGTTGTGGGGACCCCCACCCCCACATGGGTGGAGCCCCCTGAGACCCGTGGGCTCTGACTGGCCATGGCCCATAGATAGTGACAACATACACACTGCTATCTGAAGCCTAGTTGGAGGACGGATGGATGCTTTTAGGAAAAAATTCCCTTTAGTCGTCCCTCAGAAACTACAACGGCTTCCTAAAATGAATGGCAGGCAAGTTTTGATTGTTTCCTAAGTTCCCCCTAACTCTCAGAGCCTGTGACTCAGCTTCTCCAGAATGCCTGCAGGGAGGCAGGACCACTGGGAGTAATGAGCACGAATTGGGCCACTTCTCCCAGTGGACTGTTAACGCCGAGATCTGGGGTGGAACCCACTGAACACCTGCCCTTTTGCGTTGCCCAGAATGCAGCCAGAGGGATACGGGCCACAGTAACTCTGGGGCCCCTGAACCTACCTTCCCAAGACCCTGACGGGAAGGTATTGCTTACATGACAGTCCAGTCAGTCCCTCTGTCACTCAGTTAACAAACATGGTCATGGGTCTACTATGGGCCAGGCTCTGTTCCGGGCATGGGGATAACACCGTGTGTCTCTACTCTTATGGACACAAGTAAATCAATCAAAGCAGATAATGTTCTAATGACCACCCAGTAGGGTGAAGGGATGGAGGGTGGGCAGGTGCTGGCAGAAACCTAAGGTCAAGTCATGGGACCCCAATGGGGAACTGGAAACTGCCACACCATTTTCTATGTTAGGGGTCTTTCCTTGCCCTTCTAGAGACCTCACCCATGGTAATGATGCTGCCCTCAGGTTTGAACTGGTCTGAAGCTGTCACTGGGGGCTTCACAAAATGAATGCCACTGAAAGCAAACGGCAGAGATCTGTATATGAAATTCTTTTTACCCTTTGTTTTCTGTCTTCCCACATGATCTATGACTGCTGCAAACTCTATTCTGACTCCTCCTCAGTCTTGGCCGGTCTGGGAAGAACTTGGTTTAGATGCTGGGAATGATCCCGGGCAAAGGAAACAAATATATTTCCAGCTTGCTTTTCTTCTTCCCCTGTGGTGCCTGCATCCTCTGTCTCGCACTGACTCACAGGCTGGACTGACAAAGTGGCTGTGTTGACAGGGAGGATTTAGTGGATGCCAGGCCTGACCCTCAAAGGCCCTCAGGTGGGGCCAATTTCCAAGGTTCTTAGAGAAGATTTGGGGCCACAAATCTGCTCTGCCACTTCACTGCTGGGTGAAAGCTGTTGGCTTGAGAAGAGAGAGAATAGGTGAGGGACAATAATTCTCAAGGCAAGCTAGCTGATATCCTTTCATCTGTGGCTTCCAAAGACAGGGAAAGGCAAGGCAGACCAGGGTGGAAACAGCGACATCCTGAGGGGACGACGTCCGTTTTGCTAATTCTGTTTCCCTGGCAGCTTTGTGCTGGACAAGATTTCTCTGGTTTCAGCTGAAGAGTGAACAGCTGAGGAGCTCTGTGACTCTGAGAGAGAGAGAAATCAATAGCCCTTGAAAGGAAAGCACTGCTTGTTCTTCCAGGCCAGGGCAGGCAGGATAAAGAGAACAAGGCTGTACATACCAAAGCCGAATTTCCATTAAAGGCCAGAATCCTGGGAGGCCCTTTCAGCTTAATGACCATCTTCTGATCACTATCACTTAGAAAATGTTCATGTCTCCAGTTTTCTCTGCAGATAGTGCAGACATCCTGTGCACATTGATATTTTATGCACCAGATGCAATTCTCTGCAAAGGTCCCCTCTGGCTGGTGTCCATCCGCTTGCTCTCATGACCACTGATGCGACTCTGGGGGCAAGTCAAGCCATTCCTTCTAGACTCTAGAATCTAGAGGATGATCCCAACTCACAGGCCTCTTGGACAAGCTTGCTTTGGATTCCTTCTGCCTGTACTACCCAGACTGCCAGTCCTCCAGCAGGGCAATCCAACTTCCTGCCTCTAGGGTGTGGGAGTCCTGGGCGGGGTTTGGAATCCACAGCAGATGGCTGGCAGGAGAGGCAGTTCCCGAGCACCCACTAGGTGCCAAGCAGGCAGGTATCAGGTGCAGGGCTTCGGAGGTGCAGAAGCACAGCCCCTGTCCCCCTCAGGTTCCCAGTCTGGCCTCAGGGACAGACAGGCAGGTAGGTATGGAAACGGGGTACTGGAAGGCATACAGCTGAGGGAGAGAGCAGCTGCACCCTGGTCAATCCCCCACTCATTTCCCTGGAGGTGGGGCTGAGGCACCTGGAGCACTCTGCTTGCTTGGGTTGTCCCTTTGCCAAAGAATGCCGGGCAGAAAGTAGAGAACAAGCAGGCCCAGGAAGCACTAGAAGTCCCTCATGGGTGGACAGAGCTTTACCTTCGGAGCTGTCACCTCCTGTGTTCCTCCCAACAACCCTGTGAGGCAGGCGGGCAGGCTGAGCAGGGGACTGTGCCCCGTTGACAGATGAGGAAAGCGAGGCTCAGGGGGAAGTGACTTACCTGTGGCGTCGCAGCTAGGCAGTAGTGGAGCGGGCACCTGCCTCCAGGCCTTCGGATCCCAGCTGCCCCAGGGCGCTGCCTCTGAGGTGCTGTACGAGGAGGTGACTCGGGCCAGCTCATGAGCAAAGGAGCTGCCGGGCAGGAAGGACTCACTCCCCAGGGCCTGGCAGGACGGGGGCTGTCGCCCGAGGCTGACCTGGGGGTGCCTGGCTTCCCCAAGCTTGCAGGCTTTGTCTACATGAGTCTACAACAACCGATTGAACAATCCATCAGCTGCTTGGCCACAAAATGGTTCTGACTGATCTTGTCACTGCCCTGAGTGTCTAGCTGGGTCATCTGGGTGTTGTGGTTATACCCACCAACTGCTTTGGTGGAACGAAACCAAACAGCTTTGTGATCTTAGCTTGTCTTGGGTCATAGACTTCTTTGAGAACCAGTTATAAGCTATGGTTTCTCTCCACAGAAAAAGCACTTATGGTGTCTCCCCCTTTCCAGCCCACCAACATTTTACATCTAATTTGGGGGGGTTTTCTGGACCACTTAATACCCATCCATGGATCTCATGTGAAGACTCCCCTGGCTTGAGAAATCACTGTCTTGTTGAAAATGGGAACAAAGCTAAGTCAGATAGCTGGTTCATCAGCAATGACTTTGACCAAGCCTGATCCCACCCTACCCCACCCCACCCCAGTGACCACCCCCCACAATGGAGCACACAACTCTAAACTGGTTTGTAGGTATGTGTGTGTGAACACGCTGAGGAATCTGCAAAACCAAATGGTGAGTGCAAAACCAAACAGTCACGAGTAAATCTCACAACAACCACGTCCTGAGCTGCAGCCCTTGTTGAACTATACCCCACTAGGGCCCCAAGATTTTAGGACTTGTGTGTGGGTGGGACCTCCCCTTTCTATCATGCTTTAGAAGACAGGGATTTCACCAGAATTGAACATATTGAACATATGACCCATTTTTTTCAGCCAAAGGCAATTAAAATAACTTCATACTTGATATCCATGTCAGCAAAAGCTGCAAAACGCAAATGGGTGGCTGCTAAGAGCCCTGGTACCCTGACGAGCACACCAAGTGCTTAGCAACAGTGGTGTCCAAAGGACCAGCTGGAAGCCTGCCTTGATGAGAAGTTGCTCTTCTTTCTACATGAAGGAACACCTCTACTCTCCTGCTTTTAATACCTGAGCTGTGAGTGATCATCTATGTCCATTAGCAAACATCCCAGTGGAGAAGGAAACACTCATACCCGAAATCTAAGCTACATAGTTGGAATCACTTCAACTTATTGCAATAAACACTTACTAAGCACCTATTGTGGGCAAGTCTTTGCAATGGATAATAGTTCAGTAGATATTTTGATGTAATATTTGAAATAACAATAAAAATTGCCACCACTGAATTTATTGAGCATTTGCTGTGCTTTAGGCACTAACCCAGGTTCTTTAAATATTTGGTCTTATTCGATCTGTATAAATAGCCATCTATGAGAAAGGGACTATTATTGCCCTTATTTTACAAATGAGGCCAATGAGGCCCAGAGAGGTTAACTAAGTTGCCCAAAATCATACAGCCCACTAGTGGCAGAGCAGGATGCAAACCCAGGCTTGCCTCGTTCCCAAGCCCACATGTCGTTTGCATTGGTGTGGAGGTGTGCATGTGTTTAGTCATTAGCATGTTATATGATAAGCAAGTTTTGAAACATAGAAACTTAAAATGTGCCATTAAGAAAAGTACAGGCAAGGTTTTCCAAGGGGAGGTGTGGACCTCCGGACAAATTTTTAAGAACAAATTATAAATACTTAAAAATGGGAATAAGAAGACAACCTAACTACCTGAACAGTTTTAGAGATGACTCATGCCCACCCTCTAAAACCCAAACAAAAACAACAAAGTCAAGAAAACCCATGAAATCTTAGCAAGCGATTTCTATGTACTTGTGAAAAGGATTTCTTTACCATTCTAATGGGATTTATGCCAACCATAGAGGGCTCAGTGCCCCTCCCATGGGGTGGTTAGTGAGTACAGAGCTGAGCTCACCGGCCATCTGCAGCTTCATGTTATCAAGCTCCAGTTTGTCCTTGGAGCAAGGTTATCTGGGACATGAGCAGAGGCATTGCTTTCTACAATGGACAGTTCTTTCTGCCTGCATACCTAGCTCCTTGATAACTTTAAATACCATTTTATAGCCACACTGGAGTTTTGAAGACCTCAATATGCAAATATTACTCAGGTTCTGATTACTTGTCTGCTCCATGATAACACACTCTAAAAGCAATGAATGGGGCTTATTTGTAGAGAACTGAAGCATTTTAAGCTTTTGCTCAGGAATCCCTGGTAGCTTCCTGTGACTTGCAAGATATTAGTGATGGGTCAAGAAACAGGACCCCCCATCAGCATAACATACGCAGTGCCTCAGTAGTCCATCAGGCAGAAAAAACTGCAGATGGCACATGGAAATGACCAGCGGCGGAAGATACCCCGACAGTGTGGGCAGTTCTATTTCAGCAGCAATCAAGAGGGGGCCTGGAGCCACTCAATCAAGTGGAGCAGGATGGGAGCAAGCACTGTGCAGACCAATGCAATCCCCAGTTAACACAAAAAATAAATAAAAGAGATGAGATTCAGTCTCTTGACTGTGACTGACTGGGAGCTTTATAGCTGATGCTTGTGTCTTTTCTCCATTTTATTTAATTAGGAAAAGAAACTGCTTATCACACACTCTAAGTGTGAGGTACAACCTCCACAGGAAAGGTTGTTAGGAACATTTCAACTTCTAGAAGTTTCTAAACATAAGGTAAATCCATCTTTGTCCTTGGGATCACTGCACATCTCAGAAAGGCAAATAAATCAGTAATTGGTGGGCATAATTACTAGCTCATGGACTGACAAGGTCTACACTATTTCGAATCTCACAGAAGTAAGCCATGGGACAGATAGAGTCTGATAGTGGTGCCCCGTTTCCTGGAGGTCACACTTACTCATCCCCCTGGACCCTGGGCTTCTCATGATTGTCAGAGAGTTTGCTGGAACCAGGTCAGCCCAGTTTCCCTTCCCCTGAAAAATCCTCCAATGGCTCGCACCAAGACTAGAGATGCAAGTGCAAGCACATCCACCCTCTCAGCAGCCAGGTTTTGCGTTCCATAATGTCACGTACCCCCAGTCATACCAATCTCCTTGGAGCTCTCCAGACAGGCTGCCATGTGTGGTCGGCCCTCTGTGCTTGTGCTCCTTGGTTTGCCAAGCCTGGAATGCCCTTTCTCCATGATTGTACTCTGGGAATTCTGTGTGTCTTTCGAGATGAAGCTCCTCCACCCTGGAAATTCTGCCTCTCTTTCCAGGTCCAGCTCCTGTGGCTGAATACCCTTGGCTGACTGAACATTCTTGCTGGGCCAAGTCTTAATCATCTCTAAATCCCTCTGGTGCCCCGACAGTATCTAGCCCAGGCAAAGGGCTCAGCAAATACTTGCAAAATTCAATAAACTTTACTATGTTACTAGCTTGGCATGATGTTCTAGGCACTTGGGAGATTATAATCTGGTGAGCATTGTGCTAGTCTTTTTTTTGGGATAAACACCAATGATAAACTGAGCCTTTACTCTCATTTTAGCACATCTACTCATCTCTTTTCAATGCTGGTGGGTTTATAAAACCCATCAGTAGAACAGAGAGTGATCATAATCATATGGTGAAAATAACATCAGCTAACATATTTACTGAACATGCTTTAGTGTGCTGGGCACTGAACTCTGTGCACATGTGAATTTGAGATAGATTGTTCCTAGCTAATAAGATGAGGAAGTGGAGATGGGCTTACTCAAGTCACACAATAGCAAGATGGGGTACAGACAGAAACCAAGCTAGAAACCAAGCAACCCCTGGGTTTGGAAATGCATGGGCTCCTCCTCTGCACATGGCGAGGAGCAGTCAGGTGCTCCTCCTTCTTTCATACTGAAATAACTCTGCACTTTTGGCTATTCTGTGACACTCTGTGCTATTCTGTAGCTCAAATGGCTCTGGTGCAAGGAGCTCAGATTATGACTAACCCCCATAGATATTCAGCTGCTTTGCAAGAAGTGGATGAATGCTCTGGCTTTATAAATTATTGACGAGATTGGATATTGGCCCAATCTCCACTCTGGTGATTCGGAAGGAGGCATATGCACATTTGCAAGGTTATAGTAGTGCACTCTAATTCCACTGGCTTCTGAGAGCTTGTAGGTTTCTTGACTTAATCATTCTGGAATTAAGGTAATGGATCCTCAACACCTTTTCTTTCCCTGGCCTTTACTAACCATGTAACAGAAATGAGCAGAGAAAACCCAAGAAAGCGAACTGGAGACTTGATGAGTGTGTCAAAGATGCTCAGAGTCCAAGGTCCTCTGTGGCTCACTGACTTCAGAAGCCAACCTCCGTTGTTCAAGTCACTTGTGAGGTTACTATGCTAGAGCACTAAATATTATCCAGATAGCCCAAAGAGGTGAAGGCAGACATGTGGAAGAACCTGGATTTTTGGGCAAGTTGATGAATGCCTCCTGCCCCATATCAAAGAGAGGTGATAGGAGACAACTTTGTGAATTTGAAATAATGCACCGGGGAAACAGGAAAACGTAATGTAAGTCACGCTTCTTGGCTTTTTTCTTGCCATTACCCTACTTGGCCAAGTGCAAATGGGATTTCAATATATCATAAGTATGCATCTATTAATAACAATGCAAGAAAGCTGTACAACTGAAGTCTGAGATTTTGTAAGAAACAGAATCTCTGTAAGCATCACCATCCAACAGAACTTCCTGAGTTGATGCTGAATCATCCCAGAAAGAATAGAATGCTCTAGAGCTGTGCTGTTCAATATGGTAGCCACTGGCCACATGAAGTGTGTAGCACTTGAAATGTGGCTAGTAAAAATGAAGAACTGAATTCTTGTTTTTTAAATTTTTTATTAATTTAAATAGTTACATGTGACTGCTGGCTACAGCAGTGGACAGCACAGCTCTTTGGCATGGTGGCTAAGAGTCCAGGCTCTGGAAAAAGAGAGTCTAGACTTGAATTATGGGTTTGCCACTTCCATGCTTTGTAATTGTGGGAGAGTTACTTAACGTTTCTGTGCCTTAATTTTCTCATCTGCAAAAGGGATTAATAATTGTATATTATTCATAGAGTGGTAAAGGTTAAGAGGACTAATAGAATTAGCACGTATGCAGTGCCTGGCATGTTGTATGCACTCCAGGAAGGTTAGCAGCAGCATTAATTAACAATAATACCTCCACCATATATCGAGCCCCTTTCAATGGTCCAGGCACTGAATTTTACACAGATTAGCCTAAAACTGGACATGCTGTTCTAGGTGTGGTCTGGCCAACATGGCTCAGCAGGACCTGTGTTTTGGTAAAGTAAATTAATAATAATAATAATTGATGATGATGATGATATTATAAATATTTACTGAGAACTTACTCAGTGTAAGGCACTGACCCTTTCCTAGGGTCATTTCAATTAATGAATCCTCAGGACAATCCTATGAAGGAGGTACTATTATAATCCCATTGTAAAGATAAGGAAACTGAGGCACAAAAAGGTTAAGCGACCTGCCCATGATCACCCATTAGTTAAGTGCCAGAGCCTAGACTAGAACCTAGGTATTGTCTGATTTCAAAGCCTGTGCCAAGCTTTGTGTGATCAAAGTGCCCAAGTGAAACTTTTGTTATTGCAGTAAGTAGACTAACAGCAAGAATATTTTGTAAGGCCACTGAGGTTCTACTGTGCAATGGCCGCAGAGCTGGCTGCTGTGAGACCCAGGTGTCCTCTTCTTTTTATAATAACTGTACCTTGAAATGAGGAGAACTCCAAGTTGGGGGACCTCTGTTATGATACGTGTGGTATGGTGGGTGGAGGGGGTAGATAAATCTCACTAAAGAAATTCTGGCTGGGCGCAGTGGCTCATACCTGTAATCCCAGCATTTTGGGAGGCTGAGGTGGGTGGATCACCTGAAGACAGGAGTTCAAGACCAGCCTGGCTGACATGGTGAAACCCCGTCTCTACTAAAAATACAAAAAGTTAGCCGGGCATGGTGGTGCGTGCCTGTAGTCCCAGCTACTTGGGAGGCTGAGGCACGAGAATCACTTGAACCCAGGAGGTGGAGTTTGCAATGAGCCAAGATCACGCCACTGCACTCCAGCCTGGGCGACAAAGTGAGACTCCATCTCAAAAAAAAAAAAAAAAAAGAAAAAAAAGAAAAAAATTTTTTAAAAAAGAAATTCTACAGAAAACTCTAGGGTAGCACCAATCCCACCCATTTGGTGGATCTGTTCTGTAAATTTGCATTTTGTAAAAGTTTTCTTGGAGCAGGGTATCCCCTAAGCAAGACCTGGAAAAATTTAGGCTTTCCTGGAGTTTTTCCTCCACAAACGTATATAATTTAACTTTAACATTTCAAAATATGTTTAGGGCTGACTGAAATTGACTGGGTCCAAAATCAAATTCACTTCATCATGTAAATTCTCAGATTTGAAATTTAATTAGAGAATTAAGTTCAACTGATAAATTGCTACTTTGACAAGGGGAAAAATAACCCAATAACAAAATGGTAGAATCCATAATGTATAAAGAAATGAAGGAATTACTATCCCCTGGGCAGTTACCTCACTGTGGCACATTCCTGTGGATATCCCATAGTGCTTGGCATAGAGTGAATCTGCAGTATACTTCCCACTTCTGAGGTTGAGGCTGTGGGGCATTTTCACAGTGACCAAGGCTGTGCCTGTTGTCAGCAATGCTGGGTAATGAGGTTGGTGGGCCACTGGGCATCATGCTACTTGGGGGAGCATCAGGGACGGGGTAAAAGAGGAAGGGCATCAAGGCTCTCCAGAGTCTAGAGTTTTAGTAGCCAACAACGGCCTGTGGCAATCGTTGCCCTGACAGTTTCTGGAAGGTTTCTATTTTCTCATGATGATGACGATAATGATGATGACAATAGCTACCATGTATTGAACACATACAATGTGCCAGGCACTGAGTGAAACGCTGTAAATGTTTACTAAGTGAAACATTCAATACCCATGGCAAGCCTGAAAGATGGGTACCATTATGATCCCCACTTAACAGGTGGGGAAAATAAGGTTCAGAAAAGCAAAGTAACTTGCTCAAAGTCACACCATATGTAACTGGCAGAGCTGGAAGCTGAACCTGGAGTTGACTTACATGAAAATCCAGGCTCTTAACCGCAAATACTACAAATGCTTCAATATGAAGCAATATTCAAAACATAACCCTCACCCCAACCCCCACCTGCCTTCCCAGCCTCAAATTCTCTCAGTATCTCCCTGATGGCACCTTGGGCTTCCAAGGGAGCCATCCAACTAACCGTCATGTTCGGGCAACCGAAGAAGGGAGTGGCAGGATTTCCTTTGGAGACTTCTGGAATTAGACAGCAGTTTAATGCAAGCATCTAAATTCTCTTCCTCCCAGAGTCTCATTAAAACTACAGTAAGAGTTTGTGTTTTGTTTTGTTTTTAAAGACAAAATCCCACCAGGATAGAGAGAATAGGAGAGGAGATAACAGCATCATAATTTATGAAACTAAAATGCAGATAGACCAGGATTAACTGACTACACAGCACCAAGGAAGCTGAATCACAAGACAGCAGAGGAGAAAACTGGAAAGGATCGTGGTCTATACGGCAGAATCTTCCCAAGCCTCAGGAGGAGGAGCTCTAGATGTTCCCAGATCTGGGAGGTAAAGTGGAATGGGGGGACATGGTCAGCGTAATGGGGTTGGGCTGGAAGCTGGTTAAGGAGCAGGCAGATCTCTGAATCCCCTCTCTGACTCTGTGTCCCCAGGCATCTGCCTGTCCCCCACCCTGGAAGAGGTCTGGCTTGACCCTTTGTCTGGTGAATTTCCTGCTCTGCTTTCCTGGTCCTGCTGGCCGGATCAGTGGAGGCCACTCACTTCACCCCACAGGGATGTTCTGTGTTGCCCTACACCTGGGAACTGGAGGTACTGGAGGCAGGCTGTGGTGAGCTTGAAAGCAAAACACAGAGGGCAGTCCAATCTCTTTGGCCATATTTCTTCTGCATATCCAATACCATGTCCACAACTCTGCTAGTGTCCTGATGGTGGTGGGCTCTACACATTCCCGGGAAGCTGAAGGCAGATAATGACCAGGACAGGTCAACCTCTCTTCTTCTGAAAGCCTTCATCTACTAATGGCCTGGGACTCTTCCCTTAAATGCTTAGATTGTGTCTTCCACTAAGGTTTTTTGCTGTTGCTGTTGTTTGTTTGTTTGTTTGTTTGTTTGTTTTGAGACGGAATCTCACTCTGTCGCCCAGGCTGGAGTGTAGTGGCACAATCTCAGCTCACCACAACCTTCACCTCCTAGGTTGAAGGGATTCTCCTGCCTCAGCCTCCTGAGTAGCTAGGATTACAGGCACATGCCACCATGCCTGGCTAATTTTTGTATTTTTAGTAGAGACAGGATTTCGCCATGTTGGCCAGGCTGGTCTTGAACTCCTGACCTCAGGTGATCTGCCTACCTTGGTCTCCCAAAGTGCTGGGATTACAGGTGTGAGCCACCACACCCGGCCAAGGTTTTTGTTTGTTTGTTTGTTTGTTTGTTTTGTATTGAGGCAGGGTATCACTCTGGTCACCCAGGCTGGAGTGCAGTAGTGCAATCACGGCTCACTGAAACCTCCACCTCCCTGGCGGGCTCAGGTGATCCTGCCACCTCAGCTTCCCAGGTAGCTGGGACTACAGGCTTGTACCACCACTCCCAGCTAATTTTTGCGTTTTTAGTAGAGACAGGGTTTCCCCATGTTGCCCAGGTTGGTCTCAAACTCTGGGCTCAAGCGATCTGCCTGCCTCAGCCTCCCAAAGTGCTGGGATTACAGGTGTAAGCCACCGTACCCGGCCCCGCCACTAAGGTTTTGAAAATGAAGCAATTACAAGTTTAAGTCTATTAATAAGTGATGAAGCTATGTAGAAAAGCAGAATAATTATCTTGGATCAGGAAGGTCACATGAGGATCTACTTGGGGGTTGTCAATATTCTATTTCTTGACCTGATCAGTGTTGACAGCAGGTTTTAATTTTTTACTTCTTTTTGTTTGTTTGTTTTTGAGACGGAGTCTTGCTCTGTCTCCCAGGCTGGAGTGCAGTGGTATGATCTCGGCTCACTGCAACCTCCGCCTCCTGGGTTCAAGCTGTTCTCCTGCCTCAGCCTCCCCAGTAGCTGGGATTACAGGCAGGCACCACCACGACCAGCTAATTTTTGTATTTTTAGTAGAGACTGGGTTTCACCATCTTGGCCAGGCTGGTCTCGAACTTCTGATCTCGTGATCCGCCCTCCTTGGCCTCCCAAAGTGCTGGGATTACAGGCTTGAGCCACCGTGCCCGGCCCATTTTTTACTTCCTTATTAAACTGTACATATAGGCCTTGCACACTTTTCTGCATCAATGTTATATTCCACAATAAAGGGAAAAGGTATATACACAACTTGATACCAGTAATGTGAAACATATATTTCTACATAGAAAAAAAAATGACTGAAATACTGCACTCCAATGTGTTCACACAGTAGTTGTTTCTGGATTATTTATATATTAAATGTTTATATATTGTATTATGCCATGAGGTTTGTGTTTTCTCTCCACTTTTCTGCATTTTCCAAGTTTACTACAAAGAGCACATATTACTCTTATAATCAGAAAGTCATAAAATATATTTAAAAAGACAAAATTGAAACTAATAAGGATCAACACAAAACAGATGAGCCATCTGTGGAAATCCGCACAGAATACTACCTAAAGAGATTGGTGACGTGCATGATCTCACTAGGATGAGCACAAAGCTTGCCAGAGCCTAGGGTCTATTTCTAGGGTTGGCTCTTGGAAGCCAGGATAGTTGTTATCTCTGGGAAGAGGGAGGGGCACACAAGGGGCTTCTAAAACATTCTGAATGTTCTATTTCTGAACCTGGTTGGTGGGTACATGACTGTTGGTTTTATTATTATATGTTTTATATACTCTTCCGTATGTATGGTGTGGATTCCAAAAAAAGATTTCCTTTAGAGAAAACCAGAATCACATAAGTAGAAAATATGGTGCTATGTTGAAGGAACAACTCAAGTTTATATAAAATCATCATCATTTATAGGCTTAAAAAGTTGCTTTGGAATTTTGGTCTAACTGACTTGTCTTTTCTGCAGCAAACCACGCTCCTTCTGGACGTGCTCCAGGCAGAGGGGATTAGGGTGGGTTCAAGGCTGCAAGTACCTAGCTCAGCACACTCTCTTCAGGGGACTTAGAGTTTGTCTGGTGTTGGCTCTCTGAGCTCTTGTCAGGAATGCCGACCCTTCCGAGGTTCAGGATTTGAAGCCTGCCTTCCCACCCCAGATTTGGTCCACACAGACACTCAAGTATGTATTTCAACTACAAATGACCTGTACTTTCCTATTACTCCTCTCTTTCATGGTAACCTTTCTGGTATCCTTCCTTCCCTACATTTATGGGAGGGGGACATCATTCTCTGCTCTCCTGTCACTGAAGGCTCCACCTTCTGTCTTCTTCTGACCCATCTGGTTTTCCTGGGGCCACCTCCTCTCCTTACCACCCTAACGCTTTTGTAACTTGAGGAGAAATGAGAGATCACCTAGTCAGGTCATCATTCTCTGTAGATGAAGAGGCCCAATGGTTTGCTCAAGAATTGCCAAGCGAGTTAAAGACAGAGAGTATGAGAGTCAGCAAGACCTACAGAAAGCATCTATCTGCACTGTTTTGCAGGGACTTAGCCTTTGTGTGTGGACTCCTGGAATGCCACCCACTAAGAAACATTGTCTGACACCAACTCCCCACTTGGTAGGTGGGGACACTGAAACTCATGGCAGGAAAGGGCCTTGCCCCAAGCCAGGGCAGAGTGTAACTCATCACTCTCAATTTTCAGTCCAGGGCACCTTGTTGTGACTATCCCAAAGGCAGCCACTTTCCCTGGTCTGAAAGACCTGAAGAGAGAAGAGAAGAGAAGGATGGAAGGCAGAGTATGCGGCTTTGATTCATTTCCTGGTGAAAACAGATCTATACAAGAAGCAAATTTCACGAAAGGGAAGAGAAGAAAGTGTCCCATACGTTGCTGGCCTGTTTCAACCTTGCTTTGATTCTTGCTGAAAAGGGTACCGTGTATTTCTGAGTTCAACATGCAGACCAGTGTTAGGAAAGCCACTGCACCTCCACTTTAGCCTCCAGGGCTGTGCCCTGCAAATGGCCTGCAGCCTTGGTGCCTCGCTCTCCAGACTGCATTTTGGAAGATGGGACAGAGGCTTATGGAAGCCCACATTAGAACGGGGGAGCAGAATGGGTGAGATGAGGGATCCTTGATAGTGAACCAGATGAAGGAATGGTAGCCAAATGCCAGGCCTCCTTTGTGGCTTCAATCCAAAGGCTCTGGAGCCCTTCCAGGGCAGAACATCAGGCATGTTTACCCCCACTGTCCTCAACAGTGACAGAGGTGCAATCTTGGGCAGCTGGCCATTTTGAAAGCAACCTCCTTAATCTCAACTGGGAAGGCTCCCTAGCAGGACCCCTGTGTTGCACACCTGGAGGAAGCTAGACTAACCAGAAGCTCAGCACGGTTCCATCTGGGATGCCCAGGTCTGAGACGAAAAAGGTAACTCTCTTTTCTGGGTCCTGGCCCAGTTGTGTCTCTCTCCACCTCATTCTCTGAGATGCCTGTCTCCCCTTTTTTGTCCCATCAGGAGGCAAGAGCTATCACTGGGCCAGACTCCACCAGAAGCCAAGCCAGCTTGTTACCCAGCTTCTCAAGGAGCAAAGAACAGCCTTGTTTCTATCTTATCCCCACTGTCCCCTGCCCCTGCCCCACCTCCCAGCCATTCAGCTTCTGGCTTCCCCAGAGCTGCCTGCTTCTTTGTGGTCCTCCATTCCTTGAAAAGACCTTCTAGTCATTAGTGTATATAAATGGCCACTTAGCCCAGATTACAGTGAGGTCAACAGCTGGGGCTCTGAGAATTGTCACACACTGGCACAGGAGAGGAGGCTATTCTTCCAGAGAATTTGGAGGGCACTCCCATCCACTTACAACAAAAAGCCCATCCACTGTGCTTGGCAGTAGGTGATCTGAGAACCAATGGAACCAGGTTAATCCTGTGGCACTGTTGAGTGAGGAGAGCAGTGGCGGGCACTGGAAAATATCAGAGACAAGGCAGGAGACCTGAAATCTAGGCTTAGCTCCTCATATACTTGGCAGCTGTATGACCTCAGACAACCAGTGTTACCTCTCTAAGCCTCAGTTTCCTCATGCAAAAGGAGGGGGAATAACAACGGAGCCCACTGCTTGGGGGTGTTGTGAGGACAGGATGAAAAAACAAACAGAAATCCCTCAGTACAGGATTCAGTGCAGTGGACAGTCTTGCAAGGTCCGGTTCAGCCCTCCACCCCTACCCTCACCAGTATAAAGAACTCTGGCCTACAAGTCAGATGACCTGAGTTTTAATCTCAGCTTTGCCATTAGCCGTGTGAACTTGAGAAAGTCCCTTTCCTTTTTACATCTATTGAGATGATCATGCATTTTTTGTCCTTTACTCTGTTAATATAGTGTGTTACATTGATTGCTTTTCATAGACTGAACCAGCCTTGTATTCCAGGGATAAATCTCACTTGGTCATGGTGTATAATCCTTTATACAAATGTTGCTGGGTTGAGTTTGCTAGTATTTTGTTGAAGATTTTTATGTCTTGATTCATAAGGAATATTGGTGTACCTTCCCCTTTTATGGCCACAGTTTCCCTACAATGATGTAGTCGAACTAGACAACCTCCAATATCTTTCAGTATTCATGTCCTCTGATTCTGTGAAACTAAGAAAATTAAGAAATAGTGATTCATAGGCACAAGGCAGGCAAAACTTAGACTCCTTGTAGAATAATTAGGAAGCCAAATATTCAGTGTGCTTATTTCTCAAATAACCTTAGTTTCTCCAGTCTGCCCCAACTCCGAGGCCTGAATATCTCTAGATGCTTATGATGGCAACTAAAGCCTAAAAGCTAATTCATTTTAAAGTTCTTCCAAATGCATAGGGTTTTATTTTTCCAGACCTGGGTTCAGATGGGGAATTTGACAAACAATGGAAAGGGGGAAAAACAACAATCTAAACACTGAGTGACAAAGTAACAAAGAAATAGTCTAGCTATCAGCCAGTCAAGCCAGCCTTGGCTTTGTTATCCAAAGTAGTCAGTCTAATTCTACCACCAGTTTCTGTTCCTGTAGCTGTCTACTGCCTGCCAGGGACTCTGCCTTCCCACCCACAACTACCAATGGAAGGATGTGGTGACCATACCAGTGGCTGCTGACATCTCCTGCCATGGGAAACATAATTGCCTCCAGCAGCCTCCCCCTTAGATCCATCATTTTTGCTGCACTTGGCCTGGGCTGTACTCCCGGCCAATGACTGAACATGGTGAGCATAGTAATGCAGGCCCATTTCTGTGAGGAGCAGGACTCCTCCAGTAGGTGACTTTGGCTCAAGGACTCTCTATTGGCCTGGTTGAACTTTTCCTGAACTGTGCTACTGTCTGAGACTCTTCTTACCCAATCCTCTTTCTCGCCCCAATTGTCACAGACCACCTGCATTGTGGTCTGAGTCTCTCCCCACCTTCTCTTGCTCTTCCCTGTTTATCTTTCACAGGCATTTCCCCCAGTACATTCCTTGAATGTCTAACCCGATACGGGTGCCTGACTTTTGGCAGACCTAAGCAGACAAAAAGGAGTACTTGGTTACCTAGCTCTTCTTTCTACCACAAACATCGAGGGAACCCTTTTTCCCTCACCCCTCTGCCACACCCCCACTGCCCCAGTGAACAACCACAGAGAGAGCTGTGGTATAATATTAGGCTGGTGCAAAAGTAATTGCGGTTTTTGCCATTACTTTTAATGGTAAAAACCGCAATTACTTTTGCACCTACCTAGTATTTGTGTCCCCCCAAATTCATATGTTGAAACCTAACCCACAATATGATGTCATTAGGAGGCAAGACCTTGAGGAGGTGATTAGATGATGGGGTGGAGCTCTCCTGAATGAGATTAGTGCCCTTATAAGAAGAAGCCCAAGGAAGCTACCTTGACTCTTCCATCACATGAGAATGCAGCAAGAAGGCACCATCTACTAATCAGGAAGAGAGCTCTCACCAGACACTGAATCTGCCAGTGTCTTGATCTTGAAGTTCCCAGCCTCCAGAACTATGCATAATGCATTTCCATTGTCTCTAAGCCACCCAGCCTATGGTATTTTGTCATAGCAGCCTGAACTGACTAAGACAGTGAGCCACATGAGAAGTGCCCCAACCCCTCCCTTAAGCACTTGGCTCACAGATCAGTGGGTTCATTTCTGCCTGAGTTTTATTGTTATTCTGTAGATTTCTTGGGCTAGATATATTTTTCTGTTATTTTCCTTCTTCACCTCAGTCATGAATTGGTTGTTTTAAAAAAGACAATGTAAGTCATGGGGAAACTCCTGACAACTCTACTCTCCTAGGGTTCCTGATAAAAGGGGATTCAGTTGAGTCCTCTGATGGTCTCTACCTGCCAAAGTCCAGCAGCCCTTAGCAAACATGCTGCTCGTTTCTGTAGAGAAGGTGCTGGTGTCCCACCATACTTCTCTCTCCCTCATGAAGGGCTTGCGACCCAGCAAATGGGTGGCTTATATGGGTCTGTTTCAAAGGAAGAGCCAGCTCTGGGAAGAAAAACGATGAGCATAAGCATAACCTACCACTGTGCCTGGGAAAGCAGACAACTTTTTTGATGTGTGAATATCTAATGAGAATGGAATCCATCAATTACCTTAAACTTAGGCACAGTCTTCAAATTCAATATATGTGGGATATACTTTTAGTCAGTTTGTAGACGTTATTTGTAATAAATAATCTGGCTTCTCTAAAGAAATTATTTTAAGTGTTTGGTTTGGTTTGATTTAATGGTAAAATTATATTTAGTGGCAGAGAATTATAGCAATGGTGATAAACTATAGAGTGTCATAAGTTCATATCTTATTCTCACATTTGAAGCTGCCTGCAGATGCATTCAAGATGCAGCCAGAAGTCAGGAGACTCAGGCTGTTATTTGGAGCTCATCATTTTACAGCCTTGCTGGACTCCCACTTTCTCAGGGGAAAAATGTGGTGTTGACCCAGATTAGCTCTCCAGGCCCTGCTGAGTTGGGCACTCTGTAAGCTGGAGGGTCTTCTATTGTCTTCACCTAAGTGTCAATCAACAACCCAAATGGGCATGGGGGAAGAGGGAGCTGGGCCAATGCCCAGGGTGCCTGGTAGAGAGATACCTTGGGCACTGGAAGGCACCAGCTTCCCAGAGAGAAGGGGGAGGGCCATGAAAAAGTTGGCTGTAGATGCCAGGGACACTGGGACTCTCCAGCTGTGTGTTTGTGTCTTCTGAAGACTTATGTTTCATTCCTTTGGAGCATGCATAATCATACACTGTGGGATGTGTTATATAGATTGCTTGATAGTTCACCACTGTAATAAAATACTGTGACTGGAATCTGCTCCCAGTCTGCCTTTGATAGCACTTGTGCAACACACATTTACTGAGCATTTACAGTGATCCAGGACCTGTGTTGTGAAAACATTGATGGACAAGGCAGATGGTGGAGCACGTCAGTGAGGATTTTTAACAAAGGCTGGTAAGTGCTATAAAGGAACATTGTAGGACACTAGAGAACAAAGAACAGGAGAACCTGACTTAGGCTGGGGTGGGGCGTTGGTTAGAGGAGGCTCCTTGGAGGACATGAGGTTTAAGCTGTGACCTGAGGATGAATAGATGTTGGCCAGGTGAGGGGCCCTGGGGAAGAAAGTTGGCAAAATTCCTAAACCAACTTGATCTATGTCACAGCTTCACCCAGTGCTACTCCTATTCTAAGACCCAATGAATACCCGGGTCACATAGGGAGAATGCTTGCAAAATGTTGGATGTCCTTGGGAAAAGAGCTGCTTTCTGCAGTCACGTGGAATCATCCCACAGACCGCTGTGCTGTAGTAGATGGGGTTGGGGAGGATGGGAAAGCCTTTATCTTTCTGTTTCTAATTTCTTCAATTCCAGAAAATTTACTTTCCTGAAGCTGTAAGGTGTCCTTCATTTTCAGCCTCAATTGTTGAAAATTAGATTACAAACCAAAGCAGGAATTCCATGATATGTTTTTAAGTTGTTCACACAGTAGAGTTGGGTGTGTCCCATTTATAAAACAATCCATCATAAGTCAGTATAGAGCAGAAGAGATAGCTAAGAAAAATCCCTGAGTCCTAAATGTCAGAATCAGAAGGGCCCATAAGGATAATCTAAATCAGAGGTTCTCAAAGTGGAAGGGCAGGGGTGTCCTTGTACTAGCAGCAGCAGCAGCAGCAGCAGCCCCTGGAAATCTATTACAAATGCAAATTCCAGGGCCCCACCTGTATCTGTGGAGTCAGAAACTCTGGGGATGGAACCCAGTAATCTGCATTTTAACAAGCTCTCCAGGCCACATTCCAATGTGAGAACCACTAATTTAATCCAATCCTCTCATTATACAGAATAGGAAACTGAGTCTGACCCCTGGTCAAGCCTTGCTACTGCTGTCCAGCAGGATGTGATATGGATGATGGATCAGTGACCACCGTGTGCTGCTTTCCAACTTCCTCTTTCCCAATTGAAATTTTTTTTTCTTTTTATTGCACTCTTACTTTCTATGCCAAGGTGAGCATGGTGACCAGTGGTCCCTGAAACATGAAGAGCTATATACTGACCAAATTCAGAGGATGACACATCACCTAGGGTTTCCGGATTGGAGTTGGATCCCTTTGGGAAAGGGGTAAATAGGTTTTCCCTAAGTGTGGGCATTTTGGGAGGTGTATGCGTGGGAAGGAAGGTGTGTATGAATGAGGATGGCCAAGAGATTGATTGCAACAAATACTGTTGGTTGCCAGCACTAAGTCTTCCTTCTCTTGACACCTTTCCCCATTTTCATTTAGGCAGCTTCGTTTGGCCCATACCACCTCTGTGCTTAGGAGGAACCTGGCTCCACACAAGGTTCTAGCGGGGGACACAGCTGACATGAAGCAGCACAGTAGGCTAGTAGGCGTTGGATCCATTCAGACTAAAAAGCATGAAATCTGGGGGGGCTTCTGGGAAAGAAGCTTCCTGGCTCTTCTGACAGAGATTCTAGAAGCCATTCTCCTGCTCTCTGAATGGGGCAGGAGGAAATTTGTAGCCTCTGGAGTTGCTGGCACTATCTTGTGCCCACAAGGGGGAGCCAGCCTTAGGATGAGGCTCATGCCACTGAAGGCAGAGTAGACAGCCAGAAAGAAACAGCATCTTTGATGACACTGAGGAACTGTTGATTCAAACCAACCCTGAAGTCCACCCAACCGCTGGACTTTAACTTTCAGGAATCAGTAAGTCCCCTTTATTGTTTAAGCCAGTGTGAACTGCGCTGTCTGCTAATTGGGACTGAAAACATCCCAACTGATAATCTGGCCTGGCCTCTCAGACCCCTGAGTTCATGAGGTCTGCTTTACACAGCCAGCCTCATATTAAAAAACACCCGATTTTTAATGATGAAGCTTGGGGCCTGCTGAACCCTGCTCAGCCTTGAGTCATGTTCTTTTATCTACTGACCAATTCATTTACAGAGACAAATCTAACACACCTGAACCATCTGTACAATGCACTCTAGCAAATACATTCAGTATGGATCAAATATCACAATCCTGGGCTCTTCATTCAGATCTCAAGTGTGGTACTCAAGATCTTCAATATGCATTAGTTGAATGTGATACACATTTTAGATACAATAGTCTAGCTTAATAACATTAAGAATTTCTGGGTCATATTCAATTCTGATGCAAACTAGAATATGTACTTTGTGGGTTTCTGTGAAGAAAATAATTGATGATTTAAAATGGGATTCATCTATAGAAAAGAAGCAATGCTAGCTCATAAAAGCAATTATTGGCATCAAACTCCTGAATTTTTAAATCCCTTAAAAAGTCCAAGAGCATACCAGAAAGTCAAGATTTGGTTTCAAAGGTAATAACTGTAAACAAAAAAATTAAAAGCCCGTAAAAGGTGTTGCTGGGTAGGATTGTGATGGCTCTAGAAACAATTGTGAGAGCTCATTCTCTTTCTCAATTCCTAGTCTAATATTATTTGAAAAACTTTATATAATGAGAGAGTGAGAAATAGACATAAATCAAGTTCAGGGTTACAGAGCAATGCTTAGCCTTCAGGAACCTCTTCTCTGGGGGAAATTTCTGAGCTGGAGTTGGCTTGGACAATGAGCTCGGGCAGGACAGATGGGGGATGTGGCTGCTACCCTTGCAAGTGGGATGTAGGGGAGCAGGAATAAAGTAGATTGTTTGGAAAAGAGGAGCTTTCCTCTCTACTGGGACAAATGTACGTGGAGCATTTGATCAGTTTAGCAGAGCCTTACTTACCCAGAGGCCCTCACTCCAGTGCTCTGTGATGAGTTCAGAGGCCAGCAGCCAAGATAGGGGCAAAGAACTGGGGGAAGGAGGGAGAGTTAGTGGGAACATCACAGTTGTCTTCAAATCTCTAAAGGGCTCTTAAACCTTGGGGGGTCATATTGTACTAGAATGTTGATGAACCTCAAGATTTGTAATTTGTCTCAAAAGTGGGGCATGGAGAAGGATTCTAAACTCTAAACTGGATGTCAATCTAGCTCTGACAAATCACAATGCAGACTTTTTGTTTGCAGCAGGGACTTGGTGAAGTCTTTTAAGTTCCTGAGACCACGTTGTCATTCAGAAAGCCAACTTAAACAATTTTATTAATGAATGAGTCCTCGGTTGTAATCTTGCCTCTTGCAGTGCAGAATAACTACACGGCTTGGAAGAGTGGTTCTGCCCACCAGCTGCTGTGGAACAAGCTGGGCAGAATAGATCTACATGATTCCAGATCTATATGAATGCACAGGGAATTGACATGGTCAAGGCCATTGCCAGAGGCTGCTCTTTCAACCCCATTCTGCTGCTTTGATCTGTATCAATCTTGAACTAGGGCAATTCATAGAGCATAAGGGAGTCAGGAGACCTTTCTGGGTAGGTGGGTGGGGAAAGGGCCTCCTTGTGATGTAATTATTCTGCCAAAGCAGACATTTCCAAATTAAAAGTCAACAAAGCAAACAAAAGAATAAAAGAAATGATTAAAATGGCTATCAAAATGATAAGAACAAATAAAAACAAAAACCTAAAAAGATAATTCTCACAAAGAATGTAGAATCTGTGCTTATGAACTAGTAAAATAAACCTCTTTTTTTTGGTTTAAACCAGTAGTGGGAGCTTGTTCATATACTATCAAGTATTTTTATAAGTCACATTTAAGCCTACCAGGAGAACATATGCTTAACAGCCTTCCAAAAACGTTCACTTTATACTGTGCTAGTCATAAAGAAATAGCAGAGTTACAAACACACTGTGTGTAAGTGAAGACCACTCACTGCTCTCAGAACTGACCAAAATCGATTGGCTTATGTTAGGAATATCAGCACCACCCCAAAGTGGTATGAATGAATCTTAATCAGGGAAAAGTAATAAAATGAGTGGCCTGAATTTCGAAACTAGCTGTTTTTGGCTTTTCTTACCATGTGAAGCTGTCACTGTGGTATGTGAAATGGCAGCCAGAAGTTTTGTTTTGTCCTTGTAAATTGCATTAAATGACGACAACAACAACAACAGCAGAAACAACAGAACCACCAGGACAAATTACCACTGGCGGTATAAAATTGTGTACTTGTTGGAAGTTGAAGAAATCACATGTTTTCAGACATTGCACAAGTGCTATAGAAGGATAAGGAGCTTAACTGGACCAGAGAAATGCATCATGGTCAGTGGGTAAATGGGCCCTACATGCAGATGCAAAGTTCTCCTTTCTGCCCAGTGCAAGAATATGGGTTCATCGGCCTCCAAGCCTTGAAGACTGAGAGTGTCTATCAATACTTCCTCTAAAATGCTCAAAACAGTTTCCAAAACTTAGCATTCCGCAATGGCTAGCAGATACAGCTCATTCATTGGTTCATTCCCCTCTATATTCTACTCATTCATTCCAAGGATCATTCAGCTTACATTACAGAGCTAGCGAAGACGTCTTCCTATGCCTGAGGAGTTTACTACCAAGTGGAGAAGCAGACAAGTCACAAAGAACTCTGATGAAGAAGTGGACATCACCACACCCTGAAAGGCAGAAACCAGAGATCTTGTGAGCTGGAGCATGAGCAGGGACACAATGACCAGGTGTGAACTTTCTAAAAGTCATTTTGGCATTGGTCAGAGGTGTCCTACTTTGTGTACCAGTGTCAAGGCCTTAGGAGCTGGTTCTCCCTGTAGTTGAGAACCGTAACCTTTTTCAGAACTCTATTCCAAGGCCTAGCACTTGCTCTAGAGTGACAGTTTGCACAGAAAGCCAGTCAGAGATGGCGAGTCACTAGCAGCATTCTGTCGGCTCCTGTATTACTCAGCAAACTGTGAGTCATCCCGGTGTTTCCAGACTTGCAGATATACCAGAGAGCTAATGAAGCAAGTGGGTTTCTCATCTCATTCAGAAGCAGAGATAATGTCCGTTCTTGTTTACAGTCACTTCTTTGTTTCCCCCACCTACGTATTATCATTTCTCCAAAATGTCAAGAGAGGGACAGCCATTATGCTCAATTTTCCAGGAAAGTTATTTCTGGTTATGCCTGTGCATTTAACAAACATGCACCTCAGTAAGACATACAAAAAACCCAGATGGCCCATACAACATGATGAGTGGATGTGCAGTAAATACTGCTCTTACCAGGGATGGAAAATGAGCAGTTCAGCTTGCTGCTTCTTTTAGATTGTACACTAATATTATTGCAAAAGAAAAGACTGCTTTTGATTAGGAGAGGACTAGCAAGTGTTTTAAAATTGCAGCCTTTACTTTTTCATTGTGGTAAAAATATGTATAAAATGTACCATTTTAACAATTTTTAAGTGTGCAATTCAGTGGCATTAAGTGCACTCACAGTGTTGTGCAACTATCACCACCATCCATCTCCAGAACTTTTTCATTTTCCTGTACTGAAACTCTGTCCCCATTAAACATGCACTCCTAATTTCCTCCCTCCCCTAGCCCCTGTCACTCACAGTTCTATCTGCCTTTCTCCATGAATTGGACTACTCTAGGGACCTCACATGAGTGGAATGATACAATATTTGTCCTTTGGTGGCTGGCTTGTTTCACTTAGCTTAATGCCTTCAGTGATCATCCATGTTATAGCACATGTCAGAATTTCCTTCCTTTTTAAGGCTGAATAATATTCTATTGTATGGGCATGCTGCATTTTTTTAATTTATTTACCAGCTGATGGACATTTGGGTTGTCTCTCTCTTTTGACTATTGTGAACAAAACTGCTATGAACAGATAACTGGTTGAGCCCCTGCTTTCAATTCTTTCTTTCTTTCTTTCTTTCTTTCTTTCTTTCTTTCTTTCTTTCTTTCTTTCTTTCTTTCTTTCTTTTTTCTTTCTTTCTTTCTTTTTTCTTTCTTTCTTACTTTCTCTGTCTCTGTCTCTGTCTCTCTTTCTTTCTTTCTTTCTCTCTTTCTTTTTCTTTCTTTCTTTCTCTCTTTCTTTCTTTCTTTTTTTTTATTTTTTGAGATGGGGTCTCTCTATGTCACCCAGGCTGGAGTGCAGGGCAGTGATCACAGCTCACTGCAGCTTCAACCTCCTGGTCTCAAGCAATCCTCCCACCTCAGCCTCCGGAGTAGCTGAAACTGCAGGCAACGCCACCATGCCTGGTTAATTTTTGTAATTTTTTGTAAAGGTGGGATCTCACTATGTTGCCCAGGCTGGCATTGAACTCCTGGCCTCAAGCGATCCTCCCACCTCGGCTTCTCAAAGTGCTGCGATTACAGGTGTGAGCCACTGTGTCCAGCCTTGCTTTCGATTCTTTTAGGCATATACCCAGAAGTGGAATCACTGGATCATACGGTATTTCTCTGTGTAATTTTTTGAGGAACTGCCGTACTTTTTTCCACAGTGGCTGCACTATTTCACATTCCCACCAACAATGCACAAGGGTTCCAATTTCTCCACATCCTCACCATCACTTGTTATTTTCTCTCTCTGTGTGTATGTGTTTATAATAACCATCCCAATGGGTGTCAACATTTTGGTGTTTGAAGATGTGAAACTAGAAAGCTATAGTGGAGTGCATTGTCTGTTCACATTTTCCAGAGCTCATCTTTGAAAGGATTGCCAGATAAAGGGAAAGGGTCATGGAATCATTCCCAGTTATTCCCACTCAGGGATGGGTGAGGGCCTCCCACATCGTTCAAAGCTTTGTCACATGGAAATAAATGATCATTAATCACAATTGCAAATGAGTAGTCCACCTTCATCTGTTGGTCTGCTGAGCCAGCTGGCTTTGGCAAATTCTCTTCATGGGCCACCCCGACATGGGCCTGCAGAAGAATATGTGTCTCCACAGCTACGCTCACCTCCTCTGCTCAAAACTGGAAGATGGCCGGATTTGGTAGCATGCTACAGGGGAAAAAGCTGGCCGGAACCTGAGCCTTTAGCTGCAAACTGAAAGCTCCCACAAGCAAAGCAAGAGGTGGGATAATTCCTAGTGAGGTACAGCTATCCATCTTTCAGGCCCTGAAGGCCACCTTTAGCCCAGGACTATATATATAATGTCCTGGAGCACCCACTTTTATTTTTCCTGTGCACCTAGCTCCAATAACCCAGCCAAGGCCTGTGGCTCTGTGCTTTTCGTCTGTGTGAGTCCTAGCTGCACGTTACCAAGAAACTTGGTTCACATGGGGTAAAGGAGAAAACATCGAAGAAATGGATGAATGCTGACTCTTTATTCCACTCTCTATCTTAGAAACTGTTGCTGAGATGAGAGTTAAGAGTCAGCTGTCTGAAGACACCTGCAGAGGTGAGCCTGTGGGTGAGGTGGGGTGATCTCTTTGGGCCTTTCTGCTGCTTTTGGCTTTCAACAACCTTACTGCTTTGGATGGGTGCAGCCGGCATGATAAACACTCATCTAGCAAAAAACACAACATGATAAAACAAACAAAAGCAGTGTTTGTCATTGTAGGCAAAATAACAAAATCAGATAAAATCCCAGACTGTTTCAACTCCTTAGGAAAAAGCAGAAACTTTCTTTTGGATCTGGGAGCAGGGTGCTTTAAATGTAACCAGCATTCTACCCTCTGCTATCCCCTTCAAGCTAAAAAGCAGCCAGGTCAGGCCCCACATAGTTGTTTTACAGGGCAGGCCCAGATCGTGGGATTTGTCAATCCCTAAGGGACAGAACAGGCTAAAAGTACAAATAGACTCGGGAAAGGATTCCATAAATCCACGATATGGGACCATGAGTGGATCTGAGAGTCAGAAGCTGGAAGTGAGAGTCAGAAGTGGATCTGAGAGTCAGAAGCACAGGATGGGGAGGGGAGGGTGCAGTCCAGCCCTCTGAGTACTCATCCTTTGCTCACCTGGATGGAAGGGTCACGTCTTTGATTCCCCTTGGCGCTCTGCACCATCCACTCCTGCACTCAGTGACAGTGCTGGCTGTAGGTGTTAGGGCCACAGCTGAATGGAGCAAGTCTACCGTGAGTTTCATCTGCTCTAGATCTTGTTTACATTTTGCGAACTTTTCACCTGGGGACATAGTAGTAGTAGAGCGACAGCACTTCTCTTTCATGTTTGTTGTGTGCGCAAAACTGGACTGCTCGCTCCATATGGTGTTCTGTGTTTTGGGTTTGTAGGTATTCATAAGGAGATACAGCTTAAAGCAGCACGACACAATGATTTATTTCTGTCCTCTTACGTTCTTTGAAAAGCGCAATGAGATTCCTTGCCTTGCTTTACAGTGACAAATAAGTAGGTTGTCTTAATTAACTTAGCATAAAATAATTTGTGCACTTCATTTTTAAAAGGGCTCATTTTGGGTGTCCTAACTTCAGCAAGTTTCCTTGTTTCTCTTCAGATATGTTAAGACAAAACAAACAAAAAACAAAACAAAAAACTTGACAGGAGGTTTCTGAAAATGATTGCCTCTTCAGCTTTCATAAGCCAGTTACTAAGCAATGAAAAAAATTGTATCTATTGATCTCTACTACTGATGCATCTTAAGTAGGCGGCCTTGTGCATCCCCGTAAGTTTTGGGGTTGACCACACTAACTGATGGCTCATTCCTCCAGGGGAACAATGTAAAGTCACCTTCATTTGAAAGTGTCGTCTCACTTATTCTTTAACTTTTAATAGAAAAAAAATGTTGACATTTAAAAGGTTAGCATTTAACAAGCAGCTCATTTTAAATTTCCGCTTTTTGAAAAAGAAAAATAGCTTTGAGGTGGAGGATCACTAATGGCCCTTAGAAACCGAAAAAGAAACTGAAAAAAAAACTTTTTTTTGATTCTTGGTAAGATTAATACCAAGTTCTAAGCCTGTGTTTCCCAAATTCAACAGCCCATGTGGTTTCATTTCCTGGCAATTTAGAGAGGTTAAAACAAAACATTTTCAACACTGAGATATCGGTCCCCGAATTTTCAAAATGCATGTTACACGGTGTCTAATCATAGTTCCACACAAAACAGCTAAGAAAAAGTTTCCCGAAACCAAACAGCTCTTTGCAGCTTAATTTAGAAAGAATGGTAAAACTAAGCTTGTATGTACCATCATGTTTAAATACAAAATAAGAATGCTCATTCAGGAAAACATTTCCTTGTCTGCCAGAGAATACGCACAGGGCAGGCCCCGGCTCTGACCCACGGGCTCTTTGAAATCTGCCTGGTCCCCAGTCCTTTATCTGGCAAGTGGAGGCACTTCCTTACTTATCATTTGACTGGTGGACAACACAGAGATTCCTCTAGAGGCTTCTGTTCTTGCATTTTAGCAGGACTAACCTTTGAAATAAAATCTGTGATGTTTCTCGCCAGAATTAGTAAAAGACAAAATTTCTCTGAGAACACAGACAGCAGTATTGCTCTCCCGCAAGCCTTACTCTCAAAACGAGAGAGGAATGCAGGGAAGTGAGGGAGAAGACCTGTAAGTCCAAGGTGACAGGCCCTTCCTTGAAAATATGTGGTGGATCTGATTTTGGGGTGGAGGTCATGTATTTTAGTAATATAATAATTACTTTTTGAAAATGTTAATGAGTGATTCTGAGACTAGGAAAAGGCTCACTTGCTGTCTCTGCCTCTCCTGACTCTAGTTGTAAATGGAGCAGATGTAACTTTGATCAGAATCGGAAATTCTCTTGGCCTCACTAACCTGGTTTGTTCCTTTTTGTTTTCCATGAAAAGTCATGGTTCAAATATAAAGAATTTAATTTGCAGAGCTAATTGAGACAGCAGTAATTAAAGGTTATGCCCTACTGAGTGGGCTAGTGTAGCCTTGGAAGTTCAAACCAAAAGGAATCTTGGGTTTCTGCAAAGATTCTTTTTGGAGGCTTTAGGAGTGAGAGTCAGTGGTGCAGAAGAAGGACGGAAACGAGAGGAGAGAGGGGAGGTATCCCCTCAGGATGCGTGCTCTGTGCGCCATGACTATGCAGGACCAGCTTTCCTTCCTGGCCACTCATGTACACGCTTTCCGCCCTGTTCATTGTCACTGTGTATCAGTAAGCCCTCTGCCTGAGTCTTGAAATGTCAGGCACCCCTGAGCCTGCTGCAAGCAGGTGGGGTCAGATCCACGCTGGCTGCAGGTGGAACTTAGCTCCTCCTTCCCCCTCCTCTCTGCCCACCTAAAGTCGTCCTGTGGTTGCATTTGTTATTCAGCATCCACGTAACTCCTAGAAGTTCAGCTGGCCGTGCTTAGAGGGAAGAGAAGACAACATTCTCCCCTACCCACGGTCAGGGGCACTCAGGAAACCACAGCCTGGCTTGGCGGCTCTACTTCCTTCTGGAGTCACCAACCTGTGTCTGCTGCCTTGGCTGCTCCTCAGCCACCTGGCAAAAGTCTTCCTTAACGCCCCTAAGGGACTGTCCGTGAGCACGCAGCCCCAGAGGGACTGAGCTCTCCCCTGCCCTTTCTCTCCAAGTCACCGTCCACCCCTGGGGGTCAGAGAGGAGCCTGGATGCTGAGCCGAGGCTGACTAAATTCATTCCATTGGGTTACTGGTGTTCTGGGTTTCGGGAACTTTCCTGAGAGTGACAGCTAATATCAATGGAGCATAATTGTGTACCAGGCCCTATGCCAAGCGCTGTTACCTCATCTCATTTAATCCTCACAGCAGCCCCATGAGAAAGGTATGCTAATCTCCATTTTACAGACTGAAGCCTGGAGAGGGTAAATCGCTTGCCCCGCGGAAAAGGTGGCAGAACTGGGATTTGGACCCAAGTGATCCAAAGTCTGAGCTTTCTTGAACTTGGCCTTGAGCCCAGCCCCAGGGCCTGTCCCCTGCCAAGGCCCCAGGGTAAGGCCCCTGTGTCCCCCGCCCTGTGCCATCTATCTTCAGGCCCTGGGTGCTGGAAGTACTGCACTTCGGAGGGTTCAGTCTACCAGGGGTGAGAGAGGCCACAGGTGGGGATAGTGGGGGCTTCCCCAAGGCCCCACTTTAGAGGGAGCTGCCCAGATCCTCTTCATAGGCCCAACCCCTCAGAAAGGGAAGATGGTGAGTTCACTGCCTCTGCAATTGCCTGGTGCTCACGACTGCCTAAGCTAAAGCTTATCCTTAAGATAGAAAGCATATCAGACCCAGTAGGGGCTTAATCCAGCCTTCTCCAAGGCAGGTTTGATTCCCCCTTCTCTACCCTCTCCATATTTGTCAAAACAACATCATGTGCCTCCTTGGTCTATTTCTCCACAGCTGCCCTCTTCCCTCTGTGCTGCACAGCCTGCCTCAAGGATCAGATTCCAGGCTTTTTTTTGTTCTTATTCCAACTGGCCTCCATCCACATCCCTCCTCCCCATGAAACCACACTCCCAGCTCTGCAGATCTGAGTGGGGCTCAAATGCACGTGCACTGAGGGCACTCTGGCCAGAGGCTGCCTCTTGCTATCCCCAGTCTTCCACAGTCCAACTCCCATCTCCTTGACATACTTGTTTGTGTCTTTGAGTAAATGTAAGATCTGTTCTGCAGTCGTGAATAGTGAAACTGAAGTAAGTCCTAACCGCGATTTTTGCAACACGCCAAGGTATCTCCAGTAATCTGCAGGGAGAAGGGACATCAGATGATGCAAACAAAATTCATTTTGCCTCAGTCTGATTAAACATCAAGATATATCACCCAGCCTGGAGGGAGGGTGGGGAATTCAGTGACGCAATTTGGGGTCATTAAAATCTGACAAACCAGTGCTGGGTGTTGCAACTCCATAAAGAGTTAAAGATCCCTCCCTTAATAATTCCAGGTCCACATCCCTTATCTGTAATTTAAAGTCCAAGAAGCTCTGAAAGCCAATTTTACTTTTGTAAATTTGGTGCCAAATTTTATGTGGGGGCAAAAGTTGACTCTGGACTTCCTTAAATATTCATATTTCTCTGCAAAAGTAATGAAACACTGCTTCAGATTACACTGGAGGGTTGTGTGACATTTGGTATTTGCACCACATTACCTTCCCAAAGTCCCAAATGTTCTGAATTTGGAAATTCATCAGGCCCCGGAGGTTTCAGGTCCAAGCCCACAAGGCTGCCCTAGCCCTGATTGAGCCTGTAGTGTGTGCTGGGCACCGTTCTAAGCAGTTTCAGGTTAGCATCTCCTTTGCCTTCCCAATGCCCTATGTGAAGGGGACTATTCCTTTCCCCATTTTCAGCTGAGGCTCAGGAGTTGAGTAACATTGCTCATGGGACCTGAATCAGTCAGCATCTGTAGCCAGACTTGAGCCTCAGTTCTGTCTGCCTCCAGTGCCCTTGCTTGCTCAACCTCCCATGCTAAACAGCTGCCCCAAAGTCATGTGGCATTTGCCTTTTACCTTACGTGGACATGAATGGTGCATTGAAATTGAATAGTTCACTCAACTGGTAAAGCAAAATCCTCCAAATAGAGAGATGCTGGTCTGTACATAAAAATGAGCTCCTCTATAGAAGGCTGGATTTGGCTTTTCAGCTTACTCAAGCGTTTGTGTCTCATCTCACATTTAAAAATAACTCCTTTAGAAAACTAAGATCTAGACCAGGTGCGGTGGTTCCTGCCTGTAATCTCAGTGCTTTGGGAGGCTGAGGTGGGAGGATCACTTGAGCCCAGGAGTTTGAGACCAGACTGGGCAATATAGTGAGACCCTGCCTCTAAAGAAATGAACAGACAAAAACCAAAAAAGCCCCCACCCCCCGCACAAAACCTCAAAGATCCAGATTCAAATGAATGTCCAGTTTTTCCATGGTAACCATTATCGTCCACGGCAAATGTAACAGGCTAGTAAATGCCATATCATAGGTAATTAGTGTTCCTGAGGCTCAGCTTGGCCATCAGTAAAACTTGGGAGGTTTGCTTAGCCTGCTGGAAGTGGGAAATATGTTCTTCCCCACCATTGGGGCCACCATCTGTCCTTCTACAGCGGTCCCAGCTCTTGCCTCAAACACTCGCTTTTTTCTTTATTTTTTTCTCTCCCCTGGAAGAATGACCAGGGCTGAGTTCTTAGGTCTTAGAGTTAATAGGGAGAGGCCATAAGAAGAAACAGAAGGACTGTTGAGATTCCCCCAGCTTGGAGGCCTGGAAGAATACCAGGTAGAGAACAGAGTGCTAGGGAGAGGAGCGGAGTGAGAGTGCCGGAGAGCTCAAGAAAGAGCAAAGTGAGATCCCCAGTCTGCAAAGCAGGGATGGACCTTTCCCCTTTCCCCTTTCCCATCAGGCTGGGAGTTGTCCAGGAGAGGCAGGGCCTAGAGCAAAAGGAGCCCACAAGGCTCAGAGGCTGCACAACTCCTATCAATCTCATGGTGGGTACAGGGTCTGGAGATAGCGTGGCTTGTGTCTGTCCTGCCACAGCTACTGGTTTTTAGAACCACATCTTAGTCCCATGAAACAGATCTGGGAGCACAGGGTCAGGAGGTAGAGTCATCGTGACAGCAAATCCCTTGTCAGCACATACTTTATGCCAGGCCCTGTTCAAAGTGCTTTAGATGTATTAACACACTTAGTCCTCAGACAACCTATCATCACCTTGATTTGTAGAGGAGGAAACAGTTAAGAGGTGACAGTGGAAACAGAAGGCTACAGAGGCAGTGCCCCATGCATGGGAGTATGAGTGTGGGCTCTGTAGCCAGATTGTCTGCTCTGGCCCCAGCTTGCTGTGTGACTGTGGGCAACTTCGGTCACTTCTCTGTGCCTTTCCCCCCAACTCTCAGGAGAATGGTAACAGCCCCTGCCTCTGAGGATTAAAATGAGAAGAGGCAGGTGAAGCACCAGGTCCCATGCCTGGCCCCTGGGCACAGGCCAGCATGGGCTGGAAAGGCAGCTCTTGGTGGCAATAGCATTTCCAATTTGGGGACCCAGCTTCTTGCCTCTGCTGGCAAAAGTCGCTTGCCCCCTTTATTGTGCTCCTAGCCCCAGGGAGCTTGACTGTTCGGTCTTTCTCCTGAACACTTTCTCCAACCCCACCTAGGTAATTGGTTGGGTATGATTTGCATGACCCCAATAATTAAGAATTCTCCCTCTGAGCCAGCTGATCCAGCTCTGGGACAACACAATCAGTCTACAAAAATGTACCCAATTGAAGACAAAACAAAACAGAAAGGCTCACAATGTTAGACGGTGACACGTCTCCAGGCTGAGGATCTTGCCTGCTAGTGAAAGAGTTCCCGTGTTGATGCTGGGGCTTCACCGAGCTAGCTGCAGAAGTCCATGCAAACAGATGGCAACAGCCCTATAATAAAATCAAACCAAAGTGCTCCTGAACTGCAGACCAGGGCCCGAGCCCCAGGTGGCCTGCCGTGTCCTATGTGCTTTGCCTATCTCCACACCGCTCCCCCGGCCACCCCCATGGGAGCTCTGCTTGCCGCATGGTCTATCAAACGACCAACTCCCTGGTGTCAAGCACTCTGCATGGTTATGCTCCAGGAAACCTGGATGGAAAAGACACAACCTCTGTACTCTAGGGGTTGCCACAGGTGTGCTCATACAGAGCTCTTAAATAAGAGGTCAGCCCTTGACAGGTGCTTCCCTTGGGCCAGGTCTCTGGCCAAGCACTTTATAATCTCCTCCTTGACCACTCTCCAGAAGAGGGAGGCACAGTGGGAAATGGAAGTACTGAGGACAGTCATGGAAAAGCTTCCTGGAGGGATGGTGCCTGAGCCCTAAGTAGCTGCAGGTGTTGGACAGGAGAGAAAATGTGGGAAGGGATGACCAGGCCCAGGGAACGGCCAGAGTAAAGGCTGAGACCAGATGGCGTGGGCCAAGTGCTGCAGGCACTTCTGGGTAATAGAAACAAAGTGCAAGGCAGGGCCTGATGGATGCTGAAGGGCCCAGGAGGCTGGTGGGGCCAGCTTATGGGCCTCTGGGGACTTCTGAGCAAGTGTAAAACATGATCAGGTCACTGTTTTAGCAAGACGACTCAGAGCAATGGATGGTTTATTGGGAGAGACCAGTTAAGGGTCAACTGTATGAGTTCAGATAAAGAATCAAGAGGACCTGAACTTGGGCAAGGATGAGAGGAATGGGAAGGAGGGATGGTAGATGGTGACTGAGTATTCTGTGTAGGCACATGTGTGACCTGGCCCCACTGAACCCTGCCTCCTGGTATTTACACCCTCATGCAATCTCCTCTGGCTTACATCTCATGAATAGAATACAGCAAAAGTGGTGGGATGTTACTTTCTAGACCAGGTCATAGAGACTGTGACTTCTGACTTGCTGGCACTATCCCTCCTCCCTCTCTCCCCATTACCCTGCTTCACTGGCACACTCTCTCATGCTCACTCAGATGAAGCCAGCTGCCATGTTGTGAGATGCTCTGTGAAGAGACCGTGTGGCAAGGAACTGAGGGAGGCCTCTGGCCAATAGCTCATGAGAAACCGAGGCCTCAGTCCAACAACCTGCAAGGAACTGCTTCCTGCCAGCAACCACATGAGTGGGCTTGGAAGCAGATCCTTCCCCACTGAGCCTTGAGATGACTGCAGCCTTAGGAGATACTCAGCCAGAAGACTCAGTTAAACCATGCCAGGATTCCTAACACCCAGAAATCAGGATGTGGTGGTAACGTATGCATATGGTTCGAAGCTGGTGCTTGGGGTAATTTGTTATGCAGCCACAGATAACTAATACAGGCAGGGGTCACAGAAATGAAAACTGGGAACTGTGATAGACACGACCCAGGTGGAATCAGCTGCATTTCATGATTGAAAAGCCTGGAGGAGATGAGGGAGGGTGAGAAGTCAAAAGTAATTTCAAGAAGAGCACAGGCTCTGGAGTGAGACCACCTGGCTTCAAGTTCCTGCTCTGTCCCTTGCGAACTATGTGACTCTGGGCAAGTCTTTCAACTCTCTGAGCCTCAGTTTCTTCATTTGTAAAATGGAGATGATGAGAGTGACTACCTTGCAAATACCTGTCTTTTTCCTTTCACGACCTGACTGAGTATCCAGCACAGTGACAAATGGCATGCTGAGGTTGCTCAGCAAAAGTTTGCTGTGGCATTTCTAGAAGGCTCAGTGTTTGTCCTTCTGCCAGCAGGGATAAGATTAAATGCTTCAGTGCAATTTCCTTACATCTTAAGAAGGATTCACTAGTCTTTCTACATGGCCCAGTGCAGGGAAGGCATTTCTGTATTCGGACTTGTCCCACCTGGCTCCTTCCACCGGGAGCACCTTGTGGGTGCAGCTCTCCTTCTAGGGAAGTTAGGTGACTTGAACAGGCACTGAAACCATAACCTTGGCCTTATTAACACTGTGCTTTTAACCACACAGGATTAGCTGACTTCAGTAGACTTTTTCAGAGTCTTTTCCAGTCTCAGAGAGAACTATAGCCTGGATTTACCCTCCAGAGCCAGATATTGGCAACATGAAACACAGTTGTTACTTCCAAAACAAAAGAACACAGCCAGATATGAGATTGTCTTACCTGTCTGGGCAGAGCAGGCATGGAATCTGAGGCCACTGATCGCTGAAAACGCTGGGGTTGCTGCATCATCTGCTGCAGAAGGAATGAAGAATGGTCAGGCTGCTGCTGCTGTTGCTGCTGCTGCTGCTGCAGCTGCAAGGTGGCAGTGGCCGTGGAGGAGGCAGTGGCTGAGGAGGCCTGCGTTGGTGTCGGCTGCTGCAGGTAGTGGAGCAGGGAAGGCTGCCTAGAGGTGGTAGGCATGGAGGGCATCTTCTGGGGACCCGGCTCAGAAACAAAATGGGACAAGGGCTTGGTGTTGCCAAAAGTAAATGGCTCCGTGGCTCCTGGGCTGGAGCTTGCCATCCCCTGCTGCATGATCATGCTCAGGGTTTTGGATGAGTTGCTGCTTATGGGCTTAAAGATCACATTTGCTTGCTGCTGCTGCTGCTGCTGCTGCTGTTGCTGGCTTAGAAGATTACTGGTGGGAGTGAGGCTTCGGATCAGGGAACACTGTGGGGTGAAGGACTGCTGTGGCAAGCCTGGGCTAGAGAGCTTCTCTGGGCGATAGGGTGGGGACGGCCCAGGGTTGCTGGCAGGCAGAGCAGACATCAGGTGTCCTTGAGGGGTTTTGATGGTAGAGGACATGAGGTTGGCAAGAATGGAGCTCTGAGGGCCGAACTGCGGCTGTTGAGTGAGAGCAGGGCTGGGGAGCTTCTCAGGAGCATAGGGCATGGCGGGCCCCAGGGCAGCATTGCTGCTGGACGTCATGCTTGACAGTAAGGCATTGGGAGAGCCTCGGAGAGTGCTACCCGACAAGGTATTGGACGACATGCAGGACACCATGAGGCTCTGGGGGCTGAATGGGGGTGGTGGTGGTGGCAGTGGCAGCGGTGGTGGGTGTGGTGATGGCACTGGGCGGTAAGGTGGAGAGAGTCCTGGAGGAGGCAGACCAGACCAACTGGGGGTGGGCCCTTGCTGCTTTGTAGCAGACCCCTGCTTGCTGGCTGCCAACGCCTTCAGCTGGTGGGCGTGATGCCACTGAGGCACTGGTAAGGGGGGCAGAGCGACAGGGAGCATGGCCTGGACCTGGCTCTTGGACTGTGCCATTGAAGAACTCGGTGACACTATCTGCTTACTGGTGGAAGGAATCGAATAGCTGATCCCTGTGGAGGAGGATGGGATCTGAAGTGACATGCCAGTAACTTGGCTGCAACTAGAAGCAAACTCCTTGCTGGAAGCCAGGCTCTCCAAGTGTGACATCTGAACCGAAGGCTTGGGAGTTGTGCTTAGGGTTGCCTGGGGATGATCTAAAACCAGTGGCTCTTCTGGCTTCGTCCCCAGTATCTTCTCAAGATCTAGCTCATTTGGAGAAGGGTCTTGAATTTTGGTGAGCTCCTCTAGCAGCTCTTGAAGCTCCTGGTCTACAGCCGGCACGCTGTTGATTTTCTCATAGTAAGGAACAGTGGGCCCTTTCAGTCCCACTTCTGTAGTCTGTGGTACTACAAATGGTGAGCCCATGATGTTGCCATTCATAGGGTTATTCTCCAGCAGTAATGACTGGCCAGCCACTCCCATAGCCGCAGGGCTAGGATTTATTGTCAATGGAGGGACCTGCAGTTCTGCACAAGCAGTACTAGGATGAGCACCTGGGCCCATTGCAAGGGTGACATCTTCAAGGCAAGGCCTCTTAATTTTATTAGGGTAGCCCCCATCAGCCATGTCTGGAAACTGGAAGTGGTCTTCTTCTTGTCTCCTCTTAACAGTTCCCTGTGAATGGAAGAGAAGAGAAGAGGAGAAGAGAGGAGAGGAGAAGGGAAGAGAGGTGACACACACACACACACACACACACACACACAGAGAGAGAGAGAGAGAGAGACAGAGAGAAAGAGAGAGAGAGAGAGAGAGGAATTTTTATAAAGGTTTGGCACATTAAAGCTAATGAACAGGAAATGTGCATGATAAAACAGACCTCTCAGTTTAAAGACTTATAGTTGTGAAAACTATAAAATACAGCCTGTCTTTGGAACCATAGTGCTTATTTATTCATTATTATGTTTCATCTAAACTGTCTAATTACATTTCAAATAAGGCATTATGTTGTCTGTATACTAAAACGGGATAGAACGTTATGCAAAGGGTAATCTGCCCACTTCAAGGAGAGTTCAACAAAACTATGCAGAAGTCACTAAATGAACCATGCTGCCAAAGGCAGGCATTGGAGAGAAAACTAGAAGTAGCTAAATAGTTTTAATTCTTTCCTGTCTACAGACACATAGATTTTAACGAAGGAATACCATAGTATAGAATTGAACTTTTAGGCTGCCTTCTAGTCTTGGTTAAATGCATCAGGCTGCAGTGGTAAAATTGAATACAACAGAGCCCTTACAGGAAAGAAGTAGATCTGGATGTGTTTTCTTGGGGAGCTGTTTAAAATACTGTTTTTGGGAAAGCACAAGTTTCAGAACAGTCATTGTAGGCATCGTATTCATTGTTCCATTTATTTTTACACACACACACACACACACACACACACTCTCACACATTGCTATGTGTACACAAAAATAATTTGGAAGAACCTATACCCAACAATTTGGAGTGGTCATTTATTTGGGATGACTGGCAATTCCCTTTCTATTCTCTTCATTTCTGCTTGTTTGTCTTTAACGAGAACGACTCATAATCCAAAAATTTAAAAAAGTATAAAGTTATCTAAATAAGAAATTTTCCTCTGAAGATGCATCCTCAGGTTGGGGAGATATTAAACAATGAGAAAAGGCCCCAATCTGGGATCTGAACCTTGGGGGAGCTGCCCATCATTTATAGAAGCACAGCCTTTGGGAACAAAGCAAAGTCACTAGCAATGTGAGACTTCCTACTCTTCATGGCTTCATACAGTCATCCATCGCTGTTGTGTTAATGACCATGACCTGTATGTTAGCAGGTAAATGGGAAAGGAAGTGGGGGCAAAGGAGTATGTGCAGGAATGATCAAAATAAGGAAAGGAAGAGAGGGATCTGGAAATCACCTGAATGCCGATAGGTGAACAGGTAGAATTCTTTTAAAGCTTCCCCCACCCGGTACCCCCCAAATAACCCCTTTCCAGCTTTGGAAGTTTCACTAGGACATACAGTGCTCATCCTCTGATGTCACCTTAAGTTTGGCTCTTCTGGTTTGATGAGCTTGTAGCCCACTAGGAGCTCAAGGCATGCATGGGGCCACTTGCCAGCACGATGAGGGGCATGACTGTCATGGCCAAGTGAACATCAAAGCAGATCCCCAGGGCTGTATGTCTCAGGCCTTGGTGCACATCAGAATCACTTAGAAACATCCACATTCCTGGGCCCTCCCACCACAAACTGACAGCTTCATCCAGGGTGTGGCCCAGGCATCGGGAGTTTTTCCAACAGCTCCATGGCTGATTCTCAACAGAAAACCACTGGCCCAGAGCAAGGGTGGAGGCAGCGTGGCATAGGGCTCTGACCTTGGCCTTGCCACTGAACCTCTCAGAGCCCCAGTTTCTTTATGTGTAAAATGAGTGTAATTATAGTTCTTTTCTCATGAAGGTGCTCTGACTATTAAGTGAAACGGGGCACATTGTATGACACCTAATAGCTCCTCACTAACTGGTACCCGGCATTATAAAGGGCAGGTATGGAAGGGTTCTGGGAGTCCAATACCCTTCTTAAAGACAGAGAGGTCTCTGAGACCCAGAGAGGGGCAGGCCTTACCCAGAGTTGCTCAGCCAGAGGGCAACAAGGCCCAGGTCAGATGCAGGGCCCCTCCACCACCACTCAGCTGCCTCCAGACCCACTGCCTTCGCCATGTTGTTGGTAGGACACTGCATCGCCCCCACAGAAGGGGCTTGCCAACTTGAGTGAGAGGACTTGCACACTTCTTTGACTTTTCTTTTGAGATGCCCACAATCTGAACAAGGGCACTTCAAGGGACAGCTCTGTCACCAAACTCATCTGAGGCCTGAATACCATGGGTCAGGCAGGAATGGGTTGGAGAGGTGTAGAGCAGGCACAATAAGAGGGCTGAGGCCCATGCAGTCATCAGTGCCCACTTTCCCAGGAGTCTGACTGGGCACAGCACCCATAGTGTCCCTGAGCTGGTCCATGGAGCAGCTCACTAACTGTTTGGCCCACAGCAGGTGCTCAGTAAATGGCAGTTGAACGAATCAATGGACAAAGGAACATAAATTACCCAACACACAGGGAGCTCAGCCATTTACTCAATCCATTATGGAGTAACCTACAAACAAGCCACTGGGTCCCAAACTGAAATTGTGTCTCTTCTACATTCTCCCAAAGAATCCAATAGGTTAAAAATAGAAATGTATGAAATAGATCAATCAGGGATGATTGCATGTGGATTTGACATAAGGATCCCCTGCAGGGAGTCTGAGCTGGCAACAGTCAGGCCCAAAGTGCTGTCCATGATGTCTCGAACTGCAAGACAGTTTTAACAATGGCGAAGCAATGCAGAACCAGGCAGGCCAAGGAGGGGGTGGGGGTTGGGGAAAGGAAGGGAGGGAAGGGGCTGTGAGGGGCAATGGTCTGGCATCCCTGCCACGTGAGCCTCTGAAATTTGCTGGCAGCTTCTATGGGCTCCCAGAGCTTTCACTTAATTGTTGGTCTGCCACTAACCTGCTGGGAGTAAGGTGCAGGGATGGAGGAGGCAGGGCATGACCACCAGACACTAAAGGTACCAGCTGGGGCCACTGGCAAAGGGAAGGAGGCTGCACCTCTCCTACATGAGAGCCCGTATACACACACCTTTTCCAGCACTCATCAACTGCATCCCAAGCAAATGGTCCCTGATCAATTCCAATTCTAGAAACCAACTGACTACTCAATAACAAAGTAGATCCCAGCAGGCCGCCACTGCTGGAGCGGATGCCACTTTTGCTATGCCAAGTCTGTGGCTGGACAGCTGCTGGCATGTACACTCACTGACTTTCATAAGGATGCCTAATAAAGGGGGCAGGCTCACCTGGCTTTTCTCAGGGGTGGGGTTTGGGGTGCCGATAGAGGCTGCTGTTTTGGCAGAGTGGCAAGCTGCAAGCCTCTTCTGAGCTTTCATTTTTCAATGGACTTCAGTGAGAACTCACTTTGTCAGAGGCCATGCAGCTCCATGTTTTGGATTTCATGGAATGAGCTTTCAACAGTGAGCCTGAAGTGCCCTGGCTGAACAGCAAGAACACCAGCCAACCCTAAACAAGGCCGAGGAGAGGCGGCTGTGTTTACACGGAAGGCTCAGCCTTGCTGTAATAGCGTCTGCCTTCACCAGACATCAGTGAGGCGTGGAAATCTATTATCCAGTTAATTTTGCCCCTAGATAAAGACTTGCTTTCGTGTCTTCTCTTTCACAGTCCCATGATCTGTTACTCATCTCAACTGCGAGAAGTTGGCTGGGCTTTCCCCTGTGCCCAGTGCCACACTCGTGCCTTCACTGGGTCACCTGTGCCTGTGGCTGATGCCGCTGAGGTTTTGCCTGCCCAGACTGGGTGTTTCTGACTAAATCCCACAGCCACCATTTTAGATCAAGGGCAGGAGATAGCTCACTGCTCCGGAATGACCTCCCCTCCCAGAATCCTGGTAGGGGCGGAAGGTCCCCAACCAAGCTCCCAGCCCTTTCTAAATGAATCTCCCTGCTTCACCCATGTGCTTTTCTCCAGTCTCTGCGGTCTTGATGACAGCAGGGTATTAGTCCTAGCTGTCCCACAGCTCCTACTTCTTTCAGGCCTCTCCCTGTGACAATCAGTAGCCACTGGCAGGATTTCCTCAGAGCATATCTCGATTTGCTTTCAGACAATTAGTTAAAAGGACACTGGACCCCAGACGTCCCAACTCCCAGCCAGAGCCCTCACAGGCCCGGCCTTTGGTGGTGAGGAAGGGGGAGGGAGTGAGTGACAGTGCCCTGGCATCTTTTAGAAACGAATTCCTTTCTCTCCATACATAAATGCCTGCAGAGTCCCATTTCAGAATCCGGCAGACAAAGCCACCAATGTGATCCCCATGACCTTATAAACATTCATTAAAATGCATTTCAAGGCATGTGATGGCCTCCCCACCCCCTAGATAATGAGAAAACAAAGGTTTCTCTTCTGATAGAGACAAGTTCAGCTCTGAAGTCAACATTATTTCTGGTTCTGTCTGAACAATGACATATGGCAACTCTTCCCTTTCTATAGTTCTAGTCCAGAATGACAAAAAAGGGGAAAAATTTCTTAGAGAAGGTAGAGATTATACGAATACAGTCCATGAAATGAGCATAAGGAGAGTAAAGAATATAACTTATCCAAAGAAGTCTGGCAGGCTGTTATAAATGCTTGATTTTGGACACTGTAGTTGGAGGTTTAACATGGACACCAATAAAAAGGTCAGCAAAGGGTATGCACTGTTCCTATTGGGCAAGAAGATAGGAGGTCAAAGGTAACCAGGAAAGATAAACTCAGGGAGACTTATTTTCCCTCCAGAGGGCACTGGGCTTGTAGGCCCTGGGCAAAATTGTCAAAAAGGTGAAAATCGCCTGTGGTTTATTTAGTCTGCTCTTTCTTCACTAGTGCCTCACCAGTTCAGTTCAGGCCAATTTGCTAGCCAGTTCTCCTAGTCTCTTCCCTTACATCCATACTCCATGAACAACTTTATTCAATATTGTTACATTTTCCCCCTATGAATTTTGAGGCACCTGATGTTGGCCAACTAAATTAGACTTCAAGCCCTCTGAGGACAAGGATGGCCCCCAGTAGACTATCTCAGAAGAAAGTAATGAAGATGTCGTGGGGCATGATGGAGGTAGCTGTAGAATAGATAAGAAAATAATGTATCAGGAATGGGTTTGAAGAGACAAAGAGATGGGGGATGGAGAGAAAGAGAGAGAGTGAGAGCGAGGAGGAGAGAAAGACAGAATGAATATGTTTGCATTTGCACATGGGATCAAAGGAATATCCGTGTGTATAGTATCAATGCCTGTATTTGGGGATGTGTTATTTACATGTTTATTTTCAGCAGAATGTCCCAGCAAACTGAAACTGATCTTTCTGTAGAACAAACAGGATTTTGAGCATTTCCAGAATTGCAAGACATGAGGCTCTGGAGAATACCAGGGTGGTTGGGAATGGCAGGGAACCCTGAATGCTAATGCTGATTGGCTTCAAGAGGAGTCAGTTATGTCTCAGGAGCAAATCTCTGATAATGGGTGGTTTGGAGCAAGAACCTCGACCTACAAATCGGGGATTTATTGGTGTCCCTGATTCGCCCTGAACCAGCACTCGATGCAGGCAGATGCAGGCTGCGGTGGAGGAAGGGGCCCTGGAATGCACATGAGAAGACCTGCAGTTAAGTCCTAGCTCCTCCGTTTGTTGTGTGGCTGTGGGCAAGCCACTCCCCTCCCTGAAGCTCAATTTCTTCTTCTGTAAAATGGGTACTTGGCCCACCATGTGTGCTTCACAGCATTAGTGAAAGGTTCCATTGTACTCACTGAGGAGAGCACTTGGGGAGCAGTAATCACTACTGATATCATTCTCAAGGCCCTGTGTCTTCGTGTTGGGCCTCTGTTGCTTTCTTACAAATAAGGATGCATTCACTAGGATAGGGGGATGGAGTGGAAGTAGGGGGAGGCAAGCAGCTTAGTCCTGACAGCACTGACCTGACAGCACTGACCTGACAGCCAGGGATGCTGTCTTGGTGGCTGAGCCTGGAAACTCCTGCCTCCTGCTGCTTGCCACCACCTGCCACTCTGAAGGCTGCCACAGTCATCAGCCTTTAGCCACCCTGACCTGAGGGCTGGGGCTTCAACAGGCTTCTGCCAGAACTATCTGAGCAGCAGCCTGGAGTGGCTGGAAGTGCACTGACAAAGGCAGAGATGAGCAAACCTGGGTGGGCAGTGTTCTAGAACTACTTTCTCCTTTTCTGTAGTGTAGACATGCCAGTTGGAAGAACTGACAGCTCTAAGGATGATCCTCAACCTATAGATGTATATGAATTTAATGAGCTCAGAATTTGTATTGTACCATCTCCTGAGAAGAATCAAGGTATTCTGCCATTGAACAAGCATTTGTTGAGAGCTAGCCTCTAACTCCTAGACCGTCAGAACTGCTGGGCCCTTCAAGACGGGCTGCTCACACCCACTCATGTTAAGCCTGGTGAGGCCTGTACTCTGTTTTCACAGGAAGAAATCCTCACCCAGTCTTCCCCAAACACATTCCCAGGTTCTGTCATTAGTGGGATAGAGATGATTACTGTGGGGAGAAGAGAAACATCTGGATGGATTTGGTGAGGTTGATCTATAGAGGAAGTAGGTGCTGCCTGAGGTAGCTGTAATAGAAGCTAAAGGTCAAAGGAGAGGGCCCTGTCCCAATCCAGATGACTCCACTTCTGCTGGACCCAGGTTCACAAGCTTAATCTACATTTCACCTAAATTTGGCTAACAAGCCCAAAATCACACAGGCAAAGGGAGAAGTGGAGGCAGAACCGAGGTTGGAGGCCACCAGGGCCACCGGGCAGAGATCATTTAAGCCCAACCTTCTCACTTCTCCCTGGGCTCTGCCTCTCTTAAAGGACCTTGTGGTGTGACCTCTTGTAGGTCCCTTTCACACTCGGGGCCTCAGTTTCCCCACTGTAAAGTGAATGGGTCCCAGCTTTGGTAAGCTTATGCTTACCTGATGCTTTCTTCCTGGGCTGCTCTTGTAGAGAAAAGATAAATCTTCTTCCTCCATCCACGAGGGCTTCTTTCCCTGGGGGTGAGAGTAGGCTGAGGAGAGCCACTTGCACACACTCTTAAAGAAAGTATTACCTGCACCAGCTCAGTGAGAGGCACAGATCAGACTGTTACTTGAATCAAATTATGAGCCTCCCCAAATATATCTATGACATTTAAATAGGGGATTACTTGAACATAGACTGTGGGATCCGGTGTGGAGTGCGGGAGACTAGCAAAGTGAATCCTGAGAGTAGCAGGTCTGCACCTGTTGGATCGAGAAAGGCGGCCTACAATTCTGGTCAAATGAGCTGTGCTTATTGACATATTCTATTAGAGAGTACTACCAGGTCACCAGTCACCAGAAAGGCTGCCAGCTCTCCAACCACCTCCAGGGAACTATCCTGAATGGGGCCTTAACAAGCCTAAGAGAGGGTTGGTTTGGGTCCCAAGCCAATATTTGCTCTGCTTTATGTCAGTCATATGGAACCCAAACCAACCCTCTCCTATGTGCCTCACCAGTCGGTGCAGGGATCCCAATTTCAAGTTTGGTTTTTTATGGTCAAAGTCCAGCATAGATTAAATGAAGGGGTGTGATGATGGTGTTAAAAGAGAACTCCAGACCAGTTTAACTCTTGGACACACATCCCATCTCACCATGGTGCTTCCAACCTTCCAGAGATGATGGGCTCCTATTTTCTGATGACAAAGCCCTCCACAGGATTGCTGCCTGGCCATCAGGGAGTGCCTCTGTAACTGAGGCTGAGATCCCACTTTCAGTCCTCCAGCTGTGGCCCATCCCTGCTCCGCCCACCGGGTATGGCCTGTCCTAGGCTCTTAGGTATGGCTGCATTGTGAAATGATGGCTACAGAGCTGGCATCTCCTGTAGTCTGGTTCATCTAGTGCACTACCTCATAGTTAAAAGAAATCTGTTTAAGCCACTGAGGGTGGCTCCTAGTGCCAACTCCAAGAACAGGAAGCTTCCCTTTTTTGGGAGGAGGGGCAGATGGTAACATGGATCGTCCAGGTCAATGGGAGCAGGGCAACCACAGTAAGTACTGGACAACAACACAAAACTCCATGTGTGGCTTCCATCGAGTCCCTCTCCAATTGGTTTGGTCTTCTCCGTCCCATGCAGCACTTCAGCAAGGGGCCTGGCTGAAGGCTATGAATTGTGTGGAGCCTCCTCATTGCAGTCTCCAACCATCTGATGCTGGGAAAATGTCACCAGGATGCAGCCATGCCGTGTGGCCAATGAACCGAGAAAACACCCCTTTTCTAGAATGCTCTAAAGAGGCAGAATAATCCAGAGGTGAGGAAGGAAATACTCCACCAGAGACCCAGGCAGTTCCTACAAAAGCCAGACTTTCCTTCACCTAGGGAGTGACAAGACCAGTGGAAAACACTCTCAAGCAGTAACCCCCAAATGCTCTGCAAGCCAGTGGCGTCCAGATACCGCACAAGCGAGTGGGCTGTCTAATCCCATCATCATGATGTAAATATCTCTAGGCTGCCCTGGGCTGTGCCTGACCCTGTCTTCAGCTTTCCACACCTCCACCTACAGCCCATGCACAGAAGGACCACCCAGGAATGCTGCAAGTGTGGCACCTCCAGGGCCACCCAGGGAGAAGGAGGGCAGCTATGCTGGTGGCTCCAGGCCCATTTGGCGGGTGGTACCTTCACACCACAAAGCCCAAACTGAGGCCCCAGATTTGGCTGATGAGGGCATATTGGACAGGGGTCACTTATGCTCTTCCCCATTGCCACCTGGCCTCTGGCTACCTGGACTTGGCTACCTGTGGATCCTCTCACAGGTGCCACCATCTTGGCTGAGTCTCCAGATGCGAGGTCCCTGAGGCAGTGGCAGGCTTCTCGCTAATGCTGATGGGATTAGGAATGGGATAGGTGGGGAGGGCCCTGGACTGGGCCCTGATGAGCCAAGTGGGTTTTTAGAGGGGCTACTGGTACATTTCAGGGACAGGACATCTGGTAGAGCTAAGCTGGGGCAATAAGGAGCCACTGCTAATCTGAGAGCTAGAAACAATCAGCTTCTGGGTCATTATTAATTAGGGTAGTTTGGGCTGTGTGGAAGTCACGTACTATATGGGGTAGCCACAGCTCTCTCTACAGATAATCTCTAAGACTTCTGATTGGGACTGTGTGAATGCAGTAGCAATATCTCTTCTTACTGCCAGGCCCTGCCAGTCCTGCCTCCACGCCCTGGCTGGCCCCCCTTATGATCTGACCCATGCCAGGCTGCCATAGTATGTTACTTCTGCATTAGCACTCCTTGGGACCTGCCTCTCCACTGTCCCTCAGACTTTAAAGAACTATACAAACCCAAGGGGCTCTTCCCAAGAGAATTGATATGACTTGAGGTGATTCCATTTCTGGAAGTAGTCACTCCATTTTCTGCCTCACTCTTTCAGTGCTTCACAGAGCAGGATGACCCAGGTGCCCTTGTGGTGAGGATCTTTGTTCAGGGGAATGTGACTTTCATCAGAGTGGCCCAGATAAACCCAGTGGTTTTGTGGTTCGGAGTGGGAAAGCCTTCCCAAGAGCAGGACATGGGATTGGACATGGAAGCCTGTTTCTGGGCTCCATGCCTGTTGGATTGGCCCCATCAGATCAGTGGCAACCTTGCCTGTGGGCACCCTGACCAGGGCACACAATCCTCTGCCCAAAACTCCTGGAATCACAAGACACAAATGACTATTGTGGTACTAAGCACTTTGTATGCATTCACATAGTTATCTTCACAACTCTATGAGAAAGATATTCCCATTATCATCCTCATCTTAGAAATGAAGAACAGAGATGCCTGCAGTTTAGAGGTTTATCAGGGAATCATCTCCAAATTGGTGGGGGCTGGAACTTGAGTGTGAGTGGCTAGAGAGAACAAGGAGCAAAGATTAAAGAGTCTTGCCTGCCTGTCTTCCTTCCTTCCTCCCTCCCTCCCTCCCTCCATCCCTCCCTCTCTTCCTTTCTTATTCCCATCTTTCTCCTTTCTTCTCTTTCTCCATTTCCTTTTGTTTTAGTAAGGGAGACCTGATTTATAAGTAGACTTCAAGAGTGACTTTGGAATACTTACTAAGTGACAGGTACAGTTCCAAATGCATTTTAGGCTTTACCTTAATGTTCCCAGTGACTCAAGAAAGTCAGTACTAATGTGATCACCCCCACCCTCATTGTACAGATGAGGGTGCCCAGTTGAAGACAGGGAGTGTCACTTGCTTAAGGGCATTTGGCTGGCTAAAAAGTGGTGGAACCAGGGAGTGAACTTGGGTTTGTCAGCCTCCAGAGCCCTGTCCTCAAGCAGAAGTGGGGCTTGGAGGAAATGGGCCAAGGTGCCATTCAGATGATAGGGCAATGGTTGAAGGAGAGCCAGAGCTAGAGAAAGAGAGAGAGAGAGAGAGACTATACCAACTTCCTCTACAAGCAGAGGAAATAACAAGAGCAACTAGTTACCAAGCCTCTGCTTCAGCCCTGTTAACTACATCAATTCCTTTCATCTTCAGTGTAACCTTATGAGGTTAGAAATTGGGGTACTGAGATGAAAAGGCCTTTGGTCCAGGGCCTCCTGGGGGAACACACAGTGACAGACTGCCTGGAAGGCGCAGTCAGGAGACACCCCTGCTGAACCCACGCAGCCTCCCCCTCCTTTCCTGGCATGATAAAAACAGACCCCATTTGGATTGCAGTGGCAAGGTCAGGAAACAAGGTGACAGTCCTCCTCATTGCCAGGACACCAACTAGAGTAGTTTAAATGGGGCAAATAGAAAAATAGTTGCTATAAGAACATTTAAGATCTGCTCTCACAGTAAATTTCAAATATGCAATACAGCATTATTAAATATAGCCACAGTGCTGTACATTAGATTGCCCAAATTTATGCATCCTATAACTGAGAATTTGTACCCATTGACTGACATCTCCCCATTTCACACCCCACCCCCTGCAACTCTTGGTAACCAGCCTTCTACTGTTTCTATGATTTTAAAACAGTTCTATGAGTTCAGAAACAAATATAACTAGATGAAGTTATGGATGGATGCATTGACTAACTTGATTGTGGTAATCATTTCACAATATATATGTATATCAAATCATCACACTGTATACCTTAAATATACATTTTTAATTTGTCACTTATACCTCAATAGAGCTGGAAAGAATAAAGAGAAAGAAAAAAAACAGCTGCTGGTTAATCAGAGCCTTCTTTCCTATAGTGAGGTGTTTGGGTCTCTAGTTTTGGGACTGAAGCTTTTATAATCTGGGGCCCTCTTTATGAAACAGAATATAAAATTAAAACAAAATTAGGTACCGGGTCTTAGAAGGCTTGAGGGATGAACTTTGAAGCTTAGGCCAGAGGTGACCTTACCTCTCTCTGTGCCCCAACAGTAGGCTAAATAAAATGGCAACAAGCTTCAGACCATGCAGAATATTTCCCTGCTTGAGAAATTCAACTGCTATGTAGGTGGGAGAAGATTCCAGAGACACCTGATTAGTTCAGAACCTTCTAGAGGGGCATCCTGTCTATGACCTCTTCCTGCTAGGACACACCAAAGAGAGATGCTGCTATCAATGGCCACATTTAAAACAATTTATGTCCAGAACATGCCTATGTAGCTTAGCAGAGGGGTCACATGCTTATTGAATAAGCACATTTTAGCTCCTGAGTGCCAACTTTTAGCCTGCAGAGATATCGACCCCACTTAGTAGATTTAGAGCCAGGCTGGTGAGCTCTGATGCCATGAGAGTCTTGGCATCAGAGCAGCTGAAACTTGGAGGGAACATGGGATAAGGAGTCAGTCCAAAGACTCTTCCCATGGTCTAGGTCCTCTCTTTTTAAATTGAGGTAAAATAGACATAGCATGAAATTAACTTTTTAAAAGTGTACAATTCGGTAGCATTTAGGACATTCACAATGTTGTGCAACTATCACCACTATCTAGTTCCAGAACTTTTTCATCATCCCAAATGGAAACCCCCAGCTCCTGGCAACACATTTATCTACCCTCTGTCTCTATGAATTTGCTTATTCTGAATACTTCATATAAATGGGATCATACAATATGTGGCGTTTTGTGCCTGGCTTCTTTCACCCGGCATCATGTTTTCTGGGCTCATCCATGTTGTGGCATGCCTCAGTACTCCGTTCCTTTTGTGGCCAAATAATATTCCATTGTGTGGACGTGCCACACTTGGTCAGTCCATTCATCTGATGGACATTTGGGTTGTTTCTGTCTTTTGGCTATTGTGAATAGTGTTGCTGTGAACATTTGCATACAAGTTTTTGTTGAACACTTGTTTTCGGTTCTTTTGGGTGTATACCAAGGAGTGGAATTGCTAGGTCATGGTGTAATTTTATGTTGAACTAACTTCTTGAGGAACCACCACACTGTTTTTCACAGCCTTGGTCTTCTTGGAAACTTGCATCATTGGAGGTATATGGAAGAGTAGCAGGGAGAGCTGGGACCCAAAGCTGATCTCCAGACTGGCAGAGAAATCTCTGCAGCTTCCTTAGAGAAGCACCTTTCTGTTCCTGCTGCTGGTCTGCACCACACTGTACCATGCCCTTTGCTAGTACCAGAGGCAGATGTAGGCAACACTTTTCCTATCTCCAGGCCAAATGATGGCATCCAGAGGCTGAGGGCCAAGGGAAAAAGCATGAACAAATGCGGTGACCAGGGAGTTGGCTTCTGTACCTTCTCAAGGCCAAGTGCCCTTTCCCATCTAAAACTGCAACCTGGACAGTGCTTGGTAAAGCCCTAATGTCCTATGGCAGAGTTTGGGGAGACCCACTGGTCACTGCCATTTGAGTTGGAGAGGACATTGCACTCTCTTCCTGGCTGGGAATGTACCATCTAGCATGGACTGCATTTGCCTCGGGCAAGAAACTTTTCTGAAGGCTTTGTCTTCCACAAGCCTACTCTGCTGCACCCACTCTTCTGCCTCCCAGCCCCTCCGGCCCAGCTGTATATCTGGAACCCTGAAAAGGTGAGCTCCTCGTATGCTCCCCATCTATTCAGCCATGCGGGAAATCCCTCTAGAGCCATTTCTGGGAACAACATGGCCAGAAGCAGCAAGAGACGTGTCTGCACAATGACTCAGCAGAGACTGCCTGTGCAACGGGTGTGTACCTGGGAGGTTGGTTCTGTATTTTTATACACATACAGGATGCGGCTTCTAGTAGCAAAGACTTTTTAGGGCTGTATGGGGGGTATATCATGTTCATGACATGACATAAGCACTCACAGTAGGCTAAAGGGATCCACACAGAGTCTCAGGATGTTGTGCTTTTCTAGACCTTCAGATCCAAGTCTTGGTGTTACCAACTACAGGCCTTTATAAAATCCCAGGCCCTTTCAGTGGACAGTGTACTTTCTCATTCATCAGCCTTTGATTCTAACAAGAATCCTAGGAGGTAGGCAGGGCTTTGCTTGGGGTCCCTGATTTACACATGGGTAAACTGAGGTGAAGGAGTTGCAGGTGGCTTACTAAAAGTCATATAGATAGTGGCAGAGAAGAGCTTGGCACTCAGGACTCCAGAGTTCAGCCCAGGTAACAGAACCCCCAAGAACCCCAGGCATGTATAGTGGTAGATGTGTGGACACCTCAGCAGTAAGCCAGCCTTCCCCGAATGAACCCAGAGGTAATTCTGGGGTGCTAAAGGAAAGGCAGATCACTTCAGCTCTTCACACTTAGACTGAGGATAAAAAATCACTTTTAGTTTCAGCCACGATATTTTGACTTGCCTGTAGGGACGGTTGTATTTGACCCACGGTTTTCCAAACCATACATCACAGGATAGTGCCAGATAGCAGTGACCTCAGAGAAGAAATCTCCTATTGTAGTTTCTATGATATACGTTAGGGTAGCTTGGCTGCTGAGAATTTGCTGATTCTCCTGGGCCCTTAATGAGCTCTCAAGTGCCAGGGTACACTGACTGGACCACTACACACTCCTTGCACACTATAGGCTTTGTAGGCAAATGGATAATCTGATTATACAAAAAAAAAAAAAAGAAGAAGAAGAAGAAGAAAACCTTCTGCACAACAAATTCTAATAGAAGAACTTAGCAGTGTAGGGTGATTAGAGGGCTTGAGGTAGGCCCTGAGCCCTCATGGTCTGTTTAAACCTTGTCTCTAATTGGTGGTCACCTTGGGCAAGTCATTTTTCCCTCTGTGAGCCTGTTTTCTTACCTACAAAATGGGGAAAGTAAAGCCTTCGTAAATTTGTTGTAAGGATTACATGAGCTTAGAAATGTAATTAGCATAGTGTGTGGCATAGTGTAGATACCAAATAAATATGATCTCTCCTTCTACTCTTGAAAATGCAAACACATTCTTGGTGGTCCTAAAATAGCCTGTAACATGGTTTACTCAGCAGCATTTGCTATTCAAGGCAGATCTGCCTTTAGTCATTGGCTGCGCTCCTGAACAGCTGTGTGAAAGGCTAACTTTTGTAAACCAAATCAAAATAAAATGCAGCAAAAATTTGTCACTGAAAGGAAATCCTCAGTATATCCTTTTATGAAATGAAAGATCCCTCATCCAAACTTAACTTTTTTAAAAGTGCGCATTTGGAGATATAGCCCTTTCTTATGAATCCTAATTCAATTTTGGCCATAAACACACGTTGATGTTCCCCACCCCAAAGCACATAGCAACAAGAGTAGGTTCTATATTGAAAATAATGACAATTTAAAAACATGTACTTATTTCACTGTATGTGTGTATGTGGACAGTGTCTATGATTGCATCATGAAGTGTCATATAACCATGTACGTGTACATGAGAGAGAGATAGAGAGAGAAGTGGTAGGGTGGTGGTGGTAGAGGGGATGGCGATAGTAATCATGGTAATGGTAGAGGTGATGGAGGTGGTAATGACGGAGGTAAGGGTGGTAGTGATGATGGTGGTGGTGGTAATGGTGGTGGATGTGGTGGTGGCAATTGGGATGGTGGGATGGTGGTAGCCATGGTGATGGTGGTAATGGTGTTGATTTAAAGGGTGGTGGTAGTGAAGGTGAGGGTAGTGGTGGTGGAGGTGGTGGTGCTGGTAGCAATAGTGATGGTGGTGATGGTGTTGATGAGGGTGTTGGGATCAGGGTGAGTTCCCACAGTATATTTCATTCTTGTTGTACCACTCTGTCAACAGCACCACTGACTGGGACAGAGGAAGAAGGCACACTCTGAATGTGTTATTAACAGAAACCTCAAAACAGTCTGTCTCCTTGTAGTCATTCAAAATTATCTTTTTCTTACCTGGAAAACTGAAACTGAATTACCGGGAAAAACACAGGAGATTTTTGTTTGTTAATATGCTGCCAATAAAGTAATTTTATGTCAAATTTAACTACAGGAAAGGGCAAGGCATTTTCTAAGTTCCTTAGATGTCATGTGGCTAAAAAAAACAAAAGGATGGACAGCAGTTAGATACTGTACACTTAGCTGTTTGAAGCCATATATTCAGAAAGCAGATGTTGGGAGTTGGTGTTTGAGGACTGATTTCCTGGAGGTATTTTATATAGGCCAAGTTCATTGTTCTAAACTCTAAGGGCTTGACTTGAGGGAGGAAAAGAGGCAAGAACATGTTTAGTTTTGCTGACAGCATCACATGGGCAGCCCTAAGGCTAGACAACTTTAGGGCCTGAAGCTTATTCTAGGAAAGAAGCACCTACAGAGTGGCACTGGGCTCCCCTCCACTATAGAGATGAAGTCATATGACAGTAAAGGGCAGGCAGGGCTGCCTAGGGGGCCCAGAACTGACACTTCCATTAGAATGAGCACAGGCCAGGGAGAGAAGTGGGGAACCAGAGAGAAGGAGCTGGAATTCTAGTAGGACAAACGGTAAGTGAACAACAAGAACAAGTTAAGAGTGTGTGCAGTATTCTTTCAAAGACTGAAAAAATAGTGATGTGATAGAATGGCAGGTGGCTCTGAGCAGGCCAGGAGAAGGACTGGGGGCAGAGCATCCCAGGCAGGAGGGCAGCAAGTGGGAAGGCCCTGGGGTGGGGCTTTTGGACTGTTCCAGTGACGGGCAGGCAGCCAGTGTGCCTGTCACACAATGCACCAGGGAAGTAGTCGTGAATTTGCAGAGGGTCTTGCAGGCTATGGGAAAGGGATTGGATTGTATTTTGTTTGTAGGGAAGCCATCGGGGGACTTAAGCAGAGGAAGGATTGGCTTCATCTCTTTGAAAAAGTTCTCTCTGGATGCTGATGGGAGGAGAAATGGAAGGAAAAGAAACACTTTTAGGGGCAAGAACTTTTGAGAAGGGTGGAATTGGGAGTGTGGAGTTGGGGCCAGCTTTGGCACAGGAGGGGAAGCTAAACACGTGGCCGCATGAGGGCCTGTAATTCTACCTGAAATGGGTACCATTTGTTAGGGTAAACAAATGAACCAAATGCCCAGTGATACAGACCAAGTGTTGGCAAACTTCTTCTGTGATGGCCCAGGTAGTAAATGTCTCAGGCTTCGCAGGCCATGTGGTCTCTGTTGAAGCTCTGTGTAGTAGACAATATGTTAATGACTGGGCGTGACTGTGTGCTAATAAAAGTTTATTTACAAAAACAGCCCGTGGGCTGGATTTAGCTCACAGGCTGTAGTTTGCCAACCTCTGACCTAGAGCATGAACTGAGCATCTTCTTGGAGGGAAATAAGTTCTTTCCAAGTTGCCCTCCTCACATTGCAGGGGGCCATGTAGGCCCATTATTCACAGAAGAGTGGGTGGGCAACCTTTCTGGAGCAGAAAAACGTAAAGATTTCTTCCGTAGTGCAAGTAAGGTGACCATTTCTAAACCGTGCAAGTGATCCAGCAGTCCCAAAAGTTGTTTCACTTCTCATTGTGCGCCCGTTCTCAGGTGCTCCGAAGCTTCCAGTCCTTTGTAGGGACATGGATGAAATTGGAAATCATCATTCTCAGTAAACTATCGCAAGAACAAAAAACCAAACACCGCATATTCTCACTCATAGGTGGGAATTGAACAATGAGATCACATGGACACGGGAAGGGGAACATCACATTCTGGGGACTGTTGTGGGGTGGGGGGAGGGGGGAGGGATAGCATTGGGAGATATACCTAATGCTAGATGACAAGTTAGTGGGTGCAGCGCACCAGTGTGGCACATGTATACATATGTAACTAACCTGCACAATGTGCACATGTACCCTAAAACTTAAAGTATAATAATAAAAGAAAAAAAAAAGAGAGGAGAGAAACATCATCCCCTCCAGGATACCCTTGGGCCTTGTTCTTATAGTCTTGTACATTGTTGAACAATTTGCATGGGCTAGTGGATTAAAGCACACCCTCCACCCTCAGGCCCTCAAGGGTCTCTATGATAATACAGTCTCACCTTCTACCCTTTCCATCACCATCCTAGGTGCTATGGCCAACCTTGAGGCTGCCATGTTAGGTCTATGCATTTCCCACCTCCACCACATAACTCTCTGAAGGCCAGGTAGTTTCCTATTCATCTTGGTAACCCCAAAGCCTCGTGACAGGGCTCAGCTGGCATCTGCGGATGTGAATGAACCATTGGAGAAAATGGTACTCTGCAAATAACTCTGTTATTTTCCCATTTCCTGTGTAAGGCCTAGAGACAATGACTTTTTAATTGCACCCCTTCCCCTCTGTATGACACTGGCCTTCTCTTGTGTCCAGCAATGTGGGTGGCCTAGATGATTTCTAAGGGACTTCTGGCCAAGATGAACAGCAGCTGCATCTTACTGAGCATTTACTATGTGCCATATACTCAGCCACAGCTCTAGGGGCATAGAAGCAGGAGCTCTCAGGGTCAGGGCAGTGAGTGAGCAAGCGAGCACCTATGCCAGCCCTGCCTCTGGATGGGGACTTGAGAGGGTGATGGAAGCCTGCAGCACTGGAGGGAGGCAGACAAAGACAGGCCTGTGCTGAGGGGGCCCGGAGCAAGAGAGAGGGAGGCAATGACAGCAGAGACATGCCTGCGCCTTGGGTTTGAGTGCCCAGTGGTCAAATCCACTTCCCTGTGGCTGATGCTTGCCTTTCTAACTTTGGAATTTAGGGGTTGGAGATCTGGTGAGAAGGTAGGAGGGAGATGAGGAGGAGAAGGGAAAGGCAGGAAGGAAGGGGAGGGAAAGGAAAAGCAAAAGGGGAGGAGGAAGGTTTCCAACAAATTATTCTATATCAACTGCGGAAATCAAAATTTGTTGCCCAAATCTTAGAAGCTCATGTCCCTCCTCCCCAGAAGTCTGGAATGCAGCACTCCAGGGGTAGCTTATAACCCAAATATCTATCTGTAAAAAGAGAAACATTGGGCTTTCCAGCTGTGGATTCCCAGTAAAAGCAAGAGGCCTCAGCCTACACAGGCCAGCCCAGAGTTTGAGGAACCCCAGGCCCACACCCACAGGGCTGGCCCCTGGGTCTGCATACTCCCTAGAAATGTGCACACTTCTGAGCCTCAACTCTGTCCTGGAGTCTAACAGCATCCCTCTCCTTCCTGGGGCAGTTCCACCTCCAGAAACCTGTTACCTTGGGCCTTATGTCAAGGAAACTGTGGGAAAGAGCTAGGCAGGAATGCAGATGAGGCCAGCATGGGCTCCTAAAAGTTTAGAAATAGGCAGTGTCATGCTCCCAGGTGCCTGCATAAACCAGCTGAAAAATGGAGCTCCCCTCACCAGCACTCTCCCTTCAAACAGACTGTGATTTGCAGGTCACTGGTTTACCAAGCCAGGCTACCCAGGCAGGACCCAGATGCCAAGCCCAGTGGTGTCCTGCAAGCTGAGCAGTGCTCAGTTCTTGCAAAAAAAGGTCTGTGTGAAGGCAAGGCCTCTGCCTGGCTTCTCACCCCAGTTGGGTGTCTGGAACAGGAAGGAGCCCTTACTGCAGAAAAAGGAGGAGGGAGCAAAGGGAGCGAACAGCTGCGTGCTCCATGGGGAGGATCCCCAAAGTAGAAAGGCGCATACACACTGCAGCCCTTGACCCAGAATGCTCACAGCTACATTACAGATTCAGGTCTCCTCAGTGTAGTGGGGCTGCTGATGAGACTGTGGCATCCTCAGGGGTCAGGACACACATTTTCCATCACTCTTCTGATGGCAAAAAACCTCTGAGCCAATGCCAACCTCTGATCATTAAAAAAAAGTGCTCACAGCAGTGTGTGGTTTAGGATCATGCCCTGTGTGGTTTGGAACACGTGCACAACCACACCTTGTTCATCACCATCCCAGAAACCCTGACGCAGGCAAAGAGCAGAGTTATTAACCCTACTTTACTGATGTGGATACTGAGGCCCAGAGGCTCATGCAAGTTATCAGTAAGTGGCAGGGACAGTTGCCTCTAGATTAACTAGCCCCTAGGATCACCTGGGTCTTGGAAGGGGACCCATAAACATGAGCTCCCCTCTCTTGGGGCCAGATTTGCACCTGTGCCGCGCCTTCAGCCTGCATGAAGCAGGGGCTGCTGGCAAAGACTCAAAGCTGTAAATCTGGGTTTTCTCTTGAGGCTTCTAAGGGAGCTGTTTCGACAACTCACTCTGTTCCCAGCTGGCTGCCCCTGCATAGGGTTTTAAAGCAGCCTAGCTTTCTGCCAGGCTTGGCAGTGGACAACGCTGGTCAGAACATCCCAGAGAGCTACCAGAATGAAGTAAGTTTGCTTCTACTCTTTACCTGTTTATGGGCTGTCTCTGCCACTGGAATGAAAGGCACTGAGAACAGTGCCTGGCCTGCAGAAGGCCCTGGAAATACCTGAGCTCCTAATCTGGGAATAGGAGTAGGAAGAGCTTTGGAGGCAGGGCACCTGAGTTTGAGATCTACAACTTCCTGCCTGTGTGACATTGGGAAAGTCTCCATCCTTTCTGAGCCTCAGTCTCCACCCTGGGGAAGTGGAAATATCAATCTCTGTGACACAGAAGCAAATGAGCGAATGTGCACAAAGTACCTTGCACAAGAGAGACGCTCAAACACTTGCCTCCAGGTTTCACCGAGAACTACAGAGTAAGATAGATTTGTTCCCAGTGGAGGAAGCCTGGGAATAATTTGCCCCTAGACTATGAATTCCTGGGGCTCAAGATCGAGCACAGGGCCAGGCACACAGAAGGGACCCTGGAAATGTGGCAGGAGGCCAGAGATAGACAGGCCCTTAGAGCTCATACCCATGCCCTCTGACCTCAAGAAGAAAGAAACCTGCTCAAAATCTCACAAAGAGCTTGTTCCAACCCTGAATCGAGTCTGAGGACTCCTTCCTGAGTCCAGCACTTTTTCTGCAAGAAGTATATGCCTCCAAAGCTGATGGGCGCAAATCTTGAACCCCGTCACATAAACACAAAGGGAGGAGGTGACTAGAGCTCCTCCTACTGGATATGTCTAAGGTCACCAGTCTAAAGAAAAGGGATGGATAGAATGAGGCCAGTATTTTTGCAGCCATCCAAATGTCCACATACGCTGTTACACTGAGGGCTCCTCTCTCCCCCGTCTTCAGCCCTACTTGCATTTAGAGGTGAGAAAGATATGGGCTGAGGGGTTGTTTTTCATCGTATTGTAGATGGAAAGCACACTGCCCTTGGGGCCATCCAAATGTGGACCTTGATGTAGCACCCCACCTTCTGGATGGCCATCCTTCTGAAAGTCACTGAATTTCTCAGACTTTATTCTCTTTATCCATAAAGAAGGAGAATAATAATAATCCCCCCACCCTGCCCAACCACTGACTGGTTGGGAAGCTCAGAAGAAATACTGGGCACGGCATCCCATTGTAATCTATAGAGTGAGTCGCTTCTTAATATTAAATGGCTGAACACAGAAGATGTGCAAAAAGTACTGTGTCCCCTTCCTCCTCCAACTGAACATTTCATGCCCTTTGCACCCTCATTTTGTCTAGGAGCTGCCTTATGAAGGGAATAGGTACCTGCTCCGAGCTGGAGGAATCTTTGCCACTTATGGTGGGGTATGGACTGAGACAGAGATGGCATGTGACATGCGCACTGAGTCTCAACTCCATGCAGGCTCTGGAGCACTCTCAAATTGGAGTACTAATGCCTTTTAAATTCTCACACTAGCAATCCTTTGACCTACTGATCTAGGGATCTAGGGAAAGAATCGTGATCTTAACTTCAAAGGGAAGGACAAAATGTTCTGCCTCCTGTTAAAACTCCATACACTAAGTGCAGAGACTGGATGCCTTATTAACCTTGGGTAGATGCCCAAATGTTCAAAAGGTCAAACTCTTCTGTTCCCCAGATCGCCAGAGTCATTAACCAGTCACACTATTAAATGAATGAACAGATGCTGAAAAGGTACTTGCATTACTGAGATTTCTTATGGTGATGGCCCCTGCCTGATATGTATTCAGCATTTTGTAGTTTTCAATGTGCATTAGAGTATAGTGGTGATGACATTGGCCTCTGAGTTTGCCACTTCTTATATCTGTGACTTTGGTCAAATTGCTTAATCTCTCTGAGTCTCGGTTTCCTGGAGATAATAATAGCTTCTTCTTCCCAGGGTTATCATGAGGATTACAGGAGATAATGCCCCAAAAATGCTTAGTAAAGTGCCTAGCACCTAGTCAATGCTGAATTAAAGGTGGTTATTCTTACTTTTCGTTCATTTGAACTTTGTTCTCAGGGAGGGCAAAGGATAGACAAAGCCCCATAGCTAGTGAGGAGTAGCTGCAAGACTAGAACCCAGGTGTTCTGAGCCCTAGTCTTAGGCCAAGAACAACTGTTACGTGAGATGCACGTTTTCCTTCAAGGGAGCTCACAATTATTTCCATGTAAATTCAAGGACTGCTAAAAGAGAACTCTCCTCTGGGACTGATATCATTTTATTTCAAGATTGATTTGAAACATGTTTTTTGTTTGTTTGTTTGTTTTCTAGGAAAGAACAAGAGAACCAGTTAAGCTGAATGCCTGAAGCAAATCTCTGTTAGCGATGTTTTCAGGATGAGGGAGAGTGGTGCAAGAAACGTGCTTCCAGATGCACATGGTTTCCTGGGACTAGGGTTCAGGGTGTCATCCCTGGGTGTTATTAAGTGTCAGAAGGAGAGCAAACAAGGGAAACATCTGAGATCCAGCTAAGGCTACACCCTGGAAATGCAAGCCCAGCTCTTGCAAAGGACCTCCTTTGGCCACTCACCTTCCAGGCCTTACAATAACTTGTTTGGACTGCAGGTTTCTTGGTGGACTCACAGGCCATTCTGCTTTTATTTGGTCAACCTCAGTTCACAAGCACCCAGATGCTGAGATCCTCAGCATGTGCAGCAGAGTTTCATATTAGCACTGGGTACCTTTCTGAGGCTACAGGGATACCGTACAGCAGCACCTGTCACGTCCAGCCAAAGGAGTGGGCTCTCTCAATGTCATCCAATGCTGTTTCAACTGTGAAGAAGACCATCTGAGAGAGTTGCTTTTGGAGGCTGAGGCAAATTTTTAAAATTCTTTGTTCTCCTCAACTGGGGTGAATTCTTGGTCTTCTAGGACAGCTTGAAGTTTTAGAAAGAGTCAAGCCACTCAGAACCAACAGAGAACTCTTTCAGAGAACAAGGTGTGGCATAGAGGAGGCAGAGGGCTGATCTTGATCAAATCCAAAGTGTGACTCTAAAGCAATGAATGTGAATTTTTGGCAAAGCTTACAAAGGGCTCTAAAGGCCATCTGCAAAGAGAAGCCAAGCCTGGAAATGACGTAAGCAATGACAACTTTTCCAGAGTAAATGCACAGATGGCCACTCCAAGGACCTATTCTAAGGACAACCCCCACTGGAATCTGTGCATTCAACTGTACACTGATCAAAACCAAAGCAGTTACTTACTGGCCACACTTTTTAAGAGTGTTGATGGAGTTGGGGAGAAGGGGAAGAGGACCCCTGCATCCACAATCCATCAACACTTTCTTCTACAATTTGGCCCAAGTGAATGGAAACAAGTGGGAAATAAAAGAGAAATTTAAAGTCATGCTAAAACTGATCACGGACTCTGGGAGCATTATCAGGTTTTTCTTTACTGACTCAATTGTTGATCATAAAAGAGAAGCATGAAATATAAAGGGTAATTAGGATGGAGGTTAGAGATTTCTTTCTAGAAGAGGCCTAAGGCCTGGCAATTTGGACAGGCTGCTGGCCAAGTAATGTCTCCATCTCTGCCATCCCACCTGACTGCAATCTCTGTGAGAGCTGGGGAGTGCAGTAAACAGTTTTGTAAATGTCTACATGCTCAACTTGATAGCACATTCTCAATACATTGTTGGTGGTTGACAATGAGGAAACAAAGAGAAAACAAGATTTCAATCACCTCCATCCACATCTGTGCACATATCAGAATTTTAAAATAAATTGAAAGCTGACTTGCTGAAAGTGGATTGCCCTGGGAATTGGAGAAGACAGGCCCTCTAGTTATGTGAAATGGCATTACCTCAGAGCCCAGGGCTTCCAGTTCTATGAAAAGGAAGGAAGCCGACCCACGGCTCTATAAGAGCCATTTCCTCTCTGCTCTATTAATTCCAGAGATTAAGCAAGCCACTCCTCTGTGGCCCTAATACCCTGAGATAACAGCTATTGTGTTTGCTGCAATTCCTGCTAACAGAGCTAATCTTGGTAGATTGGTGGTGTTGCAGGCTTTTATTGTCAAATTAAACTAGTCAATGGCTCTCATAGTCCCTTCTATCATCATCCTGCTCCTAGAACTACCACTGGAATCCCTAATCCTGAGGTTCAGAACACTTGGATGATGTCTGAGTTCCCAGGGAGGAAAGTAGAAGTGTGTCAGATGAGTTTCTAAAAGGACAACAGGGCCAGAAAGTTGAATGGGAAGACCTCTCTGTGCCTACTCACTAGCTTTTTGTTCTCAGTCATACTAGGAAGCTCATGCAATATATCTAGTGCTTGCCATTCTGACTGGCTTCTATTAAGAGAAAAAGTAAACTCGTCTTCCCTCTCTCATCCTTCCTCATTTTTCTTATTGAATGGGTGCAATGCAGTGATCACTACTAGACTGGGAGGCTATATGGAACCTTAGACTATATTTCCAGCTCTTCTAGAAACCCACAAGGGGTGGGATCAGCTCATCTCCTAGATCTCTTCTAGATCACATTTGAATTCCTTATATTTTGAGTTGGATCCCTGCCACCAAGTTTGCACAGAAAATTTCAATAACACATCTTACGTTCAAGTTTAAGATTAGAAGCATTAAATACCCCCCTCCCCCCATGGCCCATTGTCTGACCGATTCCTGGAGCTTTCTGGGCTCCTGACGATTTCCCACCATGGCGAAATGGGGAAGCATGCTCTTGATTACAAGCCGACTTTTCCAGTCATCCATTGTTTGACCTGCAAATTTATTCTTGACTCTCCAAGGCGTTTCCCAAACGACCTAGACACAGGGCTTAGGGAGACAAAAAGTACACTGTCTTTCAGATATGAAGATGAGACCACTGACCCCGTGAATCACAGACTTTCACTCTGAAGACAGGTTTGTGTGGAGTCAGCCACATTCCTTTTCCCTTCCTCCCACCCACCACCCTCATTGAGCACCCCCACCCCCAAGAATGAGGGGCATTTTTGTGAGACAGTTGGCTGGGATAAAATGACAGTCCTTGACCAGAGGAAAGAACAAAGTTCACTGGAAGGTAGAGGGGTGGATGGAGGAGCAGCTTCATGTGACTAAAATAACACTGGGCCTACAAGTATGATATCTGGGTCCTACGTCTGGATTTGCTTTTGTGTGATATGCAGTGAGATCCAGGAAAACTTCCTCTGTTCTCTGAGATGCAATTTCCTTATATGAAAACATGGTGGCTAAATTAGGTGATGGCTTAGGGCCTCTTCAGCTCTACTAGAGTAAGCCTTATGGTTCATAGAAGAAGCAGCCACCAACTGTGGCACTGTTAGGATACAGCCAAGTGAGCTAACAGTTCAAAGCCTGACAGACACAGGAAGGGAGCAACAGATATTGAAAGGGGGCTCATGAAACCCTGGTGCACTGATGTAAAGGAAACTGACTGAGCAGGTTATGATCATGGCTACTCCTCCAGTGACAGATAAGCAGACATATGCAAACCCAGGTAAAGTTTCATTTCTTTTTGTTTTTCATGATGTAGACATGAAATAAGAGCTCCACTAAGACATTAATATATAAGGACAGCTCTACTTCCCATAAACCTCCTTGGCAGTACAGCATCAGCCTCTAAAATCTCAAGTCTAAACCTCTGCCTCTGGAAATATGGAGAAGTACTTTTCCCCATTCTCTCACTGAGTATCACTAAAACCTCTGGGCATTATATATAAAACAAACATAATAAGACATTAAAAGGTGGAAAGAAAAAAGTATACTGGTTAGGGACCTTGGGACCTGAGCAATGATGCAGTGGCGAGTTCTCTGGATTTTGTTTCTGCCTCATATATACCAGACTTGGAGCTGAAGAAGCCAGAAACCCAGAATGCCAATGGGCACTAACAAAGAAGCCCCAACAAAAGCCTGCTCTTTCTAGCCAAAAGACCAGGAAAGAGGTAACCTAGCAAGACAGAAAACTTTTAGACAATAACTGCTCTACTCCAGCCAAACACCATAGAAGAAAATGCAGTCCCATTATATTCCATCAACAAAAGCCAAATGAGGAGCCTAGACTCCACCCCCACATAGCAGTAATGAGGTGCCCTTCCCTATCCGCACTAGAGTAGTATCAGTAAAAGCCTAGTAGGGAGTTGGAATCCTCACCCCTGTCCAGCAGTAATGAGGAGCTCCATCCTCCCTGATGTCAATGAAGAATAAGATGGTGCCCGCCTTCCCTGCCAGAGCAGTGTCAGAGGAAGTCAGCTAAAACAGAAAATTTAAATAAGATCCAGTCTTATAATGCAATATCCAAAATGCCCAAGTTTCAGTAGCAAAGCACTTGTCAGACCAAGAACCAGTAAGATATCAAATGGAATGGAAAATATTATCGGCAGATGCCAACAGCAAGATGACACAGATGTCAGAACTGCCTGACAAGGATTTTAAAGAAGTAATCATTAAAGTGCTTCAACCAACAATTACAACCATGCTTGGAAGCAAATGAAAAAAATATAGAAAGTCTCAGCAAAGTAATCAGAATTCTCAGCAGAGAAACAGAACATATAAAAAAGAACCAAATGGAAATTTTAGAAATGAAAAATACAATAATGGAAATAAATTCAGTGAATCAAATCAAGAGGATAATGGTAAGAACAGAGGAAAGAATTAAGATAGAACAATAGAAACATCACACTCTGGGGACTGTTGTGGGGTGGGGGGAGGGGGGAGGGAGGAGGGATAGCATTAGGAGATATACCTAATGCTAAATGACGAGTTAATGGGTGCAGCACACCAGCATGGCACATGTATACATATGTAACTAACCTGCACATTGTGCACATGTACCCTAAAACTTAAAGTATAATAATAATAAAATAAAATAAAATAAAATAAAAAGAAATGATCAATCTGAACAACAGAGAGAAGATATCCTGGAAAAAAAAGTAAACATAGACTCAGGGACATACAGAATTACAAACAAAAGATCTAACTTTCATGTCACTGGAATTCCAGAAGGAGATGAGAAAGAGAATGAGACCAAAAAAAAAAAAAAAAAAGTATTCAAAGACATAATTGCTGAAAACTCCCCAAATTTGACAAAAGACATACATCTGGAAATTTAAGAAGCTGAGTGAACCTCAAACAGTATAAATATAAAGAAATCCACTCCAAGACCTGTAACAACAAAACTTCTGAAACATGAAGAGAAAAGCCTTGAATACAGTGAAAGAGAAATGATACCTATAGAAGAAAAATAACTTGAATGAGAGTGAATTTTTGTTCATAAACCATGGATTCCAGAAGGAAGTAGCATAATATTTTTCAAATGCTGAATAAAGAGAACTGTCAACCCAGAACCCTATACTCAGTGAAAATATGCTTCAGATATGAAAGGGAGATCAAGACATTCTCAGATCAAGAGACACTAACAAAATTAGTCAACAATATGCCTCTACAAAGAGAATATCTAAAGAAAATTCTCTAAGCAGAAAGGAAATGATAAAAGAAAGGATATTGAACATTAGAAGGGAATAAAGACCAATGGAAAGAGAAAAAATTATGGGTAAATATAATGGACTTTCCTTCTCCTCTTGAGTTTTCCAAATTATGTTTGAAGGTTAAATCATCGATTATAACATTGTCTGATGTGTCTGTAAATGTATGTGGAAGGAATATTTAACACAATTACATTATAAATAGAGGAAAGTAAAGGGGTGAAAGGAGAGGTAGGGTTTCTATACTTCACTGAAACTGGCAAAATGTTGACACCAGTAGATTATTATGTTATGCATATATATAATGTAATACCTAGAGTGATCCCTAAAAATGCTATACAAAAAGATAGATTCAAAAATGCTATACATGAACCAAATGGAATTCTAAACATTGTTTGAGTAACCCACAGGAAGTCAGAAAAAAGAAAATAGAAAAACAAAAAACCAGAGAACAAACAGAAAACAAAAATAAATTGGCAGAACTAAGCACTAATTTATCAATAAATACAATAAATGAAAATGGTCTAAACATACCAATTAAAAGACAGAGATTGGCAAAGAAGATAACATGATCCAATGATATGCTGTTGCAAGATGCTCACCTCAGATATAATGATTTAGAAAGGCTGAAAGTAAAATAATGGAAAAAGATACACCATGCAAATATTAATTTTAAAAAGTAACAGAGGTGGCTCTAGTGATATTAGATAAAGTAGACTTCAGAGCAAAAAAAAAAAAAAATACCAGCGACAGATAGGGACATTACATAATGCTGAAAGTGTCAATCCACCAACAAGACATAGTACTTTTAAATGTGTATGCTTTAAACAGAAGACCTGCAAATATAGGAAGCAAACGTTTTTAGAACTGAACGGAGAAATAGAAAAATTCACCTTTATAGATGGGGACTTCAACACCCTCTCTCAACAACTGATAGAACAACTACACAGAAAATCAGCAAGATGTATAAGAGCCCAACAACAGGTTTCAATAAGGCCTAAATAAAATGTATAGATTGCTCCACCTGAAAAGAATATAATTTACATTACTTCAAACACCCAAGAAATATATACCAATATAGACATATTTTTGGTGATAAAACAATCCACAAAATATTAAAAGAATTCAAATAATAAATGATGTTTTCTCTATGATGGAATCAAATTGGAAAACAATAACAGAGAGACAACTTGAAAATCTACAAACACTTAGAAATTAAAAAGCATACTTTGAAACAAATTCATGGGTTAACGAGGTCTTAAAAGAAATAAAAATTACATTGAACTGAATTAAAGTGAAAATACAATGTATCAAAATTTGTGGGACACAGGTAAAGCTGTGCTGAGATGATAATGTATAAAACTAAATTTTTGTGTTAGAAATGAGGGAAAATCTAAAATTAATAATATAAGCTTCCACTTAAGGAACCTACAAGAATAAGAATAAAATAAACCCAAAGCAAGCAGAAGGAAGAAAATAATAATAAAAATCAATAATACTGAAGACAGTTTGATAGCAGAGTATATGGTGACCATAGCTAACAACAATGTATTGTATATTTCTAAATAGCTAGGAGAGAGGACTTGCAATGTTCCCAACACATAGAAATGATAAATATTAGCGATAATGGACACCCCAAGTACCCTAACTTGATACTTTCACAGTCTATGCATTTAACAAAATATCATATGTACCGCATGAAGATGTACAAATATTTGTATCAATAAACATAATATTAATAATATTTTTATTATTATTAATTATTAAATTATTAAATATTAATATTTATATTAAATATTATATTATATTATTTTATATTTAATAATTTTTATTAAATTATTTTAATAATAAATAATAATATTATATTTAATAAATAATATTTTAAATTTAATAAATATTATATTAAATATTAAATATTATTAATTATTAAATAAATAATAATTTAATATTAATAATAATATTAAAGAGAGAAAAACAATAGAGAAACCCAATACAAATCTAGTTCTTTCATAAAATTAATAAAATGTACCAATCTCTAGCAAGACTGACAAAGGAAAAAGGGAAGATGCAAATTACCAATACTCTGATTGAAAAGGGAGATGTTACTATAGACTGCAGACATGAAAAGGATAATAAGGGACTACTACTATGAATACACATATAAATTTGGAAACTTAGATAAAATGGACCAATCATTATAAAAGCACAAACTGCCAAAATTTACCCAATATGAAATAATCTGAATGGCTATATAATTATGAAAGAAATCAAATTCATAATTTAAAAATCTGAAATGAAAACTTTAAGCCCAGATGACCTCACTAAAGAATTATATTAGTTGTTTAAAGAAGAATTAGCACCAATTCTACATAATATCCTACAGAAAAGAGAAGAGGAAACACCTCCCAACTCATTGTATTACCTTGACAGCAAAGACAAACACTGTACAAGCAAGAAAAAAAAAAAACCCTGCAGACCAATATTTCCCATGAATATAGACACAAAAATCCTTAAGAAAGTTTCAGCAATTTATAAAAAAGATTTATATACCATGATCAAGTTGAGTTTATTCTTGGTGTGCAAGGGTAGTTCAATATGCAAAAGTCAATCCATGTTAATCATACATACCACCATATTACCATAATATGCTATGTTAACAGGCAAAGACTAAAAATCATGTGATCACCTCAAAACAATATTGAAAAACAAGAAGACTCACGTCCTGATTTTAAGACTTACCACAAAGCAATAGTAATCAAAACAATGTAGCACTGGTATAAGTATAGACATATAGACCAATGAAATAGGCTTGAGAATTCAGAAATAAATCCATTTTTTTTTTTTAAGACAGAGTCTTGCTCTGTCTCCCAGGCTGGAGAGCAGTGGTTCGATCTAGGCTCACTGCAACCTCCACCTCCCAGGTCAAGCGATTCTCCTGCCTCAGCTTCCTGGGGAGCTGGGATTACAGGCACCCAGGTAGCTGAGACTACACCATGCCCGGCTAATTTTTGTATTTTTGGTAGAGACGGTGTTTTGCCACATTGGCCAGGTTGGTCTGGAACTCCTGACCTCAAGTGATTCGCTAGCCTCAGCCTCCCAAAGTGCTGGGATTACAGGCGTGAGCCACCATGCCTGGCCCCTAAACCCATTAATCTATGGCCAATTGATTTTCAACCAGGGTGCCAACACCACTCAATGAGGCAAAGATTAGTCTTCAACAAATGGTAGTGTGACAACTGGATATCCACAGAGAAAAGAATGAAGTTGGACTCCTACCTTATATCATATACAAAATTCAGCTCAAAACTGATCAACAACCTAAACATAGGAGTTAAAACTGTAAAACTCTTAAAAGAAAACATAGAAGTAAATCTTCATGACCTTGAATTTCGCAATGGAACTTTATGACCCTAAGAACATGAACAACAACAACAAAATAGATAAATTGGACTTCATAAAAACTTTTGGGCATCAAAGGACGTTATCAAGAAAATGAAAAGACCTACGGAATGGGAGAAAACATTTGCAAATCATATGGCTAATTAAAACCTAGTCTCTAGAATATACACATAACACCTAAAATGCAACAATAAAAAAGACAACACAATAAAAAACAGGCAAAGGACTTAAATAGATTTATTCCCAAAGAAGATATATAAATGGCCAACAAGCATATGTAATGATGTTCAACATTATTAGTCATCAGAAAAATGACAACCGAAACCACAGCATACCACTTCCCACCCACTAGAATGGCTATAATTAAAAAAGAAGAAAATAACAAGTGTTGGTGAGAAGGTGAAGAAATTGGAACCCTCATACATTGCTGGTGGGAATTTAAAATGTTGCACCTGCTATCAAAAACAGTTTGGCGGTCTCTCAAAAAGTTAAACATAGAATTACCATTTGACCCCACAATTCCACTCCTCGGTATATACCCAAAGGAATTGAAAATAAGGACTCAAACAAATACTTTTGCACAAATGTTCTTAGCAGCACCAAAAGTGGAAACATACCGAATGTACATCAATTAATAAACAGATAAACAAAATTTTGGTATATCCACACAGTGGAATATTATTCAGCCATAAAGGGAACGAAGTACTGATAACATGCTGAAACATGAATGAACCTTGAAAACATTAAGCTAACTGAAAGAAGCCAATCATAATAGGTTACATACTGTATGATTCCATCTTCATAAAATGTCTGGAATAGGTAAATCCATAGAGACAGAAAGCAGATTGGTGGTTGCCACGAACTGAGGGGAGGGGAAGAATGAGGACTAACTGCCGAATGAGTATGAGGTTTTATTTTATGGTGATGCAAATGTTTAGAAATTAGATAGAGGTGATGGTTGCATAACATTGTGAATGTACTAAATATCACAGATTGTTATGTGAATTTCATCTTTGTAAAAATATAGTGACAACACCAAATGCTGGTAAGAATGTGGAGAAACTGAATCACTCATAACATTGCTGGTGGGAATGTAAAATGGTATTGCCACATTGGAAAACAGTTTGGCAGTTTCCTTAAAAACTAAATATCCAGCAACTATATGACCCAGTAATTGCACTCCTGGGCATTTATCCCAGAGGAATAAAGACTTGTGTTGACACAAAACTTGCACATAAGTGTTTGTGGTAGCACTATTCATAATAGTAAAAAACTGGAAACAACTCAGTAATGCTTCAATGATGGTACATGTATACTATGGAAGACTACTCAGCGATACAAAGAAATACACAGTTGATACAAGCAACGGCCTGGATGAATCTGTAGAGAATGATTGTAAGTGAAAAAAAAAAAGACCATCCCCAAAGGTTCCATACTATATTATTCTATTTATGTAACATTCTTAAAATAACAAAACTATAGAAATGGAGAACTGATTAGTGGTTTCCAGAGATTAAGGAGAGAGTGGGTATGGAAGGGAAGTAGATATGTCTATATGTGAGCAAAATGAGAGCTACCCATGGTGATTGAAATGTTCTGTATTTTGACTGTGTCAATGTCAATATCCCATTTGTGATATTGTATGATCATTTCACCAGATGTTATCATTAGGGGAATATGGCTGAAGAGTACATAGCATCTATCTGTATTAGTTCTTACAACTTCATTTGAATCTACATCATCTCAAAAAAATAATTAAAATCATAGTATCCTATTATGTGATGCAGAAAAAGCCTTCAACAAAATTCAACACTTATTCATGATAAAAACCAGGCACAGAGGGGAATGTCCTTAACTTGATAAAGAATATTTACAGTAAATCTACAGTTAACATCACACTTCATGGTTAAAGACTGACTGCTTTCCTTCTAAGAGTGGCAACAAGGCAAGGCTATCTGCTCTTGACACTGATATTCAACATAATACCGGAAGCTCTAGCTAGTCCAATAAGGCAAGAAAATGAAATAAAATGCACACATTTTAAAAAAGAAGAAGTAGCTGCCTCCATGCCACATTGCCATCGCTGACACTGTGAACATCTGCATGGAGGCTGGCAACCCCTGCACCTACCGGCACCCACCCCAACCAAAGAAAGTGCACCCTGCCGTTCTGCTACTGCTGCTGGCACATGTGAATGAGCATGGATCCTGCTGCTACTGTCCGATGGAGTGCTTTGGCTGGCACCATCCATTGCAGTGTTGTGACCAGCAGTCCAGGAACACCTCAGCCCCTTCAGCACAGCAGGTTTCTAACCTTGAAGGGCCAGAGAACAAAACTGAGGACTTGATACCAGCCCCTCAGAGTTAGAACACACAGCCCAGAAGTCCTGAGCTGAGCTTTGCCCCACTAAAATCTCCCAGAAACAAAACCAGCCAACTGAACTCACCTTATATCACAATCAAACCCCCAAGGACATCAAAAAAGAAAAAAAAAACATGCAAAGGAATGCAACTTCAAAGACTGAAAGAATTTCAGCCCACAAAGATGAGAAAGAACCAGGCCAAGAACTCTGGCAACTCAAAAAGCCAGAGTGTCTTGTTACCTCCAAGTGACCACACTACTTCCCCATAATGGTTCTTTACCAGGCTGAAATGGCTGAAATGGCTGAAATGACAGAAATAGAATTCAGAATATGGATAGAAATGATGATCATCAAGATTCAGGAAAAAGTCAAAACTCAATCCAAGGATTCTGAGGAATACAATAAAACAATACAGGAAATGAGAGACGAAATGGCCATCTTAAGCAAGAGCCAAACTGATCTGAGAGAGTTGAAAAACTCACTTAATGAATTTCAGGATACAACTGAATGTATTAACAGCAGGACTGACCAAGCTCAGGAAAGAATCTCAGAGCTTGAAGACTGGCTCTTTGAAATAACTCAGACAAAAATAAAGAGGAAGCAATAAAGAAGAATGACCAATACCTCTGAGAAATATAGGATTATACAAAAAGATCACATCTATGACTCATTGGCATCCCTGAAAGAGAAGGAGAGAAAGCAAACAATTTGGAAAACATATTTCAGGATATTGTCCACAAGAATTTCCCCAACCTACCTAGACAGGCCAGCATTCAAATTCAGGAAATACAGAGAACCCCTGAAAATACTACACAAGAAGACCATCCCCAAGATGCACAGTCATCACATTCTCCAAGATCGAAATGAAAAAAAAAAAAATCATGTTAAAGGCAGATAAAGAAAAGGGGCAGGTCACCTACAAAGGAAACCCCATCAGGCTAACAGCAGACCATTCGGCAGAAACCCTACATGCTAGAAAAGATTGGGGGCCTATATTCAGCATTCTTAAAGAAAATAATTTACAACCAATAATTTTATTTATAGCCAAACTAAGCTTCATAAGTGAAGGAGAAATAAGATCCTTTTCAGACTAGCAAATGTGAAGGGAATTCATTAACAGCAGACTTGCCTTACAAGAGATCCTGAAGGGAGTGCTAAATATGGAAAGGAAAGGTTGTTACCACCCATTACAAAAGCACTCTTAAGTACATAGACCAGTGACACTATAAAGCAACCACACAAAAAATCCTGTATAATAACCAGTAAACAACATGATGACAGGATCAAATGCACACATATCAATACTAGCCTTGAATGTAAATAGGCTACATGCCCCAATTGAAAGGCACAGAGTGCCAAGTTGAGTAAAGAAGTGAGACCCAATGGTATGCTGTCTTCATGAGACCCATATCACATGCAACGACACCCATAGGCTCAAAGTAAAGTGATAGAGAAAAATCTACCAAGCAAACAAAAAACACAAAAAAGCAGGGGTTGCTATTCTTTTATTTTTTTTGAGACAGAGTCTCTCTCTGTTGCCCAGGCTGGAGTGAAGTGGCACAACCTCAACTCATTGCAACCTCCACCTCCCAGGTTCAAGCAATTCTTTGCCTCAGCCTCCCGAGTAGCTGGGATTACAGGTGCCTGCCACCATGCCCAGCTAATTTTTTGTATTTTTAGTAGAGATGGGGTTTCACCATCTTGGCTAGGCTGGTCTTGAACTCCTGACCTCATGATCCACCCGCCTTGGCCTCCCAAAGTGCTGGGATTACAGATGTGAGCCACCGTGCCTGGCCAGGGGTTGCTATTCTTATTTCAGACAAAACAGACTTTAAACCAACAAAGATAAGAAAAGACAAGAAGAGCATTATATAATGGTAAAGGCCTCAATTCAACAAGAAGACCTAACTATCCTAAATACATATGCACCCAACACAGGAGCATCAGATTCATAAAGCAAGTTCTTAGGGACCTCCAAAGAGACTTAGATAACCACACAATAATAGTGGGAGACTTCAACTCTCCACAGGCAGTATTAGACAGATCATCGAGGCAGAAAACTAACAAAGATATTTAGGACCTGAACTCAGAACTTGACCAAATGGACCTAACAGATATCCACAGAACTCTCCACCCCAAAACAACATAATATACATTCCTCTCATCTGCAAATGGCACATACTCTAAAATCCACCACACAATCAGACATAAAACAATCCTCAGCACATTCAAAAAAACTGAAATCATGCCAACCATATTCCTGGATCACAGTGCAATAAAAAAAGAAATCAATGCTAAAAATTTCTCAAAATCATATGATTACATGGAAATTAAACAACGTCCTCCTGAATGACTTCTGAGTAAATAATGAAATTAAGGGAGAAATCAACAAATTATTTGAAACTAAGGAGAACAAAGATACAACATACCAGAATCCCTGGGACACAGCTAAACCAGTGTTAAGAGGGAATTTCATAGCACTAAGTGTCCACATCAAAAAGTTAGAAAGATCTTAAATTAACAACCTAACATCGCCACTACAGGAGATGTAGAGTAACTAGAGAAACAAGAGCAAATGAGCCCCAAAACTAGCAGAAGACAAGAAATAACCAAAATCAAAGCTGAATTGAGGGAAAAGATGTGAAAAACATACAAAAGATTGAAAAATCCAGAAGTTGGTTATTTCAGAGAATTAATAAGACAGATAGACCACTAGATAGATTAATAAAGAAAAAAAGAGAGAGGATCCAAATAAATATAATAAAAAATGACAAAAGGCATGTTATCACTGACCCAACAGAAATACAAAAAATCCCCTGAGACTACACCAACACCTCTATGCACAAAAGCTAGTAAACCTAGAAGAAATGGATAAATTGCTGATAACATACAACCTCCCAAGATTGAACCAGGAAGAAATTGAATCCCTGAACAGACCAATAATGAGTTCTGAAATACAATCAGTAATAAAAATCCTACCAACCAGAAAAAAGCCCAGGACCAGATGGATTCACAGTCAAATTCCACCAGATGTGTAATTCCTGGTACCACTCCTTCTGAAATCATTTCAAAAAACTGCGGAGGAAAGAATCCTCTATAACTCATTCTGTGAGGCCAACATCATCCTGATACCAAAACCTGGCAGAGACACAACAAAAAAGAAAACTTACGGCCAATATTCTTGATGAATATAGATACAAAAATCTTCAACAAAATACTAGCAAACTGAATCCGGCAGCACATCAAAAAGCTAATTCATCATGATCAAGTAGGCTTTATCCTTGTGATGCAAGGTCGGTTCAACATATGCAAATCAATAAATGTGATTCATCCCATAAACAGAACTAAAAACAAAACCCACATGATCATCTCAATAGATATAAAAAGGCTTTCAATAAAATTCAATATCCTTTCATGTTAAAAAATCTCAACAAACTAGGCATTGAAGGGACATACTTCAAAATAATAAGAGCCATCTATGATAAGCCTACAGCCAACATCATACTAAATGGGCAGAAGCTGGAAGTATTCCCCTTGAAAACTGGGACAAGACAAAGATGCTCTCTCTCACCACTTCTATTCAACATAGTATTGGAAGTCCTATCAGGAGCAATCAGGCAAGAGAAATACATAAAGGGCATCCAAATAGGGAAAGAGGAAACCAAATTATCCATTTGCAGACGATATTATTCTATTCCTAGAAAATGCCATATTCTTGCCTAAAAGTTACCTGATCTGATAAACAACTTCAGCAAAGTTTCGGAATATAAAATCAATGTTCAAAAATCAGTAGCATTCCTATACACCAACAACATCCAAGCTGAGAGCCAATTAAGGATGTAATCCCATTCACAATAGCTACAAAAAGAGAAAAATTCCTGGGAATATGGCTAACCAAGGAGGTGAAAGATCTCTAGAACAAGAGCTAAAAAAAACTGCTCAAATAAATCAGAAATGACACAAACAAATGGAAAAACATTCCATGCTGATGGATAGAAAGAATCAATATTGTTAAAATGGCCATACTGCCTGAAACAATTTACAGATTCAATATTATTCCTATCAAACTAACAATGACATTCTTCAGAGAATTAGAAAAAAAAATAAAATTCATATGGAACCTAAAAGAAACTGAAATAGTCAAGGCAATCCTAAGGAAAAAGAGCAAAGCTGGAGGCATCATGTTACCAAACTTCAAACTGTACTACAATGCTACAGTACCCAAAACAGCATGATGCTGGTACAATAACAGGCACATAGACCAGTGAAACATAATAGAGAGCCCGGAAATAATGTTGCACACTTACAACCATCTGATCTTCAACAAAGTTGACAACAAGTAATGAAGAAAGAACTCCATATTCAGTACATGGTGCTGGGATAAGTGGCTAGCCATATGCAGAAGATTGAAACTTGACCCCTTCCTTACACCATATAGAAAAATCAACTCCAGGAGGTTTAAAGACTTAAATGTAATACTTCAAACTATAAAAATCCTGGAAGATAACTTAGGAAATATCATTCTGCATATAGGCTCTGGCAAAGATTTTATGACAAATATGCCAAAAGCAATTGCAAAAAAACCCAAAAATTGACAAATAAGACCTATTTAAACTAAGGAACTTCTGCACAGCAAAAGAAACTATCAACAGTGTGAACAGATAACCTACGAAATGGGACAAAATATTCTCAAACTATGCATCCAACAAAGGTCTAATATCTAGAATCTATAAGGAACTTAAATCAACAAGCAAAAATAACCCCATTAAAAAGTGGCAGAGCACACGAATAGATACTTTTTAAAAGAAGTCATACATGTGGCAAACAAGCATATGAGAAAATGCTCAACATCACTAATCATTAGAGAAATGCAAATCAATATCACAATGAGATACCATCTCACCCCAGACATTTAATGGCTATTACTAAAACATAAAAAAAAAACAGAGGTTGTGGAGAAAGGGGATAGTTATACACTACTAGTGGGAATATATAACTAACTGAACTAATAGACATCTACAGAACAAAAACAGTTTAGTGATTTCTCAAAGAACTCAAAGCAGAATTAACACTTGACCCAGCCATCCCATTATCATGTATATACCCAAGGGAATATAAATCATTCTACCATAAAGACACACACACGCATGTGTTCATCACAGCACTATTCACAATAGCATATACATGGAATCAACCTAAATGCCCATCAAAAGTAGACTGGATAAAGAAAATGTTGTATATATACACTGTGAAATACCATGCAGCTGTAAAAAAAAAAAGGAGATCATGTCCTTTGGTCCTTTGCATAAATGTGGATGGAGCTGGTGGACATTATCCTAAGTGAAAAGAACAAAAGTCCACAAACTGCATGTTCTCACTTACAAGTCAGAGGTAAACATCGAGTACATATGGACATAAAGAGGGGAACAACAGACACTGAGGCCTACTTGAGGGTGGACGGAGGGAAGAGGGTGAGAATCAAAAAACTACCTATCAGGTACTATGCTTATTACGTGGGTGGCAAAATAACCTGTACACCAGACCCCTGTGACATGCAATTTACCTATATATCAAACCCGCACATGTACCCCTTGACCTAATTTTTTTTTAAAAAGTAGAAAAAAAAAAAAACAAGGAAGAAGAAGAAGTAAAACGATTGCAGTTGACATGATTGTCTATCTGAAAAATCTCAAAGTATCTACAGAGAAACTGCTAGAACTCATACATGAGTTCAGCAAATTCTCAGGATACAAGATCAACATATAAAAATTAATTGCATTCCTGTATACTAGCAATGAACACACAGACATCGGAATGAAAACACAATACCATATACTATTGCTCAAAAAACACTTACGTGTAAATCAAGGAAAACATGTACAGGACGTATAAACTGAAAATTACACAACACTGATGAAAGAAATCAAAGAATTAAAGAAATGGAGTAATATACCATGTTCATAGATTGGAAAACTCAACATAGTAAAGACATTGACTTCTCCCAAATAGACATCCAGGTTTAACCAATTCTTATCAAAATTCAAGTAAGATTTTTTGTAGATATAAAAAAGATTTTTCCAAAATTTTATGGAAAGGAAGTAGAGGGGCTGAAACAATTGTGAAAAAGAAGAATAACCAGTGTACCTGATTTAAAGACTTATTATAGGGCTACATTAATCAAGACTGTGCAGTAATGGCAGAGGGACAGACAGATAATTGGAACTGGACAGAGAACCTAGAAATAGACTCACGTAGATACGCCAAACTGATTTTTGACAAAAGTGCAAAAGCAATTCAGTGGAGGAATAATAGCCTTTTCAACACATGGTTCTGGAATATCTATAGGCAAAACATGAACTTCAATCTATACCTTATACCTTACACAAAAATTCACTCAAAGTGATCATTGAGCTAAATTTAAAATATAAAACTATAAAAGTTTTAGGAAAAATAGGAGAAAATCTTCTGGATTTAGAGCTAGGCAAAGAGTTCTTTCTTAGACGTGACACCAAAAGCATAACCCATAAAAGGAAAAATTCATAAACTAGACTTCATCAAAAATAAAATCTTTCGCTCTGTGAAAGACCCTGTGAAAGACCCTGTGAATAGAATGAAAAGTCAAGCTGTAGACTGGGAGAAAATATTTGCAAACCTTATGTTTAATAAAGGACTTGTATCTAGAGTGTATAAAGAATATCAAAACTTAACAGTAAGAAGACAAACCATCTAATTAGAAAACGGGCAGAAGCCATTTTGGGGGCCAAGGTGAGTGGATCACCTGAGGTCAGGAGTTCAAGACCAGCCTGGCCAACATGGCGAAACCCCATTTCTATTAAAAATACAAAAATTAGCCAGGTGTGGTGGTGTGCACCTGTAATTCCAGCTACTCATGAGGCAGGAGAATCGCTTGAACCCATGAGGTGGAGGTTGCAGTGAGCCAAGATCACACCACTGCACTCCAGCCTGGGCAAAGGAGTGAGACTGTCAAAAAAAAAAAAAAAAAAAAAAAAGAAAAGAAAGAAAGAAAAGAAAATGGGCAAAAGATATGAAGAGGCATTTCACTGAATTTCACTGAAGAGGATATACAGATGGCAAGTAAACACATGCAAAGACGTTCAACATCATTAGCTATTAGGGAAATGCAATTTAAAACCACAATGAGATACCACTACCTACTTAACAGAGTGGCTAAGCTAAAAAACAATGACAACATCAAATGCTGGTGAGGAAGTGGAGAAACTGGATCACTCATTTACTGCTGGTGGAAATCAGTTTGACAGTGTCTTACACAACTCAACATGCAACTTCCATATGACTCAGCAACTGTACTCCTGGGCATTTATCCCAGAGACATGAAAGTTTATATCAAAAATTTATATATAAAAATTTATATTTTAGAATAGAAAATGTTTCTTATAAATTTTTAAAATTTTTATACGGAAACCTGTAGCAATATCAATTTCCAAGTTTTGATATTGCACTATTGTTATATGAGTTGTAACCACTGGGGAAAACTAGATGTAAGGTACAGGGGGGCCTCTTTACTGTGTTTGCAACTTCCTGTGAATCTAATTTTTCCCAAGTAAGAAACTAACTGCTATTCCAAAAGGACTTCAGGGTCCAGATGCAGGGGGACATCAATTCTTCTTACTGCTTTTGGGACCTTTCCTACATAGCACTATTTTTTTCAATCAACTTTTGATGTTTGTACAGACTTTCTTATTTAAAAAAAAACCAATTCCCACCCAAATATTTCTTGGGTGCTTCAGGGGCCAAGCCTGAGGCCTCAGGAGTGACCTCATACAAATGTGAGGGTCTAGAGACATCCCAGTAAAGATAAAATGGCATGATATACAATGCACCCAAATGAAGAAGAAAAAAAAGAGGCCTCTGATACTGCTAAGGCCATCACTAACTCCCTCATCCAGATAGGCCCAGCATCTCCAGCTTCTCTGGAGGATGGAAGCTCAGATCTCATTATAGGACTGGCAACACAAAACCTATCAACTTCAAGCAAGCTGCCCATTCAGCCCTAAAGAAAAAAGGTTTAAAATGCTGCTTTGGCTTTCAAAGACTCCACTCTATTGATTTTATGCCTTCCCCCTTTGTGACACCCGGAGCCAATGTAAAGGGGACTGGTGAGGTAGTGGCCAAAACTTCCTACACAAAGGCTCAATTCTCTGGTGTGCAGTAGCTGCCTACTCCCTCACCACCACAATCTTCATCAGGTACTGGCTGGACCCAGGAAGCAGGGCCAATGGAGGGGACACTGGAGAGGGATCACTGCCTGTACATTGACTTTGGTCCAAGTTGAAAGGTATCTCACAACCTCAGCACATTAGCCTGTGGACACAGCTTTGTTTCTTCTTTCCCTCTAGATGAATCCAAGCCTATGAAATAGCCCTTAAGCAGACCTTTCTGTCCAAAGCAGGAGTAAGCCACCTTTTGCATCCAAATGCCTGGCTGTGTACCATCTTCCCATGGCAATGTTCATGAGCACCTGCCCAGGAAGCCTATGCCTCTGATAGAAAGAAACCAAATCCTCAGCAATGTTTCTCACTCATGAACAATCCAGGGATAAAGAGGAACTCCAAAGCCATCTGCCACATGCAATTTGGAGTTTAGTCAAATAAATCTGTGGGTCTTCAACTTTCGATTTTATATTACATCCATGTTTGCTTTAATATAGGAAAAAATGCCTGCGTCCTCAAGTAAATGGTTGTTCCAGGGACATGTGTTGCTCTATGGCTTTGTTACTTGTGGACCCAGGAAGTGGAGTGGAGTGAGTACTGTACTCACACCTTAGTCACAGAAACAGAGGCCTGTGGGCAGTCTCTTTTCCCACATCAGGCTCTAAGTACACACCTGGGAGCCCTTAGCCACCCATACCCAGAAGAAGATATGAAAGAGAGCAAAGACCCTCTGTGCTGGGCTCTGAAGGCACCCCAGTAACCCCAGAGTTATCACTGGTTTACCCCTCCTTACATTATCTACGACCTCTTGCTTATCTGGGACCTTTAGCTCCCAGACCATGGACCCTGCTGGATCCCTAATGCCCATCTCAAAGTGCCAGTTGGAGCTAGATCTACCTTGCTGCCACCTGACTCTAGGCATGACAGGAAGTAAATGAGGAACCAAATCAAAGGCACCTGGCAAGAAAGGAAGAGGAGTATGTGGATATTGATTGAGCAACCCCAAAAGGCTGAAATCTTTAGAAGCTCAAAGGTGTCTGAGTCCCACAACCCTCACCAAATCAGAGGAAAAATGAACTAAGGGGCAGAAACAACTTTGGGCTTCAGCCTGGAACGTCCAAAGGTGAGCTGCATTGTGAAGTCAAGCTCTGTGCCTGTTTCTGAGCTGTACTCTTAGTGACTCCAGGTAAGTTGCTGGACATGCCTGAGTCTGTCCCTCATCCTAATAGCTTCTTCCTCTGTTCCCTGGATAGGGTGAGGATGAGGAGACAGGTGTGGTTCAGGCATTCCCAAGAAAAGTTCTGAGGTGAGGCCATCATGTCCTACCTGGAGTCTCCAGACTATTGGGCAGATTTGGGGTTAAGGCAGAAGACATTGAATATTAGAGCCATCATTTTTCAAGGGTGAAATTTGGCCCTCAAAGAAAAGAAAAGCCAAAAGAACTCCTGCTTTCAAATGAGCTTGCAGAAGAATGGAACACATCTACTTGGGTGAAGATAATGTTGATGGCAGAGTAATTCAAGTCTATCTTCAAACATGCATGTTGATGTTATGGATTGAATTATGTCCTCCAAATTAATATGTTGACATTCTAACTCCCAGTACTTCATAATGTGATCTTATTTGGAAATAGGGCCATTGCAGATATAATGAGGTAAGATGAAGTCTTACTGGAGTAGGGTGGGCCCTTAATCCAATATGATTGGTGTCTGTATAAAAAGGGGAAATTTGGACACAGAAACATGCACACAGAGAGAACACTATGTAAAGATTGGAGCTCTGCTGCCTCAAGCCAAGGAAAGAGGCCTAGAACAGGTCTTTCCCTAGAGCTGTCAGAGGAAGTGTGGCCCTGCTGACACACCTTGATCTTGGACTTCTGCCTCCAGAACTGTGAGACAATCAATTCTGATGCTTAAGTCATCTAGTTTTAATATTTTGTTATGACAGCCCTAGCAAACTAATACATTGGGGATAAAAATGTTTCTGCAGGCAAGGTGAAGATGCCAGTGGAGACTGGCCCATTTCCACAGCAGACCATACTTGCTGGTTACTTTGAGCTTCTGGGCCTGCTTAGTCTTCTGTGGTGAGGGACTGACCATCTCTCATTATGATGAATAAGAGCTGGAACATCCTGAGATCCTGAGCCCAGAGCAGTCCTTGGCTCTTGGCATTTAGAGGACACCTAGCTCTGGATTCTTATTATTCTGCTATCCCTATGAGCCTGAAACCAGGGATCATTTATCTCAGGTGGCTCTCAACCAGAAAACCCAACAAAATACTTTGCTCATGGCAAATGCTTATAAACTTCTGTAGACAAAACTGTGGTACAGGGGCCATATGGGAATGGAGAAGAAGCAATCGGAAGGCAGCATCTTCATGGAAATTTTGCATGGCTTGATGGCCAGCTGAATACAGACCAGGAGGCTAAGGCCATTCCTACTTTCCAGACTTCCGGCCTGGATGTTGGGAAGAAATGTGGGGCTGCTGATAGGCAGAGAATGCTGCACCAGCAATAGACTCCTCAAGCCACTGTCATCAGTCATGACCACTTCTGGCTGCAATTAGAGCAGATCACCCTGCTGTACTAGGGACTAGCTAACTGTTACTAGTTACTGTATACCACTAACAATCTTAGTGTTATGCTAGGACATGAATAAAGTAGGATGCCTTGATCCAGGAAACCAGACCTGGGAGAAGCAGAAGAGCCCAGTCTGGAGACAGGCAGGGCAAGGTTAATAAGGCTGGCCTCCTAGATGTCAGTATAGCCAAGGCTTTGGAGCCCAACAAGCAGGACCTGAAACAGAAAGGTTGGCTTCTCAGTCATGAGTTACAGGGCTCTGGGAAAGCTGTTTAAACTTTAGGACTCAGTTTCCTCATAGGTAAAATGCAAAGTTCTATACAGGAATATAACAGCTATCTTTGGGTGCCTGCTATGATCCAGACACTGGGCTTGACAATTTACACAGAGCATTTCACTGGCTCGCTCCAACAACCCCACAAGGTACATAGGAAGAGCCTTCTGTACAGGTGCTCCCTCTGTGTTCCCCAGGTCCTTGGCAGGAAGTATTTGTCTAGCATTTGATTCCTCCTCTAGACTGTAAATTCTTGTGAGAGAAGGAAACATGTCTTATATGTGGCTGTAGCCCCAGAGTGTTCAGAGCATAGTAAGGTCTCGGGAATGATCTCCCGAATGGATCTGCAGGGTGGATTCAAGCTTGGGTGGAGGGCTGGACTAGAACTCTCTGAAGGCATCACCCAACCTAGAGCCTGGATGACTTGGTGTGCTGGAGCACAAGTGAGCTTAGCAATGCATAACACATTGCTTAATATTTCTGTGAATTTTAAAGGACTGTTTTGACACTATACAAGAGCTGTGAGGCATATAATTATAGCCTTGTGCTAATAGATATATCAATATTCTAAAACATCACTTTTAGCTTTGAAAAGTTGACTTTAAAAAGCTCAAAGTGATGTGGAGAAATTGGGGCCCTCATACATTGTTGGTGGGAATGTAAAACAGTGAAGTTGTTATGAAAAACTAACATAGAGTAGCTATATGATCCTACAATTCCACTCCTAGATATATGCCCAAGAGGATTGAAAACAGAGATTCGTACAAAATCTTGAACAGGAATGTTCATAGAAACACTACTCATAGTAGTAGCCCAAAGTAGAAACAACCCAAATGTCTATCATCAGGTAAGTGGATAAGTAAAATGTGGTCTAGCTGTACAGTATAATATTATCATCCATAAAAAAGAATGAAGTACTGATCCATGTTATAACATGGATGAACCGTTTAAACATCGTGCTAAGTGAAAGAAGCCAGATACAGAAAACTACATATTGTATGATTCAATTTATGCGAAATATCCAGAATAGGCAAGTCCATAGAGGCTGAAAGTAGCTTAGTGGTTGCCTAGGGCTAGGGGAAGGAAGGGAGAATGTGGACTGACTACTAATGGGTACAGGGTTTCTTTTGAGGGTGATGAAAATGTTCTTGAATTAATTGTGGTGATGGTTGCACATCTCTGTGAAAACACTAAAACACATTGAATTGTAAACTTTCAATGGATTAATTGAATGGTATATGAATTATATCTTAATGAGGCTGCTTTTTCTAGTCCAAATTGTTATCACTCTTTGCTCTAATTTGACATTTTAGAAAGATGTTTCTTTTAGAGAAAAGATACAACAAAATCTTTTAAGTTTTGAAGGAGAAAAATGTTTATACCCTCTACCATTAGCAAGACTGGTTCCCTTTGAAATGGGCCATCAACACACCCTTTTTTCCTTGTTTATATGCTGACCTAGCAGTGCTGGAAACTTTCTTCCAGCAACCCACATATCAATGAACAACTTGCAAAGTTGGTGTAGGAATATTCTAAGCTCTGGTTGATCCTACTTTTGACATTGCTGCTGCTGCTGCTCCCCAGGAACTCCCAATCTCTGTCCTTTTGATTTCAGGAAATTTTCATGCCATTGAGGTTAAAAATGCCCCCCTCTCATCTGGGCGTCATGTGCTACCCAGTGATGAATCAGCTTGAGGCCAGGACTTCCTGGCAAGTACAGGTATCCCATAATCCCACAGAGTGGGCTCAGATGGCAGGACCCTGCTTGAAGGAGCCAAGAATTGTACAAACCAATAAGCCAATTGAGGGCAAACTGTCTCTCAAGCTGACCATGTGCTGAAAACTTATTTGACTCTAAAATCAAACAGCACACAGTGACCTCCCATTATGGCAGAGAACAGAGTTTTCTGGAACTTGGGGACATCAAGAAACGAAGGCAGAGCAAGACTATCTTACACCAACAATAGCAATGCTCATCTTGTCACATGATTGACTGCAGAACTAGCCTTCAAAGTAATGTGAGTCCAAGTTTTTTCAAGTCCTTATTTCTTGAAAAAGAAAAGTTGAACTTGTTTAGCATCATCTTTTCCTATGCTATAAGCATCATCTTTTCCTATGCTATAAACATCATACACTTTGAGAATTCAAAGATACCTTGGATTTAAAGTGGCAGTCCAAACTGAAAATTCAAGTGATCTCCGTGCTAGTTTTCTCATGAGCTAAATGCCTACAGGCTTAATTCCCTTAAGCTTTTCCATAGTCGACCACCAAAGTTGGTGTGTGTTGGAGGGTGCTGTTCCAGTGTCCATTGCAGGGACACAACATACCACTCATTAGTTGGTATACTCTCTCTCTCTCTCTCTCTCTCTCTTTCTCTCTCTTCTGGAAAGCACTATGGCACTAGAAGCCCTGGAGGAAAAGGGCCCCCTCTTTAAGCTTGGGGTTATCCCCATCAGTACTGGTAGGCATAGATTCCTCTATCTTCCTCTCAAATTGCTACTCCGGTTGTTCTACAGCTGACTAGCAAAGGAAACGGGCAGCAGCTGGTCTTTTCCTTTTCTGCCCTTATGGACTGCTCAACCGTAGCCCCAAAGGTGCAAACACACACACACACACACACACACACACACACACACAGAGTATAATGTTTTTCCCCCCTGGAAATGATTTTAAAAACAATGTGTCCCTAGACTTACCCTACAGGAACAACTGGAAATGTTGCACTAGGCAGGAGGAAAATGTTGGAAATTGTTTGGTTTTGTAGTAATTTCAGCAGGCAGTTGCCTCAGAGTGTAGAAACAGTTTGCAAACATGTTACACTTGGGCCCAGGTGCCAGTCATACCAGCTGGCCCAACAAAGGTTTGCAAAGCATTTTTAGCTGGCGGTCTAGGAGAAATAATGAAACGAACATGGGGTTGAGGACCAGGAGACCTGAGTTCCACTTCCATCCATAGGTCATTTGACCTCTTTGAGTCTCAGGTTCCTGATCTACAAAATGGGGCTGATCCTCTTTACTCTCCTCCCCTCCCATGGTGCACATAAGGATCAAATGAGACCTTGAACCAGAAAGCCCCTTGGACAGGGTGGTGCTGTGTGCACTAAAGGCACAAGGGAAGGGCAGCCCTTTTTTTTCAATGCAGGCAATGGAGACAGCAACTGAGCTGAAGGACAGCAATCCCTTTTTGTTCTCCTCCTTTTTTATAGCAAAGCTTGGTTAGAATCCTAGAATGTTAATATCAGGAGGGAAAACTAGAGATTATAAAGTCCAGGCTAGGCCCAGTGGCTCACGTCTGTAATCCCAGCACTTTGTGAGGCCGAGGTGCGTGGATCACTTGAGGTCAGGAGTTCGAGACCAGCCTGGCCAACATGGTGAAATCCTATTTCTACTAAAAATACACACACACAAAATTAACTGGGCATGGTGGTGCTCACCTCTAATCCCAGCTATTTGGGAGGCTGAGGCAGGAGAATTGCTTGAACCCCGGGAGGTGGAGGTTGCAGTGAGCACAGATCACATTATTGCACTCCAGCTTGGGAGACACAGCGAGTCTCTGTCACACACACCAAAAAGGTCCAATCCCCTTCTTGTACAGATAGGGAAACTGAGGAAGAGACTCACCCAGGAACATATGCTAGCAAAAGATGGTGAGAGATGACTCTAGAAGTCAGATTCCCTGAATCCCAAGCCAGGGCATGAGCCCAGCAGACCGGACTTAAAGACAGACGCTCTATGTAATATTTCCTTGGGTCCACATTCTGAAAGATCCTGGATAGAAGCCTCATAAATCTGCAAGGCAGCCTCCCAGGCTGTCCAGTGACCGCCTCTCCTTAAAGAAGTGCCGACATCACTGAGGTTTCAACCTCTCCCTGGCAAGCTGACAGACGAGTAGCTTCACCTCTCTGAGTTGCACTTTCTTTCGATGTACTAAAGAGCTTGGCCAGGAGGACTCTACGAGGCTTGCCAGCTGGCATCATCCCTGTGTTGGTGACTAGCTTTCCTCTATGGTCATCCACCGATTACAATTCCCCAGCCAGAGGAGGGTACGAACAGACTTCCCTTCAGTGGCTGCTGGAAAGATCTTAGACCGCCTCCAGATTCCCAGTGGGGTTGGGTGGAGCTTGGGGTCCCTTCTTTCCACATTAAACCAAAGACTAGTGAGACATCCCTCTTCCCCCAGATTTCAAGCAAAGCAATCTGGGGAATTGAAGCCCTGAATCATTAATTGGGACAATGCTCAAGATTATTCAGCAAACTTAGAGCCCAACACGTTCTAAAAAGAAAGTGTCAGAAAACAAACTCACAGCTAAGAAAGAGATGTGGGCAGTTGTCACTCGGCATTTTGAGGGGATGTCCCTATAGGTTTGCATACATGTCTAGCCTCTGTCTCCAATTATACTGGTGGTAAGTCCAACAGAGAAAACTACCTAAGAAGGTGGGTAGGGAGAGAAAGAGTGTTTAACAAGTGGCCAAAAGTAGCAGTGAGTTAAGAGAAGAACCAGAATAGCCATTAAAGAAAGAAAGAAGAAAAATGGCAAGATGGCTGAATAGGAACAGCTCCGGTCTACAGCTCCCAGCGTGAGCGACGCAGAAGACGGGTGATTTCTCCATTTCCATCTGAGGTACCGGGTTCATCTCACTAGGGAGTGCCAGACAATGGGTGCAGGTCAGTGGGTGCGTGCACCGTGCGCGAGCGAAGCAGGGCGAGGCATTGCCTCACCTGGGAAGCGCAAGGGGTCAGGGAGTTCCCTTTCTGAGTCAAAGAAAGGGGTGACTGACGGCACCTGGAAAATCGGGTCACTCCCACCTGAATACTGTGCTTTTCCCACGGGCTTAAAACACGGCGCACCACGAGATTATATCCCGCACCTGGCTCGGAGGGTCCTACGCCCACGGAGTCTCGCTGATTGCTAGCACAGCAGTCAGATCAAACTGCAAGGCAGCAGCGAGGCTGGGGGAGGGGCGCCCGCCATTGCCCAGGCTTGATTAGGTAAACAAAGCAGCCGGGAATCTCGAACTGGGTGGAGCCCACCACAGCTCAAGGAGGCCTGCCTGCCTCTGTAGGCTCCACCTCTGGGGGCAGGGCACAGACAAACAAAAAGACAGCAGTAACCTCTGCAGACTTAAATGTCCCTGTCTGACAGCTTTGAAGAGAGCAGTGGTTCTCCCAGCACACAGCTGGAGATCTGAGAACGGGCAGACTGCCTCCTCAAGTGGGTCCCTGACCCCTGACCCCCGAGCAGCCTAACTGGGAGGCACCCCCAGCAGGGGCACACTGACACCTCACATGGCAGGGTACTCCAACAGACCTGTAGCTGAGGGTCCTCTCTGTTAGAAGGAAAACTAACAAACAGAAAGTACATCCACACCAAAAACCCATCTGTACATCACCATCATCAAAGACCAAAAGTAGATAAAACAACAAAGATGTGGAAAAAACAGAACAGAAAAACTGGAAACTCTAAAAAGCAGAGCACCTCTCCTCCTCCAAAGGAACGCAGTTCCTCACCAGCAACGGAACAAAGCTGGATGGAGAATGACTTTGACGAGCTGAGAGAAGAAGGCTTTAGACGATCAAATTACTCTGAGCTATGGGAGGACATTCAAACCAAAGGCAAAGAAGTTGAAAACTTTGAAAAAAATTTAGAAGAATGTATAACTAGAATAACCAATACAGAGAAGTGCTTAAAGGAGCTGATGGAGCTGAAAACCAAGGCTCGAGAACTACGTGAAGAATGCAGAAGCCTCAGGAGCCGATGCGATCAACTGGAAGAAAGGGTATCAGCAATGGAAGATGAAATGAATGAAATGAAGCGAGAAGGGAAGTTTAGAGAAAAAAGAATAAAAAGAAATGAGCAAAGCCTCCAAGAAATATGGGACTATGTGAAAAGACCAAATCTACGTCTGATTGATGTACCTGAAAGTGATGGGGAGAATGGAACCAAGTTGGAAAACACTCTGCAGGATATTATCCAGGAGAACTTCCCCAATCTAGCAAGGCAGGCCAACGTTCAGATTCAGGAAATACAGAGAATGCCACAAAGATACTCCTCGAGAAGAGCAACTCCAAGACACATAATTGTCAGATTCACCAAAGTTGAAATGAAGGAAAAAATGTTAAGGGCAGCCAGAGAGAAAGGTCGGGTTACCCTCAAAGGGAAGCCCATCAGACTAACAGCGGATCTCTCGGCAGAAACCCTACAAGCCAGAAGAGAGTGGGGGCCAATATTCAACATTCTTAAAGAAAAGAATTTTCAACCCAGAATTTCATATCCAGCCAAACTAAGCTTCATAAGTGAAGGAGAAATAAAATACTTTACAGACAAGCAAATGCTGAGAGATTTTGTCACCACCAGGCCTGCCTTACAAGAGCTCCTGAAGGAAGCACTAAACATGGAAAGGAACAACTGGTACCAGCCGCTGCAAAATCATGCCAAAATGTAAAGACCATCGAGACTAGGAAGAAACTGCATCAACTAACAAGCAAAATAACCAGCTAACATCATAATGACAGGATCAAATTCAAACATAACAATATTAACTTTAAATGTAAATGGACTAAATGCTCCAATAAAAAGACACAGACTGGCAAATTGGATAAAGAGTCAAGACCCATCAGTGTGCTGTATTCAGGAAACCCATCTCATGTGCAGAGACACACATAGGCTCAAAATAAAAGGATGGAGGAAGATCTACCAAGCAAATGGAAAACAAAAAAAGGCAGGGGTTGCAATCCTAGTCTCTGATAAAACAGACTTTAAACCAACAAAGATCAAAAGAGACAAAGAAGGCAGTTACATAATGGTAAAGGGATCAATTCAAGAAGAAGAGCTAACTATCCTAAATATATATGCACCCAATACAGGAGCACCCAGATTCATAAAGCAAGTCCTGAGTGACCTACAAAGAGACTTAGACTCCCACACATTAATAATGGGAGACTTTAACACCCCACTGTCAACATTAGACAGATCAACGAGACAGAAAGTCAACAAGGATACCCAGGAATTGAACTCAGCTCTGCACCAAGCGGACCTAATAGACATCTACAGAACTCTCCACCCCAAATCAACAGAATATACATTCTTTTCAGCACCACACCACACCTATTCCAAAATTGACCACATAGTTGGAAGTAAAGCTCTCCTCAGCAAATGTAAAAGAACAGAAATTATAACAAACTGTCTCTCAGACCACAGTGCAATCAAACTAGAACTCAGGATTAAGAATCTCACTCAAAACCGCTCAACTACATGGAAACTGAACAACCTGCTCCTGAATGACTACTGGGTACATAACGAAATGAAGGCAGAAATAAAGATGTTCTTTGAAACCAATGAGAACAAAGACACAACATACCAGAATCTCTGGGACGCATTCAAAGCAGTGTGTAGAGGGAAATTTATAGCACTAAATGCCCACAACAGAAAGCAGGAAAGATCCAAAATTGACACCCTAACATCACAATTAAAAGAACTAGAAAAGCAAGAGCAAACACATTCAAAAGCTAGCAGAAGGCAAGAAATAACTAAAATCAGAGCAGAACTGAAGGAAATAGAGACACAAAAACCCTTCAAAAAATTAATGAATCCAGGAGCTGGTTTTCTGAAAGGATCAACAAAATTGATAGACCACTAGCAAGACTAATAAAGAAGAAAAGAGAGAAGAATCAAATAGACGCAATAAAAAATGATAAAAGGGATATCACCACCGATCCCACAGAAATACAAACTACCATCAGAGAATACTACAAACACCTCTATGCAAATAAACTAGAAAATCTAGAAGAAATGGATAAATTCCTGGACACATACACTCTCCCAAGAGTAAACCAGGAAGAAGTTGAATCTCTGAATAGACCAATAACAGGAGCTGAAATTGTGGCAATAATCAATAGCCTACCAACCAAAAAGAGTCCAGGACCAGATGGATTCACAGCCGAATTCTACCAGAGGTACAAGGAGGAACTGGTACCATTCCTTCTGAAACTATTCCAATCAATAGAAAAAGAGGGAATCCTCCCTAACTCATTTTATGAGGCCAGCATCATTCAGATACTACTCATCTGACAAAGTGCTAATATCCAGAATCTACAATGAACTCAAACAAATTTACAAGAAAAAAACAAACAACCCCATCAAAAAGTGGGTGAAGGACATGAACAGACACTTCTCAAAAGAAGACATTTATGCAGCCAAAAAGCACATGAAAAAATGCTCATCATCACTGGCCATCAGAGAAATGCAAATCAAAACCACAATGAGATACCATCTCACACCAGTTAGAATGGCGATCATTAAAAAGTCAGGAAACAACAGGTGCTGGAGAGGATGTGGAGAAATAGGAACACTTTTACACTGTTGGTGGGACTGTAAACTAGTTCAACCATTGTGGAAGTCAGTGTGGAGATTCCTCAGGGATCTAGAACTGGAAATACCATTTGACCCAGCCATCCCATTACTGGGTATATGCCCAAAGGACAATAAATCATGCTGCTATAAAGACACATGCACACGTATGTTTATTGCGGCACTATTCACAATAGCAAAGACTTGGAACCAACCCAAATGTCCAACAATGATAGACTGGATTAAGAAAATGTGGCACATATACACCATGGAATACTATGCAGCCATAAAAAATGATGAGTTCATGTCCTTTGTAGGGACATGGATGAAATTGGAAATCATCATTCTCAGTAAACTATCACAAGAACAAAAAACCAAACACTGCATATTCTCACTCATAGGTGGGAATTGAACAATGAGATCACATGGACACAGGAAGGGGAATATCACACTCTGGGGACTGTTGTGGGGTGGGGTAGGGGGGAGGGATAGCATTGGGAGATATACCTCATGCTAGATGACGAGTTAGTGGGTGCAGCACACCAGCATGGCACATGTATACATATGTAACTAACCTGCACAATGTGAACATGTACCCTAAAACTTAAAGTATAATAAAAAAAAAGAAAGAAAGAAAGAAAAAAGACTATGTGAGGCAAGAAAAGATTTGTGAAGAGTTCACATTTAAGTTGTCTTCCTTAATACATTCCACTCTTTAGATGGATTTAGAATAATAGGAAAAAAACCGTAGTGTTGCGCTTAGAGACTTCATGTGAAATCCCATCTCATGTGAAGAAAATGTGCTTTCATTACTTATAATGATGAAATAAATTATCTCCATTCTTGGAACCACTTCTTTGCAAATATTTTAGATATTATTTCACAAATGAAAGAAAACAGAGAAGGCTGCTACCACCAGCTTTGGAGGGAACAATTTAATTTTCAAGATATGTATCTATTGTGAGTTGGCAACAATGGCTCTGGTTTCCAAAGACAGTGGGAAAATTGCTGCGCATTTCGGAAATGGTTCCCAGACACTTCCCTTCGAAAACGTAAGCAACCAAACGCATACAAGCAGGCATTAAAGACAAATGCAATTTTATAGGCAGCCATTCTGTTGCATGGCATGATAAATAGACAAGACGAGTGTTTTGCAGCCAGCCAGCTTTTGGCTTCTAAGAGAGCTGGAAGGGAAAACTGACATGAACACTTTCAACAGGCTACCCTGGTTGAAATTAGGAAGAGTTTATTTCCACAGTTAAAACAATATGATTCTATTTCTATTGCCTGTGTTACGTCGAGTTCCCCTATTTATCAAACACAAAGTTCCATTGTTGTGATCTATGGTGAGCAAAGGAGAACCTGCCGAGTCCCAAGCAGATCTTAGATGTAAATCATTTGATCCGTTGCTCAAAACTATTCTATCCCATAAGCCCAAGAGCTCATATCAGGGTGAACAAGACATTTGAAAAAAACCAAAACTCTCCTCCTGGAGTCAACAGGAAAACATGCCCCTGGACAAAGCTTATAACTGTTGAGGCCACATGTGCAATGTGCTAGTTAACTAGGAGGAGGAAGTTCCAGGAAAACGACCAACATCTGGTTTCAGGCTTATTCCATTCTTCTCAGGGGCCCCCAGTCAACTGTGCTCACCTGAAGAGACATCTTGAGCCAGCCAGAGAGTAAGCAGCTCTAGTTTCTCCTGAGCTTGACTTTGTCCATTGTATTTATTTCTTCTGAACTGATTTCTCCAAAATCGAAATCTGTAGCACCTCCACAACTTTGATAGCCTTTTTTGCTCCAATTCCTTCAAGGATAAATATTTAACTCCATTTTGGGTCAAATACAAACTTATATTTCTGGGGTTTAAGGATTCACACAGCTAGAGCTTGAAAGGCATGTTACTTTAACATGTTTCAGACCCACAGAGCTGTCCAGTGGAATGTCATCCACTACCATTCCTCGACTGTAAGCATAGTTGATTATCAATTCAGAAACACTCCGAATAAGCAGTTGTGTGCCAAGACTTTGCAGTTCATTCATCCAATTAGCCATTTGTTTATTCATCTAATCAAGCTGCCTATGTCATACTGATTCCAGTACTCATCCTTCCTCTTTTTGCTTATGCAAAGCAAGTATGAGAGAATTGTAGAAAAGGTATAGAAAAGAGACAAACTTTTCATTCTGTATTGCATTCTGTATTCAAAGTTAAGGTACAGTAAAGTCCTGTTAACGATGTAACCTTAATGCATCTGAAAGGTATTGTTTTAATGACGCTTACCTTTTAAATGATGAAGATGCCTCTGGCGGTTTATGGAATTCATTTTATATTCGTTTAAGAAATTGCTTTTTATGAGAGAGTATTTCTGCTGAGTTTCTCTTGGGCATTGGAAGTTAGAGGGGGTAGCCCACACATCTGCGAAGGTCAATAGGGTCTTTGCTTTCCATTAAAATGTTTTCCAATTCTCACAGCATTTGTCAATATACCCAGAAGAATCAGAATAAAATGAATCCATGGCTTGGTATCCAGTATGCAGCAGACATGCTGCCTGCTGAGTCTTGCACAGATGTTCTCTAAAAAGCGCTGAAGTTGGAACTGGGAGCCCTGGGTTCAAGTCTCAGCCCAGGGAGATCATTCACTGGCTGCATGCATGCATGCAGTTATAAGCCTCCTCATCACCCTGGTGTCTCAAGAGCCTGGATACCTCTACTTGTCTATATGACTGATATGAACTGAGCTCCATGCTTAAGGGTTGTCAAAAAGCAGCACCTTCACCCTGATGCCTACAGGTCATAGTTTGTAGAGCAGCCTGAGATGATGGTACTGGATTGCTGGCAGGCCCAGCTCACCGCTGAATTATACCAAGATGACTGCAATTAACAGTCCCTAGTTTTTTTCTCAAGCCACATTTCCTCCACACTATACTTCAGCAGATAACCCAAATGTAGAACTTGCCATTTATCCCTGTTAAATTTCCCATGACCATCTTGAGCTCGTCAAGATCTTTTTGGATCTCAATTTCATGCTACAGAGAACTCATCACCTTCTGGCACTATCTCAGGGGCAAATGTGGTAAGAGTGAATTCTCAATCCTCCTCCAGATCATTGAGAAAAAGTGAAGGAAGCCGGGAGGCAGCCCTGGGACTTGCCTCCAGGTCCCTCTCTGTAAGGGAGGGTGTTAATCCATTATCCATGGCCTTTAGATTCAGTCTTTTAATTGGTTACGCAATCACATAACTGGGCTGTAAATGAAGATTTTACAACAGATGCTGCCTAGTGCTTTGCTGAGGTTCAAAAACACTTGCCTGCTTTTCTGTGATCCACCTGCCTGGTGAGCTCTTCCAACAAAAAAGGTAAGCTATTCTAACACAGCAAGCTACTCCTAATGAGCTCTTTTTTGCTTTTGTCTTAAACACACTTTGCGCTGGCTTCCTTTTCTAAGCACTCACTCACTATTCTTTTAATAGTATGTTCCTGAATTTTTCCAGGGGGGCCACATCAAGCAAACCATAGCTACATAAGATATTCAGTTAAAGGAATTTTCCTTCGGAAATTTGGCAGTACATGCCCATCTAGTAGTTTATGGCTCTTTTTTTTTTTTTTTTTTTTGCAGTTTTCTGTGGTTCCTTAATGCTCCATGATAAAAGCTCACAGTCTTGTTAGCAAGTGCTCTCTCTCTCTCTCCCTCAGCACCCTAGCATGTCGTTTGCCCTGGCCATCGATGACCAGGCAGTTCTCTCACAATCACTTCCTCCATCACAGACTTCAAGGCCAACTGAGGAGTTCTATCCTTTGTACATTAAAGATCATTCTCCTATTCTATGAAGAAGCCTGAAACTTTTCTCCAAAGACTCTGGTTTCTCCTTCTGTGGGGTATGACAGTCTCTTTGCTATTCAGGGACTCCAGGGGTGTGGTGTCTCTTTATCTCTTTTCTCTTTCAGGGGTACATTCTTGTAGCTCCTCCCACCCCTTCCCCCTTTCCCCCTGACTCTGGTTGTGATTCATATAGATAGGTTGCATTCATCAGGTGCTGCTGCCTCTCCTGAAGAAGCTGCTACCTCTCCCCTTTCCTCTTCTTGGTGTGATGAGCCTTCAACTGTTTGTTTCTTTTTAGTGGAACAGGGTTTCTTCTCTTCTCCCCTGCCTCGTGCTTCTCTTTGCATTCCTGATTCAGTCTTTTGTTCTCAAACAGTGTTCCTGGGTAGCGTGGAAAGGGAGAAGCTGCACCTCCGTAGCAAACTCATCAATGTCCAGGCTTATGAATTGCCCTGGGCCCACAGATTTCCAGTGATGGCTGAGCTTCCATCATTGCATTTCCAAAACAGCGACCATATGACACTTACACAGAAGGGAAGGATTCAAGAAATACTGTGGAAGAGAAGTCAAGTAAGGGCAACTGAGTGGTCTGTAAGCAAAAAGACATCTCAGATGATCTCTCAAGATCCATGAATAAGTAGGAGCGGTGATCTGATCACCCACAGTAACAAGAAATACAGATACCAGCAAGTGAACACCCCAAAAATGTCCAAGTCAGGTTTGCAATGCCTCAGGTAGCTAAAGGAGAGTTGTGATAGGAGTAAAATTAATAGTACTTACCTTAACTTAAAAGCAGGCCAGGCACAGTGGTCTAGGCATGTAATCCCAGCCCTTTAGGAGGCTGAGGCAGGCAGATCACTTGAGCCCAAGGGTTCCAAGACCAGCCTGGGCAACATAGGGAAATCCCACCTCTACAAAAAATACACAAAAAACATATTAGCTGGGCATGGTGGTGGGCGCCTCTAGTCCCAGCTATGTGGGAGGCTGAGGTGGGAGGATGACCTGAGCCCAGGAGGTCGAGTTTGCACTGAGCTGTGAGTGTGCCACTGCACTCCAGCCTAAATAACAGCAGAATGAGACCCTGTTTCATTAAAAAAAACAAACAAACAAAAAAACAAACAAAAACTCGTAAGGCTGTTTATGGATGGGGCGGGGAAGAGAGGGCGAGGAAATAAAGGGTAGCCGTGAAATCAAGTTAGTGGGGGAAGTTGTAACAACTCTGTAAGGGCTTAAGGCAAACTCCATCAGTCCACATGGAGTCTATGGGGTTGAGCTTGAGATGCCAGTGAGAAGTATGGCTGGACCAGTGGAAGAACTGGCAAGAAGCACCTAAAAGGTTTCAGCTGGTGGAGAGCCAGCTAAGATGTAGAGTCCATCTTGAGGGATGCAAGAAGGGAAAGAGCCTGATGATGGAGCTGAAGAGGTAGATTTGCAGGGAGTGCAGGTGGTTTCTCCGTCTGTGTCAGTGCTTGAAGCTTAGGGGAAGCCTGGAGGGGTGGGGGTACAATGCAAGGAAGACTGGGGAGAGCTTCACATGTTGTTCCCAGTTAGTTAGGTATGAGATTTCAGGGAGAACTGAAATCTTTCCCTCTCACACTCCTAATTGTTTTGATGTGTTTGGATGTCAAGTCACGAGTCTCAGAGCCTTCACATTGTTGTTTGTAGCCAAAAGTACAAAATAGAATCCCAGTATTGTCAACATGCTGACACATGGACTTCTCTCTTCTTAATAAGTGTTTGATTATGTTTCCTTCTATGAAAATCTGTATCCCCACACAAACACCATTTTAGTTTTAGAACATTTTGTGGGGGCACTTTAAATCATTAACTTTTAAAAATATGGTTCTCGATCATATGGTTTTAATTATTAAATTTTTATTCCCTAAATTTGACTAAAAATCATGTGATTTGCACAGCAAACAGGCCAGTTAAATGAAGTGAATTCCATTCACTGGCAGCCTGCCTGCTGTTCCTGTCAATAAGTAAGTTTAGTTTCTGCTTCTGGGGCTCACAACTCCTGACAGGTGGCTTGCTGGGACCGGGGAAGCAAGGAAATCAGCCAGAGAAAGTGTCCTTGGCAGCAAAGGGTCTCACTGGGCAGGTTTTTAGGGAAATCTTGAGATTGGGGCAATGTGGGATGTGGTGGCAGCATCCTAGACATGACAGACAGCCTCTGAGCAACCTCTGGTCCTACTTGTACATATCCCCTCTGTTCATTAAAGCGGCCTCAGCTAGAGCTTTTCCAGGTGGTTGGAGGCCAAGAGGCATTGTGCATACCAAAGGCTGAACTGGACTTGCTGCTGGCAAGACTGCTCCAAAGCACAGGGAGCAGTGGCAAAGAACTCATCAAGCAAGGCAACAATCTATCATCCTCTGCTAAACCTGATGTCCCAGCTTGGAATCCAGAGTTGGGGTGGGGGGCCATCAGTGCTGGCAAACTTGTGGGGGACAGGGGCTGGTGTAATTGGAGCCAGCTCCCTGGAGCCTCACAACCATCCTGTGAAGCAAATGGGGCTGTGGTTCCTATCCCAGAGGAAAGCACTTTGGCTGAGGAAGGGGAACGGAGCACTGGTCAGGCCTGGCGATACCTAGCCAGTACATGGCTGCCTCTGACTTCCTTCCAGAGTGAAGGTGCTTACCCTTAGTAGGGAGGACCCTGGCCTGGCTGGTATGCCTCCTTGGACTTAGCGGGGTCTGGGAATGCAGGAGAGGCTTTAGACTCTAAGCCAGGGGTGTCCAATTTTTTACTTCCCTGGGCCACAGTGGAAGAAGAATTGTCCTGGGCCGTACATAAAATACACTAAAACTAACAATAACTGATGAGCTAAAAAAATCAAAAAAAACTTCATAATGTTTTAACAAAGTTTACAAATTTGTGTTGGGCCGCATCCAAAGCCATCCTGGGCTCCACACAGCCCACCGGCCATGGGTTGGACAAGCTTGTTCTAAGCCATCCTGACAGGCAGTGTAGTCAGGTGGTTCAAGCTGAACTCTGGCACCCAGTGGTCTGTGTTTGAATCTTAGCTCTGCCACTGATGAGCTGTGTGGCCTTGCAGGAAGATATTCAACCTCTCTGTGTTTATCTATTTCCTCATCTGTAAAAGAGAGATGATAATAATAGCATCTGCCTTGTAAGGATGTGGTGAGGATCAAAGGCACATCTGTAATATGCTTAGAACAGTTGTTGACATGTGGTAAGCCCTACCGATGTTAGCTAGTGGCACTGTCTTCCTCCAAGCCTCCATTCCAGTCCTAGCAGAGGGAAACCTGGCCACTGTGATGATAGCTGCTGGATGGAGTGAAACATTGTCATGGTGCAGAAAACAATGCTGATTGTTTTTCTGTCTGTCTCTCCCCTCCAAAATAGGAGACTCATGCTGAATGTCCAGTCCGTAGAAGCCAGCCTGGCATGTGGCAGGTGCACAATGATAAATTAATGAGTGAGTGCAAGAATTCCCCCTTGTGGCAAATGGCTCTGGAAAGAATGCCAACCTTAAAAAATTACTAACTTCAATGCAAATGCAGTTGGGTAGCAGAGAACAAAGGGACCTATAAAGGTGCCAGACATTCTACTGGGGTAGACTTAAGAGCTGGCCTAGGAGTCAAGAGGCTGGCTTTTGAGAGGCTTTACTGCTTCGTTGCTGTGGGGCCTTGAGCCAGCTCCTGACTTCTTCTGAGCTTCAGTGTCCTCTCTGAATGACAAACAATGTAAGGTGGGACCAAGGTCTGCGACCTCCAGGGAGTTCCTTTCCTATCAGGGCCCAGAACAAACAAGAGATCAAGGAACACACCCAGTTCCTAGGCCTGGGCTCACTACTATCAGGTTCAAGGTCCTGCTCAATTTCTGACAGCAATATCCACATACCATTTCTATGTCAATTATAGGAGCCAGTTTCTCCAGCTTACTTTATAAAATGTTAATTACTTCCCCCACCTCCCCACAAATGTGAAACTTGGATTTAAAAAGACATTTTGGAAAACAGGTACATTTTGACAGGAACAATCTGAAATTGCCACAGGCATAAACACATACAAGTGGATACTGTTTGGTTTGCTTCTGAGAGCCCCGTTTAGTGGAGAGCCGGCCGAGCCAGTGACTATCTGAATGAAGTATACCAGCCATGCCATTATCAGAGGAAAGGATGAGTGTGGACTAGTCAAGTGGCTGGATGCTAATTTTATCACCTTTGCTTTCAGAAACCAGATCCCATTCTGGCAGCAATGGTTCACATCCCTGGCTCCTTACTGTCTTTAGGTAATCATAATATTAATGTCCCAGTGCACCCTTAAGCCCTTTGCATCTCTCTTCAAAGCCTTTTTCAGACATGCAATACTTATCTGGGGTGAGGGGTTGAACTTCCCACTGAGAGACCAGAACTGATCAGATGGGCGGGCCTCCAATCGCGAGCTTGGCTTTAGGCTTGTAGTCCTCACTTTTCTCAAGTCCAGCCACGGCAGCCTGCCAGGCCTGCCTGCCACAGGCAGCCTTATTCAATTGAATGGGGTCTTAACAAGGGGAAAAGCCAGAGACATGAACTGGCGCATGGAGCACAATGATGCTGACTACCCAGCAAAGGTAAGCTTGAGACACTCTGAAGCACCACACTGACTGTAACCACATTGCATAAAACCCAACACAATCCAAGAGAAATGGAATCCTCGTGGGGATAGCATTGGGCCAATAGCTCAACAGCCACCCAAAGTCTCCATGGAACAACTCAAGGCCAGAGCAAATTTAGTGACATGCCTTCCCTGTTGGAGCACCTGTATAGCAGCCCCGCAGAAGAGGTTGTCTAGTCCCTTCCAGGACTCATGGGAGCCCACGACTCTATAGCCATTCTTCTCCGCCAGATTCCACATCTTCATAGCTTTAAGTTTTTTCCTTTGCCACTCCCTATCTTATTTCCTTTCTCCATTGTGTGTTAGCATACTTAACAGATGGAGAACAGCATATACAAGTGGCTTACAGGACTGTCAAGGTAGCAGAGGCACATTTGAAAACAGCTCATGCAACCAAATGCCAATGATTGAGCAAACCACCACTCAGGACTGACTCCCCCGCGTTGGCCCTGAAAATCTAGCTACTCAGTGCTTCCATTTGCAGACATAAACATCCACTTAGGAGTTCTGAAAACACCATCTAAGCCAACATTTGGACTCAAGTAACACCAACAGGGCTGCATAATCAGTAAACTCACTTTTCTGCTCTGTGCCTTTGCAACACTCTCTGGGAAAGATGCAGTAGACTCTTACAGATAAAAGTTGACATGGAGGCAAGTTACTAATATATAGAAATGTTGGATTTTAAGTAAAGTATATTTCACTCTGCAGATAAAGGGAACAGAGATTCTTTTTTTCTTATCTCAAAACAGACTCTTTTTGTAGAATTGATGAAATGGAAGTAATTGTCAAGAACTGAGAGCATTAATCAAGAAAAAGATGAAAAAAAAATGGAGAGCAAATTAAATTAACTTGGACCACAAAGAATATTTAATGTTTTTGCCCCTGAAATCCATTTGATGTTTCATTTTCCCCAGATATAGTACAGGTGGCCTCACCATCATTTTGATAAGAGCGGCGCCCCAGTCACCCTCTCCCAGTGATGCACTGTGAAGTGTTTAACAAGGGGCTCTCTAGGAGGAAAAAAAAAAAGCTCTGATTAAAGTGATAGCACTGACTGCCGTGTTGTAAATACTCTTGTTGTGGCCGATTTCTAGCTACCAACATGATGTCACCCACCTTGCAAAATTCCTGAAAACATAACAGTTGGCTTTTGGGAGCCCGTTTGAGATAACTCTAGCCCACCACTGTCCCCTCCTCTGCCTGTATGTTTCCTATGCTCTCCACTCTGGGATCATAGAGCCAGCAAAGAGAGAAATCACATAAGAATAAGACAGATTGTTATAATGATCAACACACACATGCTACCTTTTGGTTTATAAACTCTTTCCCCAACATTAATTATTGTGGCTAAACTAACCTCTATGTGCTAACAGAGTGCCAGAATGTTTTACAAGCATTTCATTTAATCAATACCAAGAAGTAGGTACTATTAGTATCCCCATTTCACAGAGGAGAAAACTGATGTTCAAACAGATTCAGCAACTCATTCAAAGTCACACAGCTTGTAAGTGGGTGAGCTAGGACTAGAACCTAAGCTCCTTGGTTGTGCTTTGGCAGTAAGAAGAAAACACAGTATCAGAAAAAGTGGTAAGGACAACAGTTTGGCTTAGCTGAGGAATCAGGAAAAAAAAAGCCTAAGTAATCAAATAGGTTTCAGTGTTTCTTTAGCAGGTGATCTTATCCTAGGATTCAAGGATAGAATTCAGGGAGTCTGTAAACTTGAATGAGGAAAAAATTATATTTCTGTTTTCACTAACCTCTAATTGAAATTCAGCCTTTCTTCAATTATGCATGTTGGCAACAAACCACAGTAGTATTTACATAATCTGTGACTTTGTCGCCAAGAGAAATCATAGATATTTTAATTTCACATTACAGTCATAGCAGGAATCTTCAAATATCACTACCTTGAAATTACAGTAATTATGAGACCTACTGCTAGGTCTTATTTAATGAGTTAAGAAGCACATAAATTAATATATCGCAAATTTGTTTTGTTAATATGTTAATAACTATTTTGATCCCATTGTTTTATTTTATGCTTTTAAAAACATTTATTTATTATTATTATTTTTTTCCTGAGATGGGGTCATTAAGTTTCACCAGAAAATCGAGGGCATCCATGAATCTATAGCCTCTCTGCTTCCTCTTCAGGTATAATGAAACTTTTTATGGCCAGTTAGAGAGGTTCTCCTGAGAGCTTTATGTTTGAGTTCCGGAATGGCTGGGCCCATATGGACAGAGGACACAGCCGTCGCCTGTAATAGTCGATGGGCACTCCACCATTTTTCCCCACTGAGAGAGTTTGGGAGCCATGAGTCAGTCCTTCCTGGGAAATGGCTGAGAAGAAGCTTTCAGAGATGAAAATGAAGTGGAGAGCGCAAATGAAGGAGGGGCAGGGGAGAAGCTGAGTCAGACCCTCGACCACTCTTCTAGGGGTACTGTCTCATCCTCTTGGGGCTGAATCATACCAGGGTGGCTCTGCTCTTCTGCCTCTGCCTGAATTTCCCTTGGTAGGGCTCCAGGCCTTCATTTGAGGCCAAAATGAAGGGCCCCAAACCCAGCCAATGTGTGCCAAAGAGAAATTCTAGAACATGTGTGTTACTATCTTGATGGAAAAATATCAATGGTGGGGGTCTTCCAAGGACTATGGGACCCACGTCTGCTTGACTTGACCATCAGGGATCATGAGCCCAGGGACACCTGTATTTCAACAGACTAACAAGCTGAAGCTGCAGCTTGGGATGTGGGGTTACTTGGTTTTGGTCATTTCTACCTCACAATGAAGGCTCTTTGAGGTGATGGGGTCTGGAGCAGTGTGCCTTTCCTTTCTGACTTGTACTTTTAGATTGCATCTGTCTGGGAAAGATTTCCTTTCTTTTTTTTTTCCCAGCTCTTCCATTACCTGCTATGTGATGGGGGTGAGGCTTTTACCCTTTCTGTGCCTTAGTGTCCTCCTTTGTAAAATGGAGGCAATAATAGCATCTACCCATCAGATGCTGCGAGGGTTAAAAAGAGACACTATAAGGTCCTAAGCACCATGTTCAATCCAGAGGGAGAACTCAGTAAAGATCAACTGTTGTCATAGTTCTTAGCATGATGCGAAAGACACACAGCACATATGCCTGGCCAAGAGGGTAGGCTGAATAAACGTTCAAGACCTTTCTCTTCCTCCTCATCCCACCCTCTCACCCCATCACTTTAAATCCAAGGATGGTCAGAGTCTGCTCTCAGGAGCAGAGGAGCTGAAAATGGCCACGCTGGGGAGGGTTGGTGACCTTAGAGTGGAAGTCTCCTGACTCCAGGTCTGGCATTCTTTTTGCTCCCCCACTTTGACAGTCCTCAGGCACCTTCTGACACACCTCCAGAGCCTCAGAATGCCCAGCACAAAGGCCTCTGTCCAGCAGGGGGCCTCTGTAAGGTGAGGAATTCGCTGATATTAAGCCTCGTCTACTCCCCACTTTGCCTCTCTCCAACTGACCTCTAAAGAGATGATAAGAAAAGAGAAGAAGGGCTGTAAAAAACAGTAAGTGCTCAAAGCGTGGAAAACATATAACATCACAACCACCCTCTCTTTCTAGCTTATTCCAAGTTATAGGCCAAGTATATCCTGTCCCATTGCGATGGGTTCCCAGATCCAGGCAATAACATGGCTGCACAGGTGGGCTCCAGGATCTGGAAGTGAGTGCCCAGAAAAACTGCCCATTCATTCTTCAGGGAGTTCCAATTCCTTAGGCAGGCAATCAGGGGCTCTGAACACTTGGCTGTCCCCTCCCTTCCTTCATCCACCTGCAGCTGTCAGCCTTCCCCTCAAAGGACCTAGTTTGACTCCTTTTGATGGCCCCCTATTCCCAATGCAGCCCTATTCCCCACATCCAGTTTTCCCTTCACCACTTGACCCTCCTCCCAATCATGTGTAATAATATAGCCTCCAGAATCAGGTCACAGGTTATTTCTGGATCCAGCCCAATGTCTAATTTGCTGCAGAACATGTGTGAAAAATCATGAACCTCTGCCAACTCCATAGAGAGCCATGGATTTTTAAACAATTACACCAGTGCTGGAATGTAATATTGTACAACTACTTTGAAAGAAACAATTTGGGAATTTCTTTAAAAGTTAAACGTACACCATATAACCCAAGCATTCTACTGCTGGGTATTTGCCAAAGACTAATGAAAGTGTATGTCCATACAAACACCTGTATAGCTACGTTGATAGCAGCTGTATTTGTAGTCACCCCAAACCAGAAAACAATCCAAATGCCCATCAACAGGTAAATAGATAAATAAATTGTGGTATAATTCATATAATAGAATACTATTCAGTAATTTGTAGAAAGGAATGAATGATGAATATGCATGCAACAACCTGAATGGGTCTCAGTCATTATGCTGAATGAAAGAAACCAGGCATAAAGGATTCCCTATTCTATGGTTGCATTTATACAAAACTCTAGAAAATGCAAACTACAGATCAGTGGTTGCCTGCAGATGATGGAGAGGGGCCAGAGGGAGGGACTACAAAGGGCCACAAGGAAACTTTGGGGACTGATGAATATATTCATCATCTTGACTGGGGTGATGGTGTACACATATGCAAAACTGATCAAATTGTACTTTAGATATTTTCAGTTTACTGTACATCAATTACACCTCAACAAAGCTGTAGAATAATCACCCCAGCAGCTCATCTTGCAGTTGTTGGTGACATCCCTGAGCCTCAGAAAATGGGAATGTGTGCAATGTTTTCATATATAATGTACTAACATGCTTTGTTCATTGCTCTGATGGCCCTGTGCTTTCTTAGCTTTCTGGGTGAGAATCTCCAATATATTTTCACTTGTACTTTCTGAAGGGCTCTCAGGAAGCCACAGCCTAGAGAGAAGCTGTTTATGAAGGAAATTGTTCTTTAAAATAACAATCATTTGTGATACCTTTAGTAGAGATCCAATGAATACAGTGGACCTTGCCTCCTTACCCTTCAGTTTTTACCTTTTTCCATTACAGGGTGCAGTTGATCCATTCAGAAGTAAGATGTCCTGTGAAATGTTTTGCCATGTGGGCTGCCTGTGGTGGCTCTCAGAAGGGCTGATCTGCCTTGCCCTTCCTACCTTTTCCTCCCTCCCTCCTTTCCTTCCTTCCTTTCCTTCCTTCCTTCCTCCCTTCCTCCCTCCCTTCTTCTTTCTTCCTTCCTTTCTTCTTTCTTTCTTTCTTTCTTTCTTTCTTTCTTTCTTTCTTTCTTTCTTTCTTTCTTTTCTTTCTTTCTCTGTCTTTCTTTCTTTTTCTTTCTTCTTTCTTTTTCTTTCTTCTTTCTTTCCTTTCTTTCTTCTTTCTTTCTTTCCTTCTCTTTCTCTCTCTCTCTCTCTCTTTCTTTCTTTCTTCCTTTCTTCCTTTCTTTCTCTCAGTCTGTCACCCCAGGCTGGAGTGCAGTGGCACTATCACAACTCACTGCAACCTCAGACTCCTCGGTTCAAGCGATCCTCCTGCCTCTGCCTCCCAAAGTGCTGAGACTACAGGCATGAGCCACAGTGACTGGCCTTGCTCATCTTTCCATGTTGGCAAATGGGAGTTAATGTTGGCTCACTTGGGCTGTCTGTGCTGCCCACTGCTTAGCTGAAAGTGAGAAGACTGCCCTGCCCTCCTTAGGGCCACAAATTTGACCTTCAATTTCCATAAACTGAGTACAAAAATATGATTTCAAGCCTGCAATGACTTTTTTGTTGAGGTAAAATCTACATAACATAAAATTGGCCATTTTAATGTTTACAATTCAGTGCCATTTAGTACATTCACACTGCTGTGCAACTATACTTTCTAGCTAGTTCCAAAACATTTATGTCACCCCAAAAGAAAACTCTCTAGTCACTACCAGTCACTCATCATCCCCCACACCCCACCTCAGTCCCTGGCAACTACTAACTTGTTTTTTGTTCTTATGATTTACTGATTTGCCACATTCCATGTAAATGGAATCATACAGTATGTGACTTCTTGTGTCTGGGTTCTTAAACTCAGTATCATGTTTTGGGGATTCCTCCATGATGTAGCATGGATCAGTACTTTATTTCCTTTGGGGGCTGAATCATATTTCAGTGTATGGACCACAATGACTTTTTTTTTTATTACTATACTTTAAGTTTTAGGGTACATGTGCACAATGTGCAGGTTAGTTACATATGTATACATGTGCCGTGCTGGTGTGCTGCACCAGTAACTCGTCATCTAGCATTAGGTATATCTCCCAATGCCATCCCTCCTTCCTCCCCCCACCCCACAACAGTCCCCAGAGTGTGATGTTCCCCTTCCTGTGTCCATGTGTTCTCATTGTTCAATTCCCACCTATGAGTGAGAACATACGGTGTTTGGTTTTTTGTTCTTGCGATAGTTTACTGAGAATGATGATTTCCAGTTTCATCCATGTCCCTACAAAGGACATGAACTCATCATTGTTTATGGCTGCATAGTATTCCATGGTGTATATGTGCCACATTTTCTTAATCCAGTCTATCACTGTTGGACATTTGGGTTGGTTCCAAGTCTTTGCTATTTTGAATAATGCCGCAATAAACATATGTGTGCATGTGTCTTTATAGCAGCATGATTTATAGTCCTTTGGGTATATACCCAGTAATGGGATAGCTGGGTCAAACGGTATTTCTAGTTCTAGATCCCTGAGGAATCGCCACACTGACTTCCACAATGGTTGAACGAGTTTACAGTCCCAGCAACAGTGTAAAAGTGTTCCTATTTCTCCACATCCTCTCCAGCACCTGTTGTTTCCTGACTTTTTAATGATCGCCATTCTAACTGGTGTGAGATGGTATCTCATTGTGGTTTTGATTTGCATTTCTCTGATGGCCAGTGATGGTGAGCATTTTTTCATGTGTTTTTTGGCTGCATAAATGTCTTCTTTTGAGAAGTGTCTGTTCATGTCCTTCGCCCACTTTTTGATGGGGTTGTTTGTTTTCTTCTTGTAAATTTGTTTGAGTTCATTGTAGATTCTGGATATTAGCCCTTTGTCAGATGAGTAGGTTGTGAAACTTTTCTCCCATTTTGTAGGTTGCCTGTTCACTCTGATGGTAGTTTCTTTTGCTGTGCAGAAGCTCTTTAGTTTAATTAGATCCCATTTGTCAATTTTGGCTTTTGTTGCCATTACTTTTGGTGTTTTAGACATGAAGTCCTTGTCCATGCCTTTGTCCTGAATGGTAATGCCTAGGTTTTCTTCTAGGGTTTTTATGGTTTTAGGTCTAATGTTTAAGTCTTTAATCCATCTTGAATTGATTTTTGTATAAGGTGTAAGGAAGGGATCCAGTTTCAGCTTTCTACATATGGCTAGCCAGTTTTCCCAGCACCATTTATTAAATAGGGAATCCTTTCCCCATTGCTTGTTTTTCTCAGATTTGTCAAAGATCAGATAGTTGTAGATATGCAGCATTATTTCTGAGGGCTCTGTTCTGTTCCATTGATCTATATCTCCGTTTTGGTACCAGTACCATGCTGTTTTGGTTACTGTAGCCTTGTAGTATAGTTTGAAGTCAGGTACTGTGATGTCTCCAGCTTTGTTCTTTTGGCTTAGGATTGACTTGGCGATGCAGGCTCTTTTTTGGTTCCATATGAACTTTAAAGTAGTTTTTTCCAATTCTGTGAAGAAAGTCATTGGTAGCTTGATGGGGATGGCATTGAATGTGTAAATTACCTTGGGCAGTATGGCCATTTTCACGATATTGATTCTTCCTACCCATGAGCATGGAATGTTCTTCCATTTGTTTGTATCCTCTTTTATTTCCTTGAGCAGTGGTTTGTAGTTCTCCTTGAAGAGGTCCTTCACATCCCTTGTAAGTTGGATTCCTAGGTATTTTATTCTCTTTGAAGCAATTGTGAATGGGAGTTCACTCATGATTTGGCTCTCTGTTTGTCTGTTGTTGGTGTATAAGAATGCTTGTGATTTTTGTACATTGATTTTGTATCCTGAGACTTTGCTGAAGTTGCTCCTCGACACATACACCCTCCCAAGACTAAACCAGGAAGAAGTTGAATCTCTGAATAGACCAATAACAGGAGCTGAAATTGTGGCAATAATCAATAGCTTACCAACCAAAAAGAGTCCAGGACCAGATGGATTCACAGCTGAATTCTACCAGAGGTACAAGGAGGAACTGGTTCCATTCCTTCTGAAACTATTCCAATCAATAGAAAAAGAGGGAATCCTCCCTAACTCGTTTTATGAGGCCAGCATCATCCTGATACCAAAGCCAGGCAGAGACACAACCAAAAAAGATAATTTTAGACCAATATCCTTGATGAACATTGATGCAAAAATCCTCAATAAAATACTGGCAAACCGAATCCAGCAGCACATCAAAAAGCTTATCCACCATGATCAAGTGGGCTTCATCCCTGGGATGCAAGGCTGGTTCAATATATGCAAATCAATAAACGTAATCCAGCATATAAACAGAACCAAAGACAAAAACCACATGATTATCTCAATAGATGCAGAAAAGGCCTTTGACAAAATTCAACAACGCTTCATGCTAAAAACTCTCAATAAATTAGGTATTGATGGGACGTATTTCAAAATAATAAGAGCTATCTATGACAAACCCACAGCCAATATCGTACTGAATGGGCAAATACTGGAAGCATTCCCTTTGAAAACTGGCACAAGACAGGGATGCCTTCTCTCACCACTCCTATTCAACATAGTGTTGGAAGTTCTGGCCAGGGCAATGAGGCAGGAGAAGGAAATAAAGGGTATTCAATTAGGAAAAGAGGAAGTCAAATTGTCCCTGTTTGCAGACGATATGATTGTATATCTAGAAAACCCCATTGTCTCAGCCCAAAATCTCCTTAAACCACAATGACTTTTAACATCTTTGCCTTTTCTCCACTTTCTAGATCAAAATCCTCTCACTATAACTCAAATTAGTTGAAGTCTCTGTAGCTGTCACAATAAGAGATGAGATAAGGGATGCTGAGATAGAGCAAGAAGTACATTCCTCTGGAAGTTCTGAGTTCTGACCTCCCCAGGGAACTTCCATTCTGCACAAAAGAGTGCTGAACCCTTCCAGTCTGTGACCAAGAGGGAGCTACTTCAGCCCTAGAGCAGAGTGAATTTGTAGATCTCTTAGGCCACCGTCTTGTTTCTCTGACAACAGCATGTGACAACTTTTTATTCTAATGAGCGAACCTCCCTGCAAGAAAACAGGGCAGGCTGGGTCCTAAATATAAGATGATTGAGTACCACCAATGCCAGAGTTTTACAAAATGAATGTCTCCTCATCAGCCCCTCAATAGCCTCTGAAAGCCTGCTCAATTGTTCTTTCGCACCATTTGTATGCATTTGCTGGGGCTGCCATAACAAATGACCATAAACTGTGGGGCTTAAAACAACAGCAATTCATTCTTTCACAGTTCTGGAAGCCAGAAGTCTGAAATCCAGATGTTAGCAGGGCTGATTCCTTCTGGAGGCTCTGAGGCCTCCATGCCCCATTGCCCTCTCCTAGCTTCTGGTGGCTTCCAAGAGTTCTTGGTGTTCCTTAAAGATGCATCACTCCTATCTCTCCCTCTGTCTTCATATGGCTTTCTCTTCCCTGTATGTCTCTGTGTCCTTCTCTGTCTCCAAATTTCCCTCTTTTTATAACTACACTAGTCATATTGGATTAAGGTTTACCCTAATGGCCTCTTCTTAACTTGATTACATCTGCAAAGATCCTATTTCCCAGTAAACTCACATTCACGGGTTCTAAGGGTTAAGATTTCAATGTATTGTTTTGGGGGACACAATTCAACTCACAGCCCAATTCAAGTCCTTGTGTTGAATACCATCCACAGTTGCCGATGATAATATTTCTATCACAGATTCCAGCCCGCATCTCTGTATGAGTGACACATCATTCAAATCTGTCTTTGGAGTAATAGCCATCTGTTAATTCTGCCTCTCAACCGTCTGCCAGGTCTGTGTCCTTCCACTGCCCCGGTTTATCCTCATCATCTCTTCCCTGGACTCCTGCCACAGCCACCTCCCAGGGGGCTTCCCCTGCCTCCAGTCTTGGCTTTCCCATTTGTCCTCCATACTGTGGTAGAGAAACCTTTCCACAACACTGCTCTGACCATCTTCCTTGCTTGAAAATATGGTGGCTTCCCACTTTCTCCAGGGAAAGTTCCAAAGGTTTACCAGCATGTCATACTCAGTGCTTAGCACAGTACCTAGCACAGAGAGGGTGCTTAGGGAAGTGTTTGTAGACTGACTTCTGGCTAAAGAGACCAGAGAAAGATTTCCAGCAGAAGTGACATCTGAGTGGGACCCTAAAGAGTGCATGAGATTCTGATAAGGGAAGAAGACAGAGTGGGAGATGCAGACATGGATAAAAAAGAACTGCCCTACAGGAACTAACCTTCTATAAATAATTACACCATAAGGCTGCAAGCACTCTGTACCTTCTATGTCATAGGACATAGAAATGTCCTATGAGAGTTCACGGAGGAGGTAGTAATCTATAGTCTGCTTTGTATTTATAGTCATTGGTGTTATATTGAGTTATTGGTCTGATAGCAGTGTGTATATCTCTATATCCCAATTGTGTCAAGTGCTTAGTAGCATCCATTATTGAGTCCACACTGAGAGTACCCCAGGGTAATTACTATCACTGACAGCCTTCCTACTGAAAATACCAGTGCTCCCAGTTCCCTGCAACCCCCACTGATACAGCAGGAAAGAAGGAATATCCACAACTAATGTTCGTATGGACCTTTGGAAAGCTAGTGTATTTTTGCTCCTTCGTTCCCTGTCTTCTTCTTCTTCTTCTTCCTCTTCTTCTTCCTCTTCCTCTTCCTCTTCCTCTTCCTCTTCCTCTTCTTCTTCTTCTTCTTCTTCTTCTTCTTCTTCTTCTTCTTCTTCTTCTTCTTCTTCTTCTTCTTCTTCTTCTTCTTCTTCTTCTTCTCCTTCTCCTCCTTCTCCTTCTTCTCCTCTCTCTGTGGTAAGCCATGAAGTGGTAGATGTAGGCTGGGGCCAGCATCACAAAATGCGATGGATATTAGGTGAAAAATTTTACCCTTCAGTCTGTGTGTGCTGGAACCTGGCAGAACTGTTGCAGAAGGGTCACTGTGGGTGGAGTGGGTGCTGAGCAAGCACGGGGTGATAATTTTAGAAAGAAGGGGATGGATTTGACTGACATATACATGGAAAAGTATGTGATGATCAAAATGGCCAGAAATAAAATGGGCTGCCTCATAAGGTAGTAAGTTACCTGTCCCTGGAAATATATGTCCAAGCATATGCCATGAAACTTCTTAATGGGGATGTTGAATAGTGAATTTAGGCATCAGAAATGAGGTTATGATAGATGACTTGATGGTTCCATCTAACACATAGATTTCATGACCATAGCTTCCAGAATGCTAGAGAATTATTAGGACTGAATGACCAATTAGCTGGTAAGGGGGTGTAGAGGGATGAGTCAGAAATAAATTCAGTGTCTGGTGAGTGTCCAAGTGAGGGTTGGAGTGATCAGGGAAGAACACAAGTTGACCTTTGCACACATTGAGTTGAAGGTATGAGAGGACTAGCTAAATGGGTAGGTGGGATGAACTGTCACAAATCTGGGTCTGGGCTCAGGTGATAGGGCTAAGATCCAGATTTGAAAGTCACTAGTTTATTCCATATTCCCAAACAACCATGAAAGGGGAATACACAATAGGAAATAAAACCTTATCTACAAAAAAAATCATCCTTAGAAATAAACGTGACATGCAGTGTACAAAACCTCTACAAAGGACATTCTAAAACACTCCTGAAAGATGCAAAAGTAGACATGAATGAATGGAAAGACACACCTTGCTCTTGAATAGGAGGACTCAACATCATAAAGATGTCAGTTCTGTTTAACAATTTATACATATAAGATGAAATCTCAATTTTTAAAATACCAACAAGTTTTTTAATTTTGCTAGACAATTTGATACTAAATTCCATATGGAAAAAAATAAAACATAAAAGAAGAGCCAGGAAAACATACTATAGGTCACTTCTGGTTCTGACCAATATGAAGTAGCCTTACTTCTCCCATGTCTCTCTCCTTACAACTAAACAAACCTGGAGACATTGCACGACAATGTGAATATACTTAACAATACTGAACTATACACTTGCAAATGATTAAGATAGTAAATTTTATGTCATATGCATTTTACCACAATTTAAAGTGTTTTAAAAAGCAAACTACAGAAACAAACAAAAATCTGGGCATAACATAATAAAAAAGCATAAAAAGCCTCTAGAAAGTAGAAAGAAAAGGTGACCAACCTAGAGTCCTAGACTTGGGAAATAACATAGCAATGAGTTCCATAGGTTTCCATATTGACTCCCATATATTCTGGACAGGACACTACAGAAGCTTCCAACATGGAACTGTCAACAGGCACAGGCAAAAGAAAAACAACAAAAAACAAAACAAAGAAATAAAAACCCCACACAGGTAGGACGTAGCTGAGCTCAACACCAACACCATCGACTGGATATAACTGACATTTACCAAACAACAGTAGATACACATACTTCTTAAGCTCATATGGAACATTCACCAAGATGGATCTCATTCTGGGCCATAAAATAAACTTTTCCAAATTTAGAAGAACAGAATTCATACAATGTCTGCTCTCAGACCACGATGGAATTAAACTAGAGATCAAGAATAGAAAGATAATGGGAAAACGCCAAAACTCATGGAGATTAAACAACACATTTCTAAATAACACATGGGTCAAAAATCTCAGGAGAAGTTGAAAATATATTTTGAAGAAAATGAAAACACAACTTATCAAACTTTGTGTACTGCAGCAAAATCAGTGATAAAGAAGAAATTTATAGCTTTGAATGTAAATATTAGAAAAGAAGAGGCTAGGTAGGCATGGTGGCTCACACCTGTAATCCCATCACTTTGGGAGGTTGAGCTGGGAAGATCACTTGAGGTCAGGAGTTCAAGACCAGTGTGGGCAGCATAGCAAGACAAGCCTCCACAAAAAAAAAAAAAAAAAAAAAAAAAAAATTAGCCAGGTATGGTGGTGCATGCCTGTAGTCCCAACTACTCAGGAGGCTGAGGTGGGAGGATTGCTTGAGTGCACAAGTTTGAGATTACAGTGAGCTATGATCGCACCATTGCACTCCAGCCTGGGCAAAAACTGAGACCCAGTCTCAAAAAAGAAAAAAGAAAAAAAAAAGCACATTAAACCCTAAGTAAGCAGAATAAAATATATAATACAAATTAGAGCAGAAATTAAAAACAGGAAATCAATAGAGAAAAATCATTGAAACCAAAAGCTAGTTTATTAAAAAGATCAATAAAGTTGATAAGCCTCTGGACAAAGCTAAGGAAAAAAAGAGAACATGACCTATTAATATTATAAATGAAAGTGGGGACATCATTACAGACCCCATGGACATTCAAAGCATAATAAAATAATACTGTGAACAACCCTAGGCTCACCAGTTTGATAACCTAGATAAAATGAGCCAATTTCTTGAAAGACACAATCTGCCAAACCTCACACAAGCAGAAATATACAATCAAAACAAACCTGTATCTATTAAAGAAATTGAATCAATAGTTAATAACCTTTCCAAACAGAAGGCGCCAGGCCTGGATGGGTTCACTGGTGAGTTCTACATAACACTTAAGGAAGAAATGACACAAATTCTCTACATTATCTTGCAGAGAATAGAAGCAGAGAGAATATGTTATAACTCAATTTAATGAGGCCAGCAACACCCTAATACAAAAACCAGACAAAGACATTACAAGGAAAGAAAACTACAGATTCCTATCTGTCATGAACATAGATGGAAAAATGTTCAATGAAATACTGATGAGTCAAATCCAATAATGTATAAAAACAATTATATACTATGACCAAATGGAATTTATCCTAGGTATGCAAGACTGATTATACATTTAAAAACCAATTAACGTCATCCATCACATCAGCAGGCTATAGAGGAAAAATCACATGATCATATCAATAGATGCAGAAAAGCCATTTAACAAAATCCAACACCCATTCATGATAAAAACTCTCATTAAACTCAGAATTGAGAACTTCCTCAACTTGAAAAAGAATATTTACAAAAAAAAACTGCTACTATCATACTTAATGGTAAGAGACTAGAAGCTTTCCTACTAAGATTGGGAACAAGGCAAGTATGTCCACTCTCATCATTCCTTTTCAACATTGTTCTGGAAGTCTTAGCTAAAGCAATAAGACAAAAAAAGGAAACAAAAGGTACACCCATTGGGAACGCAGAAATAAAACTGCCTTTGTTTGCAGATGACATGATCCTCTATGTAGAAAATCTGAAAGAATCAACAACAACAGCAACAAAACCATTGGAACCAATAAGTCATTATAGCAAGGTTACAGGACACAAGGTCAATCACATTCTTACATACCAGCAATAACAAGTGGAATTTAAAATTAAAAAAAACCATATTACTGTTTATATCAGCACCCCCAAAATGAAATACTTACATATAAATCTAAGAAAATACGCACAAGATCTATATAAGGAAAACAAAAAATCTGATGAAAAAATCAAAGAACTAAATAAATGGAAAGAGATTCCATGTTCATGAATAGGAAGACTCAATATTGTTAAGATGCCAGTTTTTCCCAATTTGATCTATAGATTCAGTGCAATCCCAATCAATACTCCAGCACATTCTTTTGTGGACACCAACAAACTTATTTTAAAGTTTATGTGGAGAGGCAAAAGATCCAGAATAGTTAGTAAAATATTGACAGAGAAGAACAAAGTCAAAGGACTGACACTACCTGACCTCAAGACTTACTATAAAGATAGAATAATCAAGACAGTGTGCTACTGGTAAAAGAATATACAAATAGATCAATGCAGCAGAATGGAGAACCCAGAAATAGACCCACAGGAATATACTCAACTGTTCTTTGACAAAGGAGCAAAGGCAGTAAAATGGAGCAAAGATAGTCTGTTCAACAAATAGTGCTAGAACAACTGGACATTGATAAGCAAAAAAAAAAAAAAAAAAAAAAAAAGGATGTAGATATAGACCTTACACCCCTCACAAAAATTAACTCAAAATGAATCATAGACATAAATGCAAAAGAAAAAATTATAAAACTCCTGGAGCATAACATAAGAAAAAACTTAAATCACCCCGGATGTGGCAATGACTTTTAGATACAACACTAACGGCACAAACCATGAAAGAAAGAATTAATAACCTGGACTTCATTAAAATGGAAAACTTCAGCTCTGCAAAGAGAATGAAAAGACAAGCCATAGAGTGGGAGAAAACATTTACAAAAGACACATCAGATAAGGGACTGCTGTCCAAAATAGACAAAGAACTCTTAAAACTCAACAATATAAGAAAACAAACAACCTGATTAAACAATGGGCCAAAGGCTTGAACAGACATCTCATCAAAGAAGATACACAAATGGCAAATAAGAATGTGAGAAGATGCTCCACATCTTATTTCTTTAAGGAAATGCAAATTAAAACAACAATGAGATAACGGCTACACACCTATTAGAATCTGGAAAACTGGCAACAACAAATACTGGTGAAGATGTGGAGCAGTAGGAGCTCTCATTCATTGCTGGTGGGAATGCGAAGTGGTACAGACACTTGGAAAACAGTTTGGCATTCTTACAAAACGAAACATACTCTTACCATATGATCTGACAATCATGCTCCTTGACATTTATCCAAAGGAGTTGAAAACCTATGTCAGCACAAAAGCCTGCACATGGATATTTATAGTAGCTTTATTTATAATTGCCAAAACTTGGAAGCAACCCAGATGTTCTTCAGTAGGTGAATGGATAAACTGTGACACATCCAGGCAATGGAATATTATTCAGCACTAAAAATAAATGAGTTATTGAGCCATGAAAAGACACAGAGGAATTTCACATGTATATTGCTAAGTGAAAGATGCCAATCTGAAAAGGCTACATACCGTATGATTCTGACTATATGACATTCTGGAAAAGGAAAACTATGAAGGTAGTAAAAGATCAGTGGTTGCCAGGGATTGGAAGGGAGGGATAAATAGGCAGAGCACAGAGGATTTTTAAGGCAATGAAAGTGATCTGTGTATTGTAATGATGGATACATGTCATCATATATTTGTTCAAACTTATAGAATGTACAGCATCAAAAGTGAACCCTAACGTAGACTATGGACTTTGGGTGACAATGATGTGTCCATGTAGGTTCATCAATTGTAGCAAATGTGTTATTCTGATACAGGATGCAGGTAATGGGGGAGGGGGGAGGCTATGCACATGAAGGGGCAAGAGGTATATTGGAACTCTGTCTTTCTTTTAATTTTGCTGTAATATTAAAGCTGCTGTTAAAAAAAGTATTTTTTTTTTAATTAAAAAACTCCTCCAGGAAAAGCCTTTTCCCCTAGTAAAAGGACTGTGGAAAAGGTGGCCTAAATAACAGAAAACCTTTCTGAAATTACCCACCCTACTTTAGTCAACACCAACAGAAAAACCATCCCTCTCCTGTGGTTTCAGCCTAGCAAAGTGGGAAGTTGATATTCCACTCCACCCCATCCCCAATTCTCATGTAAGCAGATGTCGGTCCTCTGATTCCCCTGCCCAGAGGTGTCAGGGGCCCAAGCATGCTACCACTTCCCCATCAGGGTAGTGTAAGGAAGGTCAGGAGGGGAGTTGAGTCTCCACTCCCACCTGGCAGACTTAATGAGGTGGTACGAGATGGGGCTAAATCAGCACTAGACTTTACCAAGTAACCCCCACCTCAGGTATTAGTGAGGTGGATTGGAAACCTTTACTTCCACCCCTACTCAGTCCTGCAAGTCAGGGATGGCCAGCAGTCCATTTTCCACCCAATCACTGGTATCAGCAAAGACTAGTGGGGAGCTGAACCTCCATACCCTTGCCTAGCAGCAACAAGACTGAATAAGGAAGAATAGGCAGCTCTAGACTGCACTTTTGTTCCTCCCTTTCAACTTGGTATCAGATGGACCCAGCAGGGATTTGAGATTTCTCTTTCACCTTGCAGCAAAAAGGCAATATGGATCAGTCTCTATTTCCCTCTTCCCTAGCATGGGCTGGTGGGAAGCTGGGCTTACATCCTACTCAGTGGCAACAAGGCAGGGCAATTTAGTACCCCACTTTCCCCAGCAGGGCCCAGGGTAAGCTGAACTTCCACTCCACCTATCAGCAATAAGGCTTTGTCAGTCAGCGCTCTATTTTGCCAGAGTGGTGTTAGTGGGGCCTAGCAAGAAAATGAACAATATGTCCACCTGGCCCTTACATTACACTTTAACACAAAGACTGCCCGCTAAAAAGTAAAATTGAATACCATCCAAAGTCTCAAAATATAATATGCAAATTGTCTAGGGTATGATAATAAAATCATTAATCATACCCAGAACCAAGAAAATCACAACAATGAATGAGTAAAGATGATCAACAGATGTCAACACCAAGGTGATTCAGATATTAGAATTATTTAACAAGAATGTTAAATAAATCATCATAAAAATGCTCAACCAGCAATCACAAATACACTTCAAACAAATTAATGAAATAGAAAATCTCAGCAAAGAAATTGAGATTATAAAAAAGAAACAAATGGATATTAAAGAACTGAAAAATACAATAACAAAAATAAAATAACTCACTGGATGGGTTAATTAGTAGTGTAAAGATGAAAGAAGATAGAGTTAATGAGCTTGAGGACACATCAGTATAATTCACCCAACCTGAACAACAAAGAGAAAGTAATCTAAAGAAAACAAAACAAAACAATACAAAACAAAAAAAAGAAGAAGAAGAAGAGGGGGCTCAGGGATCTGTGGGCAATAACAAAAGATCCAAACGTTTCTATCATTGGAAACCCAGAAAGAGAGGAAGAGCGGAGAGAGTAAGAAAAATTAGTCAAAGAAATAATGGCTGAAAATTTTCAAAATTTATGAAAAACATAAACCTACAGATTAAAGAATCTGAGGGATCTAAACATAATAAACCCAAAGAAATCCATGCCAAGGCACATTGCATTTAACATTCTGAAAACTAAAAGAAGCAGAAAAAAACCCTTATGAGCAATCAGAGAATAATGGCACATTACTTAAAGAGGAACACTAATTCAAATGACAGTGGATTTTTCTTCAGGAACCATGGAGTACAGAAGGAAGTGGTACATTTTTCAAGTGCTGAAAGAAAAGAACTGTCAACCCCAAATTATGTATCTGGCAAAAATATCCTTCAATAATGAAGGGGAAATAAAGGTATTTTCAGATGAAGAAAAACTAAAAGATGTTGTTGCTAAGAATCCCACCCTTAATGAATGCCTAAAGGAAGTTCTCAAACAGACAGGAAATGATAACAGAAAAAGGCTTGAAACTACATAAAGAAAAGAAGAAATTCAGAATAGGCAAACATAGTGATAAGTATAATAAACTATTTTTCTCACGAGTTTATTAAATCATCTTGGATGAATGAAGCAAAAGTTATAATGCCATCTTATTTGATACTGAATGTGTATAGAGGAAATATTTAAGATAATTACATTTTAAAAGTAGGAAGGGTAGAAGGACCTAAATGGAAGTAAAATTTCCACACTTCACTCGAACTTATAAAATGTAGACTGTAAACTATGATAAATTAATACATATTCTGTAATATCTAGAGTAAATGCTAAGAAAATTATACAATGTAATATGCTAAAAACCATAAAACATAAACCAAGATGGAATCCTAAAATAGATTTAAGTAAAGCATGAGAATACAAAGAAGAAACAAATGGAGGACAAGAACCAGAGGAAGCAAAGGGTAAACAAATAATAAAGTAGCAGACTTAAGCCAGAACATGTGAACAATACCTCTTATTTATATGGTCTAAAACACTAATTAAAGACAGAGGTTGGCAGAGTACAAAGCATACGAAAATTAACCAGGCATGGTGGCGCATGTCTGTAGTCCCAGACACTTGGGAGACTGAGGTGGGAGGATCACTTGAGCCCAGGAGTTTGAGGACACAGTGAGCAACGATTGCACCACTGCACTCCAGCCTGGTAACACAGCAAATTTGTCTCAAAAAAACAAAAACAAAAACAGACAAACAAACGAAAACATGGCCAAACTCTATTCTATTACTCTAAATACAACATCATAGGTAAGTTGACAGTAAAACAATGGAGAAAACATACCATGCAAATATTAATTTTACAAAAGCATTAGTGGCTACATTATCATCAAAAAAGACTTCAGAGCAAAGAAAATTATTGGAGACAGGCAGACATTACATAATGATAAAATAATAATGCACTAGGAAAACATAATGGTCCTAGATGTGTATGTACCAAACAATGGAGTCTCAAAACACATGAAGTAGAAACTGAGAGAGCTAAAAGGAGAAATGGACAAATCTACAATTATAGCTGGGTACTTCAGCACTCCACTCTCAACAACAGATACAACTGCTAGACAGAATCTGCAAAGATGAAGAACTCAACAATACATCGTCAACTGAAAGGTTCTAGATGACATTTATGGAACACTCCATCCAGCAACAGCATATTACGCATTTGTTTCAAGTGTTCATAGAACATATACTGAGATAGGCCACATCCTGGGCCCTAAAACACACCTCAACAAATTTAAAATAATTGAAATCACAGCATTCTCTAATGTGATCAATGGAATCAAACTAGAAATCAATAACAGAAAGAAATCAAGAAAATCGCCAAATACTTGGAAATTAAACAACACACTTCGTAATAAACCATCAGTCAAAGAGGAAGTCTCCAAGAAAATTTAAAAATGCATTGAAATGGGCCGGGTACAGTGGTTCACGCCTGTAATCCTAGCACTTCGGGAGGCCAGGGTGGGCGGATTGCCTGAGCTCAGGAGTTCGAGACCAGCCTGGGCAACATGGCGAAACCCATCTTTACTAAAAGTACAAAAAATTAGTCAGGCGTGGCAGTGTGTGCCTGTAATCCCAGCTACTCAGGAGGCTGAAGCATGAGAATCACTTGAACCCTGGAGGCAGAGGTTGCAGTGAGCCGAGATCATGCCATTGCACTTCAGCCTGGGCGACAGAGTGAGATTCTGTCTCAAAAAAAAAATGCATTGAAATGAATGAAAATGAAAACAGCAGTTATAAAGACATGTGGGACATGGCTAACGCAGAGTTGGGAGGGAAATGTATAGCACTAAAAGCATATGTACATTAGGAAAAACGAAAGGTATCAAATTAATATGTAAGCTAAATCAATCATGTAAGCTTATACTTCAAGAATCTAAGAAGTGCAAAATATACTCAAAGCAGCAGAAGGTAAGAAATAATAAAGATAAGATAAAAATCAATGGATTTGAAAATAGAAAAGCAAGAGAAAATCAATGAAGCAAAAAGCTAGTTTTTTTAAAAGGTCAATACAATTGACCTCTAGCAAGATTGAAAAGAGAGAAGATACAAATCACTACTATCAGAAATGAAGCAGAGAATATCACAGATCTGACAGAAATCAAAAGAAAAATAGGGGAATATTACCAAAAACTCTACACAGAAATTTGACAACTTAGATAAAATGGACCAATTCCTTGCACAGCACAAACTACCAAAATAAACAATTTGAATAGCACTATCACTGTTAAGGAAGTTGAATTCATAATTGTAAAACTCCCTCCAAAAATCTCCAGACCTAGATGGCTTCATTGGAGAATTTTATTAAACATTGAAAAAGTAAAACCAAACCAATTCTGCACATTCTCTTCTGAAAAACAGAAGAGCAGGGAATACTTACTTCCCAATCCATTTTATGAAGTTAGTATTACCCTGATATGAAAATCAAAAAGAGTACAAAAAAGAAAACTACAGACCAAAACCCCTCATGAATATAGATGCAAAAATTTATAAGAAATTATTAGCTAACTGTCACAACTTAAACAACATGAAATATATAATCTAAATTGCCCTATATACCTTAAGGAAATGAATTTGTAGTTAAACACTCTTGAAAAGGAAATATCCATACCTAGATGGTTTCACTGGAGAATTTTCCCAGATGTTTAAAGAAGAATTAGTGCCACTTTTACATAATGTCTTCTAGAAAGTAGAAGAGAAAGGAAGAATTCCCAACTCATTTTATAACTCTGATACCAAAACAAGACAAAGACAGTACAGAAAAAGACAATTATAAATAAATATCTTTTATGAACTTAAATTTTAAAAATCAGCAAAAGATTTACAAATAAAATTCAGGAATATATAAAAAGAATAATACACCATGACCAAGTGGAGTTTATCTCGGGATTGCAAGGCTGGTTCACCATTTGGAAACACTCCATGTTATCCACAATATTAACAGTTTAAAAAAGAAAAATCACAGGATCATAACAGTTGATGCAGAAAAAGCATTTAGCAAATTTAACATCCATTTATAATAATAAAAAAAATCTCAGAAAGCTAGGAACAAACGAGAACATCCTGAACTTGATAACAAGCATCTACAGAAACTTTACAGATAATATTTTACAATCCTCCCTTGGTATACATGAAGGGTTGGTTCCAGGACCCCACTCATATATCAAAATCCACACATACTACAGTCCTACAGTCAGCCCTTCAGAACCTATGTGTGAGCAAAGTCAGCCCTCTGTATACGCATCCCACAAATACTGTATTTTCACAAATTTTAGAAAGCAGTTTGGCTTAAAAAATATCAAAATAACAGGAGAAGCAGCTTCTGTTGACTAAGAGGTAGCAGAGATGTTCCCAGACACCATTTCTTTGGCTTTCTTACTGCTTTTTATTACTACGTAAAAACTGGTTGGCAGTTTAGCAGGAAGACTTGTAAAAGAAGAATGACAACCAAGAATTTTTTGACCATTAAATCAGATTTGATAAACAGTGGAAGGAGTATGGACTTAAAACAAGGCATGATTATTCAGTTTTGTCAAAATTTTACCAAAATATGTGATATATATTTATACTAAAACTATATAATCCTTAGATTGAGAAAAGCAATCAGTTAATGTCTTACCTATTAAACACAGGTACAAGTTGAAAATTGTAGAAAATTGAAAGAAAACAAAAGACAAAATTAATGTCTATAGTAAGGAATAAAAGAGTTTAAGATATTTTAAAATTATGTGTATTTTCTTCTCTTTTACATAAATCATTTTTGAAAAGTATGCTGAAAATTTTTGAGTAATATTAATTATGATTTATTTTTCAATATAATTTGGAGATCCTTTGTTATCCAAAAAACAGAAAGAAAGAAAGAAAAAAGAAAATCATTGATAAGAAAGGATATCTGCCTGAACAGGATTTAATGCAGATGAAAGTGCCTTATACTGGAAAAAAAAAAATGTCATAAAGGACATTTAGTAGTAAGGAAGAGAAGCGAGCACCAGGATTTAAGGCAGGAAGGGATAGTCTAACTTTGCAATTTCGGGCAAAGGCAGTCCAGGTTCATGATCAGGGCTGCCCTTATCTATAAAGGTGCTAACCCCTGAGCCTTGAAGGGAAAAGATAAACACCAGCTGCCGATCTTTTTGTTGCACAGCAAGAAGGCCTGGACAATAAAAAAATTTTTTTCTGGATTGGTTCCATCGATCCTTTGTCCCTGAAGACAGGAAGTACCTTGTCAGTAAGAGACTGCCTTTTAAAGTTCTTTTGATATTGGACAATGCTCCTGGCCACCCAGAACTCCATGGGTTCAACACTGAAGGTGTTGAAGTGGTCTACTTGCCCCCAAACACAATTCTAATTCAGCCTTAGATCAGGGGGTCATAAGGACTTCTAAGACTCACCACACAGGTTACTGTATAGAAAGATTGTCAATGTTTTGGAAGAGAACCTCAATAGAAAGAACATCATGAAAGTCTGGAAGGATTACACTATTGAATATGCCATAATTGTTTAGAAAAACCTGTGAAAGCCATCAAGCCTGAAACAGTAAATTACTGCTGGAAAAAGCAACTGTGTCCAGATGTTGTGCATGACTTTACAGAATTTATGACAATAAACAGGGAAATCATGAAAGAGGTTGTGGATATGGCAAAAAAAAAAAAGATGGGTGTTGAAGGATTTCAAGATATGGATCTTGGAGAAATTATAGAGCTAATAGACACCATGCCAGAGGAAATAACAGAAGACAACTTTATGGAGATGAGTGCTTCCTAACTAGTGCTGGACCATGAGGACAAAGACATAAAAGAAGCAGTGCTGGGAAACAAATTGACATTAGACAATTGAACAGAAGGGTTCTGATTACTCAAGACAGCTTCTGACTTCCTTTACAGCATGAACCCTTCTATGATACAGGACCTGAAGCTAAAGCAAATGGTGGAAGAAGGATTGGTATTATATAGAAACATTTTTTAGAGAAATAAAAAAGCAAAAAGTTAGAGAGAAATTATGATGTATTTCCATAAATTTGCACTGGGTGGGCCTGCCTCTCCTGCCTCCTCTTCCACCTCCTTCACTTCTGCCTCTGTCATCCCCAAGACAGCAAGAGCAACCCTTCCTCTTCCTCCTTCTCCTCAGTCTACTCAATATGAAGATAATAAGGATGAAGACCTTTATGATGATTCCATTTCATTTAGTGAATAGTAAATATGTTTACTCTTCCATATGATTTACTTAATAACCTCTTCTTTTCTCTAACTTACTTAATTGTAAGAACACAGTATATAATACATATAACATATGAAATATGTGTTGTTTATGTTATTGGTGAGGCTTCCAGGCAACAGTAGGCTATTGGTAGTTAAGTTTTTGGGAAGTCAAAAGTTATAAGTGGATTTGTGCCTGTGCAGGGGGTTGGTACCCCAAACCACTATGTTGTTCAAGCATAAACTCTGTGTGTGTGTGTGTGTGTGTGTGTGTGTGTGTGTGTAGTATTGTTCAGGCATAAAGAAGAAATCCTGCCATTTTCAACAACATGGATGAACCTGCATGACCTGAAGTGGAAATAAGCCAGACAAAGAAGACAAATAATATATGGTCTCACTTATATGTAGAAATTTAAAATGCTGAACTCCTAGAAGCAGAGAGTAGAATAGTGGTTGTTAATGTCTTAGAGGTGGGGGAAATGGGAAGATCTTGGTGAAAGTGTGCAAACCTTCAGTTATAAGATGAATAAGTTCTGGGAATCTAATGTACAGCATGGTGACTATAGTTAGTAGTACTGCATTGTTCCCTTGAAACTTGCTAAGAGGGCAGATTTTAAGTGTCCTCACCACACACATATATACACAAAAAAATGGTAATTATGAGAGGTAATGGATGTGTTAATTAATTTGATTGTGGTAATCATTACACAATATATACATATATCGAATCATGTACACCTTGAATATACACAATTTTTATTAACTAAACATTTTAAAATTTAAAAACTCAAAATGGAAGATAAATCTAAATGTAAGAACTAAAACTATAAAACTCTTGGAAGAAACATAGAAATATATCTTTGACTTTGGGTTAAGAAATAGTTTCTTAGATATGATACAAAAAGCACAAGTGAGAAAAGAAAAACTAAATAAATTAGCTTTCATCAAAATTAAAATTTTTGTGCTGCGAATAATACCATCAAGGAAGTGTAAATATGACCCACAGAATGGGAGCAAATATTTGCAACTCTTATATCTGATGAAGGTCTAGAATTCAGAATATATAAACAATGCTTACAGTTCAACAATAGAAAGACAAATAATCCAATATAAAAATGGGCAAAGGCTCTGCATAAACACTTCTCCAAAGAAGATATACAAATGGCCAATAAAGCACGTGAAAAGATGCTCAAAATCATAGCCAACAGGGAAATGCAAATCACAATCATAATGAAATACCACTTTATGCTCACTAGAACAGCCATAATAAAAAAGACAGAAATTTACAAGTGTTGGCAAGGATGTGGAGAAACTGGAACTCTTATATATTGTTGGTGAGATTGTTAAATGGCACAACTACTTTGGAACAGTTTGGCAGTTCCTCAAAATGCTAAACATAGAGTTACCATATGATGCAAAAATTCCATTCCTAGGTATATGCCCAAGAGAAATGAAAGCATATGTCCACACAAAAACTTGTACATGAATGTTAACAACAGCATTATTCATAAGAATCAAAAAGTGATAACAGCTCAAATTTCTATCAACTGATGAATGGAGAAACAACATATGGTGTATCACAAATAATATGTGGAATATTATTTGGCAAAGAAAAGGAATGAAGTACTAATACAAGCTACAACATGGATGAAGCTTGAAAACATTATGCTAAGGGAAAGAAGTCAGTCACAAAAGGCTATTTATCTTATGGTTTTATTTATAGGAAATACCTAGAATAAGTAAATCCATATAGACCGAAAGCATATTAATAGTTACTAAGGGCTTGGGCAGGGGGTAATTGAGGATGTTTGCTAATGGATATGTGGTTCCTTTTCAGGGTAACTAAAATATTCTGAAATTAGATACTGGTGATGATGGTACAACTATGAATATACTAAAAGCCACTGAACTGAATATTTTAAATGGGTGAATTCGGTGGTATGTGAATGGTATCAATAAAACTGTGTTAAGAGAACACATACCATTTACAACTGCTGCATAGAAAATGCAATACTTAGATATTTAATATAATATAATGTGTATAGGATCTGCATCCAGAAAGTTACAAAATGCTTTTGTAAGAAATAAAGACTCCTGTGCATGTATCCTGGAACTTAAAATAAAATAAAATATAAAAAATCAAAGAGGAGCACAATGAGATTTCCTGTGACCTATTAAAATCCATAAAATTTATCAAAGAAATTTACATACGAAGTAAATCTTGATAGTAGTTCCAATCACAATAAATTATACTTGCAACTGACATTTATAAGCAATTTCTTTTCTCTCTTTAAAAAAACTCTATATTTTCTTTATGAAAATAGTGATTTTTTAAAACTCTACTCTAAAATGGGACAGGGCCGGGCGCGGTGGCTCACGCCTGTAATCCCAGCACTTTGGGAGGCCGAGGCGGGCGGATCACGAGGTCAGGAGATCGAGACCATCCTGGCTAACACGGTGAAACCCCGTCTCTACTAAAAATACAAGAAATTAGCCGGGCGTGGTGGCGGGCGCCTGTAGTCCCAGCTACTCGGGAGGCTGAGGCAGGAGAATGGCGTGAACCCGGGAGGCGGAGCTTGCAGTGAGCCGAGATCGCGCCACTGCAGTCCAGCCTGGGCGACAGAGCGAGACTCCGTCTCAAAAAAAAAAAAAATAAAAAATAAAAAAAAAAAAAAATAAAATAAAATGGGACAAAATATTTGTAATCTGAAGTGTTTCAAATTTTGTACTCTATTGCTGCAGTCTTATACTACATCAACAAGTATGAATACATTTATAAGAATATATTTAAAATATTTTCACTTATTGTATTTCCCTTGAAAATATTGACATTTTTGAATTTTAATAAAAAGAATTCAGAAAAAAAGAGTTGAACATCAAATAGAAATAATAATAAACACCTTTTTTGTGCTCATAAAAGAATAAAGACCTAAATAAAAGAGGAGACATACTATGTTTACTGCCTAGAAGACTCAACATAGTAAAGATGTCAATTCTTGAATTGACCTGTAGGTTTAATGCAGTTCTCATCAAAATCTCAGCAAAGTTTTTTGTAGACGTAGACAAGGTTATTCTAAAATATATGGAAAGGCACAAGTCCTAGGTTAAAACAATTTTGAGAAACAATTATACAATGGGAGGAGTACTTTTACCCAGTATTAACATTTTTATATGGCTACATTAGTCAAGACTGTGTGGTATTGGCAGAGGGATAGACACATAGATCAGTGGAGCAGAATAAGGAGCCCAGAAATAGACCCATAAAAATATTTCCCACGAATTTTTGACAAAGGTGTAAAAGCAGTTCAGTGAGGTGGGGATAGCCTTTTCAACAAATGCTACTAGAGCCATTGAGCATCCATAGGCAAAAAAATAATAAACATCAACCTAAACCTCACACCTTATACAAAAATCAACTCAAAATCGATTATGGCCTTAAATGTGTAACCATCAAACTTAAAAAATATTAGAGAAAATTTTCAGGACCTAAGACTTGGGGTAGAGTTCTTAGACTCAACCACAAAAATCTGACCCCCAAAATAGTCTTTTTGTGAAAGAACCTATTAAAAGGAGGGAAAGATAAGATACAGACTGAGAGAAAGTATTTTCAAATTACATATTGGACAAAATACAAGTATCTAGAATATATAAAGAACTTGCAAAACTCAACAGTGAAAAAAAAGAGAAAAAATGCAAATAATCCAACTAGAAAATGGGCCAAAGTCATGAACAGACATTCCGTGAAGTTATATGGATGAAAAATAAACTCCAGAAAATATGTTCAATCTCATTAGGCGTTAGGGAAATGCAAATTAATATGACAATGAGATATCTCTACACACCTGTGAGAATGGACTACTCCTGTATTGCACTACACCACTATCAGAATTATGCTGAGGGAAAAAAGCCAATCTCAAGAGATCACATGCTATATGATTGAATTTACATAACATTCTTGAAATAACAAAACTATAGGAATGGAGAACAGATTACTGGTTAGTTGCCATGGGTTCAGAAGTTGGGGTAGAGCAGATCAGGAGGGAAGTGGGTTTGGTATAAAACAGCAACACAAAGGATTGCATATCCTTGTGGTGATGGCACTATTTCTTTTTCTTGACTGTGGTCACATGACTCTACACATTTGATAAAACTGCTTTGAATTAAATACTCACACATGTACACAAATAAGTGCATGTATAACTGGTAAACTCTGAATAAGGTGGATGGAGTGTATCAATGTGACTGTCCTGGCTGTGAACTGGGTGAAGGGTAAATAGGATCTTTCTAGTATTGTTTCCTAAAACTGTATGTGACTCTACAATTATCTCAAAATAAAAGGCTGTTAAAAATCACAATAAAGCCTCTATAATTAAAACAGTGTGGTACTGGAAGAAGAATAGGCAAATTGACCAGTGGAATAAAATATGCATGTAGAAATAGACCCAAGTATATGTGGAGACTGAATATATAATAATGGTGACTTTTCAAATCACTGGAGCAAGATGAACATTTGTAAAATGGGGCTGCGATAGCTGGGTAGTCTCTTGAAAAAAGGGAAGGGGATGGGTGCTGTGGCTCATGCCTATAATCCCAGCATTTTGGAAGGCTGAGACAGGAGGAACGCCTAAGCCCAGGAGTTTGAGACCAGCCTGAGCAACATAGCAATATCCACTCTCTACAAAACATTAAAAAAAAAAAAATTTAGCCAAGTGTGGTTGTGGCACACCACCCCACCACTGACTATGACTATGCCACTGCACTCCGGACTGGGTGAAAGAGTGACACCCTGTCTCTAAAAAAGAATAAAAAAGAGAAACAAAAAGAAAAAAGGAAAGAGGTAAAGTAAGATCCCTCCCATATACCATTCATAAGAATAAACTCCAAATGGATTAGGAATCTAAATGTAAAACATGAAACCATACAAATACTGGAAGAAAATTTGGTGAATTTCTCTTTAAACTGGATGTGAGGAAAGGCTTTCTAACTGTGATTCAAATCCGGATATGATAAAAGAAAAGACTGATACTTGACGACATAAAAAAATTTTTTGCATGGCAAAACAAAACAAACATTGAAAAAAACCACAAACCAATTAAGTGAAATTACTTGCAACATATATCACAAATAAAAAAAGCTAATATACCTAACACAGAAAAATACTCTTAAAATTGAGGGTAAAAGACTAAAAACCCAATAGAAAAAGGGAGAAAAGACATGAACAGATAATTCACACACATAAAAATATCAAAAGGGCTCTTAAGCATATGAAAAGATGTTCCAAGCCACTCCTAATTAGAAAAATGCTAATTAAACTACACTGAGATACCATTTCTCACCTATCAGATTTGTAAAAATTAAAAAGTAAAGCAAATACTTTGTTGGTGAGGCTTTGGGGAAAAAAACACTCTCATACATTGCTAATGGGAATGCAAATTGGTACAATCTTTCTGGAGGGGAATTTGGCAATACCTAACAAAACTACATTTGTTTTTACATTTTGACACATTAATCCCACTTATAGAAATGTACTCTTTAAGATATACCTCTAACAATATGAAAATACATATGTACTGGGTTGTTTGTTTTATTTTTAATTGCAAAATATTGGAAACAATCTAAATGGCTACACATAGGAGGTTGGTTGAATAATCTATGGTACATCTACACAATGCAGTACTATGCAGCTGTAATGAAAGAATGAAGAAGATCTCTATATGGAGTGATTTCTGGGACATGCGTTTGAGTGAACAAGCAAAGCTCAAAAGAGTATGTCTATTAAGCCACCCTTATGTAAGGAAGGGGTATGGGAAAATACACAGATATCTGTTCATTTGTGCAAAAGGAAACACAGAAAAGCTAATGAAGTTGGTTACTTACAGGAAATGAGTGGAATGAGGTGGAAAGGACAGAAGTAATGGGAGATGTCACTTTTCTGAGGATTTCTTTTTGTACAGTTCTAACTTTTGAAACTATGTTATTATTTCACATGCTCACAGAAAAATAATTAAAATTAACAAAGAAAGATGGTTCAGGGGTGGGGGGCAGACAAAAAGGAATCTAAACAGAAACAAGTGAACTAAACCATATTCAAATGACCTCAGTGGGGCCCGGGAGATGAACTAGCCCAGGTAACTTTTTAACAGTGCTTGAAGGATTCACTCTTACGAAAAGACAAAAATAATTCTGAACAAATATTGTACTCTTGTCAATTGGCTTCTTCATAGAGTCATGGGTTAGCAACTCTGAAACTAGCTTCTATATATTCTAGGATTAAGTGAGTAAATATATTATGGTAATGGCAGAGAGATTTCTCACTGTTTTGCAAGGAAACTACAAATATGGGAAGGGGGAAGATAGAATGAACTTTGCTGTTGTATTGGAATTTGGAGGTTATCAGTGTGAACTCATGGTTTATGGGTAAGTAGGTAGGCAGGTAGATAGATAGATAGAGAAATAGATATTACCAAAATAATAAATAAAAAGGAATAGATATAGATGTGAGTTAATTATTTTCCTAGCTTTGTGGACTGAGAGGGTTTAGTAACAATGCCACATCTGTAGAAATGCGCATGCTTTTAGTACCCAGATCTTAGTTTTTAAATACCATTCTTCACTAAAAGAAGTTAAGATTCCATGGGAAAATGGCTGATATTAAGGCTAAGGCAGGGAAAGCACAAGATGAGCCTGGAGCAGATGTGCCAGAAATTAAGGGCGCGCTCAGAGGATGATTAGGGGCATGTCAGAAAGACATAGGAACTAGTTTGAAGGAGTTCCCACGGGACAAACCTCAGGCAATTTGAGCATCAAAATAAATAATGATAGGAAAGGATTATAACTCAAAGTAAAAATGCACAAGTCAACCTAATATAAATAAAAGCATAAGTAAATAAATGGGAGTGAAAGAAAAGTTCTTTCTTATAGTAGAAAGTCAACTAATAAATGTAGAATGGATGATGGAATCAGAAATTCATTATTTGGCAACCAGCATAATGCACTGACCATCTTGCCCCAGGCACAGACCATCAATAAATGCTAAACTAGTGAGTGAAAGTTTGAGGTGTACTAGGATACTAACAGCCTCAAAATATATTTATTTCCCCAAGATACTCATTAATTGCAACGGGAAGAAATAGGAACTGGACAGTGGAGATATCTGGCAGACATCACCTTAACCAAGTGATCAAAGTGACAATCACCAGGAATAGGATGAATGGAACTAACATCGTGGACCTCCTGATATGATACACTGATGGACAACATCACTTCTGTGGTATTTCTGCCAATAGTACATAACCCTGATCTAACTATGAGGAAACATCAGGCAACAAACTCAAACTGAGGGACTTTATGCAAAATAACTGGCGTGTACTCTTCAGAAATGTCAATGCTACAAAACACTAAGACAGATTGAGGAACCATTCAACATTAAAGGACACTAAAGAGACAAAACGACTGAATGCACTGCATGATCCTGGATTTTCTTTTGCTATAAAGGACATTATTAGGACAATTGGCAAAATCTGAATAAAGCCTTTAGATTAAAGTCTTTAGATAGATTAGTACCACTATTAGCTTCCTGATTTTGATCAATATGTGCTTATGCAGGAGAACGTTTTAGGAAATGTTAGGAAATATATAATGCAGTATTTGGAGATAAAAGAGCATCATACCTACAATTTGTTCTCATAAAGTTCAGAATAAAATTGTGTGTGTGTGTGTGTGTGTGTGTGTGTGTGTGTGTGAGGGGGTGGTAGATATAACATAGAATGTGGTAAAATGTTAACATTTGGGGAATCAAGTGAAAGGTATTTAAACATTATTTGTATTATTCTTGCAAATATTCTGAGAGTCTGAATTTATGTCAAGTGAAAAATTAAATTAAAAAAAGAGTTAGAAGTGATCAATTAATCTCCTAGGGAGAAGGTATTGAGATCAAAGATTAAAGGCCTGAGGGGAAACCATTAGAAAATGCTCACAGCTGATGGGTGAGTTTCTAAGAAACAGCAGGACAAGAGTCTCCAGGCACAGTGGGTATTCAAAGAGTGGTAACTGTTGTTTTCATAAATTTCAGAAAGTACTAGTTCATCTCAGAGATATAGACCTCCTAACTCTTTCAGAAACATCACTAAATATTGCTTCTAGAAAGGATTTAAAGGTCATGTACTGTACTGGTCAAGTCACATCTTCCAAATATAACAATCTAACATAATAAGAGGAAAATTCCACAAAGCCCCTTTAGGTCAGCCTCCTCTTTGTAACAGTGGGAACCGTGAGGCCCAGAGAGGGGAAGGGACTTGCCCAAGGTCACACAGCAAGGCAGTAGAGCTGGGCCAGGCACCAGGGTGCCTCCCTCCAAGGCCAAGGCCTCTCTGACTCTGCACCTCCATACAGTCTGGCTTCAGGCCAGAGGAGTGGATGGCTGGGAACTAGACAAGAGGTAGCTGGGCTGGAGCTGAGAGATACAGTCCCAAAGTTGGTGGCTGTTCGGGAATGAGTGGGGCGCATTTTGTGAACATCCCATAAGCTATAGGTGGCCAACACATTTATGTGATTAAAAATACAAAATAAGGCTGAATACGCTGGGTGCAAACAGTTGAGAAAATAAAAGCTTCTTTTAGACAAGACAAACTGTTACTCAGTACAAAAATAAGGGTGGGGTGGCTTGGGATTGTTTTTTTTTTTTTTCCATAATGAAAATTAGCAAATATGAAGTCAAACCTAAAACAGCCCATCTGTTTGAAATAAAATAAATCCAAATAACAAGCCCCTAAGGACCACCCCCCAATATTCAAAAAATCTGTTTTATTTTAAATTAGGCATTGGTACAAAACCAAGAAAATTAAATATTTACTGTTAACAGAGAACCCTTGGATGTTGGGGGCAGGGGTGGAGAATAAAAATTCCATTCTGATAAGCTAGTATCTGATAGCTAGAAATCAGAATCACTCAGCCCTATATTCTGCTGACTGCAGGTCCCATTTGGAGTTGAGGGCCTGGAGGCTTCTTCTGTAAGATCCTAGGAAGTGCGGTGTGGGGCAAGCAGTGGGTTGCAAGCTGGGCCTCCTGGGTCCTGGACCACCTCAGCTCCTAGCAGCTTGCCAGGGAAGCCTGGGCAAGCATGATATTTTTCTTCAGCTGCAGCATCCTCAAGCATAAAACAAGGGGTCTCTAAAGGAATTTTTTTCTATTATTTGGTCCTACATAAATACATGTCAACTTTGTCTTTAGCTAAAACTTCTAAAACTGTTATCACTTATGTAACAGTCACAGTCCCCACCTACCCAAACAAAAATACAACCCCATGCTTTCAAGTCTCTGGTAATTTCAAAAAGAACAAATTATTACTTATCCTTTTCAAATATTTTAAGTAACTTAGAGTTTAACTTGCTACTGGAGAATTCAGAAATGCCAGAGCTGGAGGAGCCCTTTGGATGCCCCTACACCATTCCTTCATTGTACAGATGGAGAAAATGATGCCCAGTCTGAGGAAATAGCTTGCCCCAAGTGCCATGGCTAGTTGGTATCAAAGCTGAAGCCAGACCACATGTCGGTGGCCCTCAGGTGGGTATTCTTCCCACTGTAGCACCAGGGACTCCTCCCAGACTCAGAAAGCTGGTCTGAAACAGTGAATCTTCCAAAGGGCAACCACCCACTGCCAAACTTTCCAATTTACAAACTACTCTCATTTTGTTTGATGACGTGATGGACCTAAAATTCCTAGGTGGCATCTGCTTTCAACTGACTTGCACGATTCCTCTCCCTCCAGATTAATAATGAAATTAAGGGTGAGATGCTCTGCCAAGGATGGGAATGGGAGCCACTCTGCGTAGTGACCCTGTGCTAAGCACTCTTTTTCAACATGATCTCCACTTAACTACCCGTGGCAAATCGGGTTGGTTTAACAAAAGAAAGAATGGGTAGGGAGACACCTCAATCTGTTTGCAAGGCAATTCAAAGCAAAAACAGTTCTCTCTTTCTAAAGGAGAGGGAAAGCCCAAGCTCCTAGCAACACATTTCTTTCCAAAAGGTTCCTAAAATGCACATGGGGTGGGGGAAGGGACTTAAAAGCTCTGCAAATGCGTGGCAGCCTCCACTTTGGAACTGCATAGCAACAGGCTGAGCAAGGCCAGGATCTCCCTCTGAGGGTTCAAAGGGCTTTCCAAACCTGCTATTTACTTTCTAGGGCTGACTTTGAGGACCTGAGCATTCATCAGGGCCAGGTTAATATGATGATGGGCTTGTGTTTCTAGGAGAATTGAAAATACACTATTGTGAGGAGCCAGACAGAGAACTTGGAAGGTGCACAGGATCAACAAGGGCCAAGGAAATGTCTTCATGACTTGTCATGAGACCCAGGGCCAGCACCTGCTCCTCTCTGGGCCTCAGTTTCCCCATCTTTGATATATGAGCCCTCGTGGCCTTGCCATGAGAAGACTTTCCACACTTCCAGGGTTAGACGGGGAAGGTTGTGGAAGTCTTATTTGAATGGAGTCCAGCCATCCTCTTCCCTCCTAAGCAGACCCCCCACACACCAGCAGGCCCAACCTGAGGCTCCTCTCCAAAAGGACACGACCCCACTTCCTCAGGATGGGGCCCTGGACAGATCCTGGGGTGAGACTACTTCCCAGTTTTCATGAGGGTCTGGCTAGGCCCTTTCAGTGACTATGAGAGAGACACCCAGGATCCACTTTACCTTCTCATGCCCGGTGTGACCGTACTGAAATGTGAAAAACCAAACAACTATCTGCCTCCTCAGATCCCATTTTCTCACTTCTGCAGCAGGCAAATGTGGAACCTCCTCAAGGCACTGGACTGGCTACACACATCCTTGACCCATTCTGGAACTGCCGAGGGCTGGGTAATTGGGATCTCTAAAACTGTCTAGATCCTGGACACACTGCATGCTCTTTGAGGTCCCTCCCAAGCCAGAGTCTCTTTAATGCCAGTTTGCCTGGGCGTAACTTATGCAGTATCAAAGAAAGGGACAAAATGACTTTTCAAGTCAAAAGAAGCCTGATTTTCTCTTGTTAAATTTCTCACATCAAATGGAAATGCAAAATAAATAGTAAACACTGACACTAAAGAGAGCAACCCATGAGTGTGCCCTGAGCCTGATATTTACAGGACCATCTCACCAACACCGTCTCTTTTGAATCTCCCACAATGCTCCAAACTTGGTGGAACTGACATTCTGATATTTCCATCTGACAACTGAGGGCACTGAGACTTGGCAGGTTCACAGACTTGCCTAAAATCCCACAGTTGGTCAATGTCTCCTGCCGAAAGCTCATATTGAGGCTTTCTTAACCTGTGACAAAAGATCCTCGAGAGAACCATGAGTGGGCTTAAGGCCTAGTAGTACCCTAAATTAGATGCAACATTGCGTGTTATTTTTCAATTGTCTAAGGAGAAGACCCAGAGCTTTCATCAGATTCACAAAGAAGTCTGTGATCCCTAAGAGGCAAACAGCCACTCCTGCTTCAGAGGATAGGGAGTCATTTTTGTTATGATTTGAGGTTCAAGAGACCAACTGGGGTTAGCTTCCCTGAGGGCAAGCTCAGAAAAACCTTGGCAACCAGGCAGTTCTCTAACTCATAAATAGGACCAGCTTTATGCCAGGCATGGTACCATTTGGTGGGGTGGAGGGTGGGGTGTGGATTAGAGGGCTTCCCTAAGCCCTGAATACCTCCTTACCTGTGCCCTAAACAGCAGATTCTCTCCAAGGCATGGTAACTCTTGCATCTTTTAATTCAAGTTAGAGGCTCCAGATTCTCCAGAGGAAGGGAATCCCACTAAGGTACAGCGGGCTGAGGATGGCATCTTTCTAGGTAAGGTGGAGAGGGGGTGTGAGAAGCAGGAGGCAAGTCTAGAAACCGGTAAGGAAAATGTAGGGGTACTGAACCTAAACTCGATTTGCTCGGGATTTGGCAGCCAAAGGCATGGCTGAAAATGCCAGTGAGCCTGTCCCCAGCCGTATGCAGAATAGGGCTTCAGACCTAGCCTTTGCTATCTTGGCAAAGTTCTACTCCTGAGAGAGGGTGAGTGTGTGAGTGTGTCTGTGTGTGTGTACCTGTGTGTGTGTGTGTGTGTGTGTGAGAGAGAGAGAGAGCTCTTCACAACCACCTGAGCAAGGAGATGAGAACTCAAATGGCTAACCTGGCCAACTCTCAAATCCCACAAATCAGCTTCGGTGGACCCAAACTAGGCAACCAACAATGCTGCTAAGTCTCCCCAACCAGGGCCTGAGAATGCAGTCTTCTCAAGCACCCAGAATGGGGAACGGGCCTCCCACTCTGGGATCCACTGCTGCTGTTTGGGAAGGTGGGGATAAAAGATATATGTGGGACTGCCAAAGGGCTGTTACTCTTGGGGATTGCTGGTGCGGGACGCCCAGGAAGAGCAGGCAGGAGGAGGGAGAAAAGCCTGCCTGGAGAATCCCCATTAACTTCATCTTGTGATTTCATTGTCACAGCCACTCAGAACAGGTTTGGCCCCAGGGGCAGGCTCTTGGGAGCCTCCGATTTGATAATGTGCTCACCTCGTGCTGTGGGACAAGACCTCACCACGAGCCCTATTAGTGGGTGAGAAAGGACTCCCTGGCTGCCCTATTGCACAGGGCATCAGTCATACTCCAAAACTAACACCCCAGCCACGTGCTCGGGTGTTACCTTTGTGTCTGGTGCTCCCCTGGTGGGATTAGTGCAGTGACACTCCTTGATATTTTCAGGGCTCATTTCGAGAACTGTCATGGCAACTAACATGATAATGCTCTTTACCCCATGGCTGGGGGATCACTAGAAACAACCAGATTGTTCACTTTAGCTCGAATGTCAGCACAATTATTTTAACACCAAGTGTGTCAGGTTTGACTCCGTATTCCGGAAATTAATTTTAGAGTGGCAGGGAAATAAAATGGCATACTTCTTTGAGCTTTGTTACAACATGTTCGTGCAGCAAACTGCGAAGAAAATGTAGTAATTAGAGGTTAAATTAATCCTTGACAGACAAGCAGCTTAGAAACGCTGTGCCCTCCTCCCGAAGCCTAGCATAAAGCATGCCAGTCTTTCAGAATTAGACACGCAAACCATGTGACGTTGGCAACTGCACCAAAACTACTGTCCCACTTAAAATTCCGAGGCTGGTGCTGGAACTTCCAGAGGCAGATATTAACACTGAGATCTCATTAAGAGCCAAACCCAAACAACCTCCCACCATTGCCAGAGGAGCCCACCCAGCCAAGCCCTCCACAGGGCTGGCTGCCTGACTCTCTGACAGCAACTCGAAAACGAGACACACACTACCTTCTAATTCTTAATTTACAATCTCCATTCTCCAGCTACTTCCAGACTTCGAGTTCAGATTCTAATATGCCCCTTTGCTGTCCTAACAATGCTGAGCAAAGCACACGTTGATACAGGGTAGATTATATTACGCCACAGTTACAAGCGCTCCCCCTCCATTGGCTGCATTTCTTTTTACCACATTTGCTCTGCCTCAAAAGGAAAGCCTGTCTGCCCACACATGGGTGCAAAATGGATGTTCTACACTTGACTGAGAACTAGAGACCAGGGTTCTGTCAACTTTGGGCTCCCTTTACTATGTCCCCATAGGAAAGTCAGACGCTTCTCTGGGCCTCAGTTTCCTCTTCTGTAAAATCATGGGGTTTTACTCTTCCAGCTGTAAGATTCTCCATCTTTCAACATCTGAGTTTGCAGGTGAGGTGGTGCACCTGTGCTAACTATGTACAGGTGCAATGGTCAACTGACTGGCATAGCCACAGAAAGGAAGGCAGAGCTGGGTCCTGTCTTCCTCCTCCCCACTCTGTCACAGCACGCTGCCGAAGCTGAGAGTGGAATTTCGGATTCAAATGCAGGAAAAAATAGAAATGCATTACTTGTGGGGTGAGGGTGGAGCTGGGACAATTGGACCAAGAACTTGGAATTCCTCAATGTGTTCAGAATTACTTGACTTTGTTTTTTTCCTGTCTTTATGCTCCAAAGACCCACACTTTCCTCTCACAGGTGAACACAAGCTGGGGCCACCAGGCCTTTTTGACCTGGATGCCATTAACTAGCTCAGGTGCTGTGGCCTCCAATGATCTCTTCCAAAATCAGCAGAAAACTGTCCCTGTGGTCTAGTGTCTAGGTACTCGCACAGGTGGAAGAAAGGGGAAAAAATCAACGGCTGGCCTGCTAGGCCCTCTTCCAACAAGATGATATCACCTGGTCCACTCCATCCTTCTCTGAACCTCAGGGAACAATTCTCAGCCTTAAGAAAATGGCCTTTCCCAAAATCCACTTACTGGTTATTTACTTGGCAGAACAAGCAGCAGGGCACATGGGAGGGTAAGGTAGCTTACCCCACCTGCCCACCAAGGAAATGGGGGTCTGGGAGGCTCCAACTGGGCTGTGCAGAAAGGGGCACTGGCTGTGTCCAGGTCAGAGGGCAGCCGGGCAGGACTGAGTTGCCTTGGTGGGTGGGTCGGGGGTCCTCCTCCAGGGGTATGAAGAGCCCACCCTCTTGCAGGCCGAGGAAGGGAGGGAGTAGTCTGAAGCTGGGGCCTCAGGGAGGCTCAAGATAGCCAATCTGGGCAAGGAAAGCTCTCCTAAACTTTGCAAAGAGCTTTTTGCTTCTTGCTCCCAAACCCTCCTTAGGCCCTGTCTCTGGAAGCCTTTACTCTGGGAGCTCAGTGCCTACAGCCAGGGAGGCCCCTTGCTATTCCCTCCCCCGGGGGGAATATTTTTGAACTGTTTCATATCTGATTGCTTTGGATGTTATAAAGATGTCAGATTTTAGGAGAAAACTCGAGGTTTGAAGGAAACCAGGGAGGCTCTGTGAAGGGGAGAAAGAAAGCAACCAGAGCTGGGGGGGTGGAGGCAGGGAAATAAGGTAACCCAACTCTTTTGCTTCTGTCTCCACCTCTGGAAGAAAATGCTCTTGGGGCTTCAGCAGCCCTGGGCTGGTAATTTGGGAGCAGGACCCCACAGGACTATGCACCTCCAATCTTGGCATGTAAATATCCTATAACACAAGCTACTGTTTCTTACCTCCATGGACAACCCCCTGACTAACTGTCCTGACAGCTCCATGGGGCCTTTTCTTCTTCCTTTGACACCTTTACAGACTAAAGAACAACAATGACACAACAAAAATAAGAAGTAATAAGTATTTGCAACACAGTCTCTTCAGGTTCATTCGGATTTATGAAATTTTCCTCCTCGAAGTACTGAAGATGTTTAAGGACCCAATGCCTACAAAACCAGGCCAGTTCCAATTGAGCTTTGCAATGCTTTTTTCCTGCCATACAGTTGACTGGTGCTGCCTAGGTTACCCCTCGGTGGCGTTGTGAGAGGTGTATGATGGGAATTGGTTTATTGTGCTGATCCATAGTAACCGGCTCCTGTTCCTCCATCATTTATCTCCCTCCCCAGTGACATCTGGGTTGGTCTATTCACACTCTCAGCATTCTATCTGCTCCAACAAACACTCAGCCTTTTCTGCTTGGATAAGGAGTTTTTTAGTTACATCCATTATATGTGTATCAACATTTATGGCAGCAAGATAATTGCCAAAGAACTCAGAGGATAAAGAGTCCTTCTTCATAATGTTCACCCCTGCCCCTTTAAAAAATCAATATTAACATCAAGTAGGACAGCAGCAGGTTCTTACATGGCTGCTGTATCCCCAAAGTTGGAAATGTGATTTAAAAAAAAACAGCTGGATTAGGAAGAAAAGAAAAGGTTCAACAATGGGTTCAGAACCCACACCCCAGTGGTGCACGTGTGTGTGGATGGAAGGCCTTTTTGTCTTTGAAACCTTCACTAAATAACTGCAAAGCAGCAAATCTGCTCTACATTAGATGAGTCCTTTGGAAATATGCCAGTCTACTCTAAAGAGTTTAGATCCCGTTATCTGTATACCAACCCAATGATTAGGAGGCCTGCCATCAATAGGAGTACTGGACAAGAGAAACTTTGGGTTGATTTCTGATGTCCGCTGTCTCTGATTCTGGGTTAGAAGTTCACACTTGCAAAAGACACAAAAAGGTGAACACTTCACACTTTTGTATTGTTTTGATTGGCCTTCTGCCATTTTTTTACTCCTCCTTTTTATCCTTGCCCTTCAAAATATCAGCCCCTTTTTATTATCTGTCTAGCTGTTTCCCAATGACAAGGTTGAACTTGATGTTTCACTTTCCCAGAAAATGACTATTTCATTCACAAACCATAGTGTTTTAGAACTGGAAGGGACTCAGACTCAGAGGTCATGGGATTGGGGGAGAGAAAGGATGGACTTGTCCAAGATCACTCTGTTAATTAGTGGGCAGAACTTTCTAGAACACAAGTTTCCCAGCTCCTAGGCTAATGATCTGTGCAATGCACTGTTGCAGAAAAAAAAAAAATCAGAATCTTAAAAAAAAAGGGTTTATTCAATGCCATCCCCATCAAGCTACCAATGACTTTCTTCACAGAATTGGAAAAAACTACTTTAAAGTTCATATGGAACCAAAAAAGAGCCTGCATTGCCAAGACAATCCTAAGCCAAAAGAACAAAGCTGGAGGCATCATGCTACCTGACTTCAAACTATACTACAAGGCTACAGTAACCAAAACAGCATGGTACTGGTACCAAAGCAGAGATATAGACCAATGGAACAGAACAGAGCCCTCAGAAATAATACCACACATCTACAACCATCTGATCTTTGACAAACCTGACAAAAACAAGAAATGGGGAAAGGATTCCCTATTTAATAAAAGATGCTGGGAAAACTGGCTAGCCATATGTAGAAAGCTGAAACTGGATCCCTTCCTTATACCTTATACAAAAATTAATTCAAGATGGATTAAAGACTTAAATGTGAGACCTAAAACCATAAAAACCCTAGAAGAAAACCTAGGCAATGCCATTCAGGACATAGGCATGGGCAAGGACTTCATGTCTAAAACACCAAAAGCAATGGCAACAAAAGCCAAAATTGACAAATGGGATCTAATTAAACTAAAGAGCTTCTGCACAGCAAAAGAAACTACCATCAGAGTGAACGGGCAACCTACAGAACGGGAGAAAATTTTTGCAATCTACTCATCTGACAAAGGGCTAATATACAGAATCTACAAAGAACTCAAACAAATTTACAAGAAAAAAAAAAAACAACCCCATCAAAAATTGGGCGAAGGATATGAACAGACACTTCTCAAAAGAAGACATTTACGCAGCCAGCAGACACATGAAAAAATGCTCATCATCACTGGCCATCAGAGAAATGCAAATCAAAACCACAATGAGATACCATCTCACACCAGTTAGAATGGCGATCATTAAAAAGTCAGGAAACAACAGGTGCTGGAGAGGATGTGGAGAAATAGGAACACTTTTACACTGTTGGTGGGACTGTAAACTAGTTCAACCATTGTGGAAGACAGTGTGGCAATTCCTCAAGGATCTAGAAGTAGAAATACCATTTGACCCAGCCATCCCATTACTGGGTATATACCCAAAGGATTATAAATCATGCTGCTATAAAGACACATGCACACGTATGTTTATTGCGGCACTATTCACAATAGCAAAGACTTGGAACCAACCCAAATGTCCATCAATGATAGACTGGCTTAAGAAAATGTGGCACATATACACCATGGAATACTACGCAGCCATAAAAAAGGATGAGTTCATGTCCTTTGTAGGGACATGGATGAAGCTAGAAACCATCATTCTCAGCAAACTATCGCAAGGACAAAAAACCAAACACCGCATGTTCTCACTCATAGGTGGGAATTGAACAATGAGAACACATGGACACAGGAAGGGGAACATCACACACCGGGGCCTGTCGTGGGGTGGGGGGAGGAGGGAGGGACAGCATTAGGAGATATACCTAATGTTAAATGACGAGTTAATGGGTGCAGCACACCAACATGGCACATGTATACATATGTAACAAACCTGCACGTTGTGCACATGTACCCTAGAACTTAAAGTGCAATAATAAAAAAAGGTTTTACTGTATATTGAGGCTCCTTTAAAGAAGAGGCATAGTCCAGCTATTTTCAGAAGAGCCACTTGTCTAAGACCAGTTTATTCCCTTTCATAACCCCAAATAGTAATTGAGTTTCCTAGGGACCATCCATTAACAGGTGCATTTTATGCCTTTAGGTGATCAATTTAAAAGGGAAGAAAATACATTAAACATGCTGGCTAAGCTAAAAAAATCCCTTTCCTTAGTAAAAAGGATTGACAGTAGTGAATCTCCTACCTTAAGTTGCAGTGAATCTGTAGACCCCACCCCCACCCCAGAAACAGGGTATTTCCTGGTGGAGTGTAAAAATTCAATGACGTTCCTATTTCAACCCACACATCTGTGTCACTGTCAGCGTCAGTGGCAGGAAAACAGACGAAGTCACCCTTTGCTAATGATTTCCTAACATGGAATTTCCTTGTATCTCCTAAAGGCTTTCTTCTTCCAACGCCAAACTCTTCCCCACCCCCCACCCCAACACATTGTACTGAAGAAAAACTGAAAATGGTCACAGCCGGAAGAGGATGATTTTTAAGGAGATCTTGTAAGGAAAAGCTTCAGCTCTTTGTGATATTTTTAAAGGGGGAAAGGGGGGAAAGAATGCTAGTTTTTTCCGAAGCTGAACAAAACAGAGAGATTTCCTCCCAGGCATCTGGAAATCTCTCAGCCCCACCTCTTTCTTTCTTTTTTCCTGCCTCGTCTGTCCCAAGTTCCACTTTGAGCAACATTCTTACTTCAGTACTGAAAGAAACACTCGCACATCGCAGGCAGGCACCGGGAGAGGGCAGGGCGGCCCCCAGAGCAGGGAGCAGGCATTGGAGAACCACCAAGCACAAAGCAGTATAGGAGCCCATCACTTTTCCCCTCTGGAGAATATCCTATTTAATATGCAAACTGGTCATGAAGTGAAAAGAGGGCTGTTACTTTAAGGGGAAGAAGCTGATTAGCTGCTCTGGCTGGCAGCAAACAGCTGGTCTGTCCGGCAGGTTCAAGGCCATTTCAGCTTCTCTCTTATGGAGGCACCATATGTTCCATCTCGCACATCAGCAGCTTTATTTTCCAATGATCTTGCTCCAGAAGAGAAGCACAAAGGAGGGAGGAGAAGGCAGAACCAGTAGTTTACCCTTTGATTACTTTCTTGTGGTTTTAGATGCAGTTGGGATGTGTGTATGCGCGCATTTGGGATGTGTGTATGCGCGTTGAGGGTGTTAACGCTTCATCTTCTACTCCAAAGACGCAGAGAACAAATGTTTGAGCAGCACTTATCAATAACCTCCAGAGATGGGAGGGGAGGGGAGTAGGAGAAAGATATGCAAAAAGGCACAAATAAAACGTCGACATCAGATTAAATGGAAGTAGGAGGGGCGGAGGCGGCCAGAGAGCGGGTGGAATCTGACTTCGCTTGGGAGACCCACCAGCCTGAGCCTGGGCCCCGCCCACTTTCCTTATTTGTCACTTTTTTCTTTTCAGTATTCCCTTCCCGAACAAACTCTATGAGAGACACCGACCACTTTGGGGCACAGGGGCGGAGCAGGCCAACAGAATGGCGAAAGGTTACTTCTAACATTATATTTGACATTCCTCAGTGCAAGCCCTGGTTCTCGAAAGTTTTAGGGGGGCAGTTATAAGGGACAAGGACCCGCTAAATGGTCAATCTAACTAAAGCTGGCAGCTTTAGTGTCAGGCGCTGGGTTAGGTGCAGAGGCAGCAGGCCAGCGCGCAGTCCAGAGTAGCACGCTCATCCTCACTGCCCGCCTAGGCTACACGAACCCCGGAGGTGGCGGCTCCCACTGCCTCCGCGCCTCCAAACAAAGGGCGCTCGGAGAGTTTGAGCCCTTGTGTGTGGTGGGGCGGAGGGTGTGGCAGGAGGGCGCGGGAAGAAATGAGGCGTGTAGCCAGACGCGGGTGGCCTAAGCCTCCGAGCTGCCGCCTCCGTCTTAGCCACCGGCGGGCGCGACAGCTGCCCTGAGCTCCGGCGGCGAGGGGCGCCCGCTGCAAAGCGAAACCAAGGAAAGGGCGCCCCCTATGCCCGAGCCCGGCGAGCGCATCGGCGAGTCGCGTCTGCCCACCCCGCGGAGCGCTTGCAGCCTAGGGCCTCTGCGCGCGCCCGCCAGCTCGCAGTGCAGTCCACTCGGCCGTCCCGGCCGCCAGGATTTAGGGTGTCCAGGGCTGGCAGGCCGGGCGTGCAGCGAGGGCCGGGGCTGAGGCTCCGTGCGCCTTCGTGGGTTCCCACAGAGGGTCCTCGAAACACAGCCCCCTCCCCCATCGCCTACACTTGCCCTCCTGTCCCGAGCGGCTCGAAACCACTTGGAGACAGCCGCCCCCGCCCTCTGCCTCTGCGTCCCTTTTCCCCTTCCCTCTCTCCAGCCTCCTGGGAAACAAAGGGGCTTTTTATAAAGCGGATTGTTGGCGGCGGCGGCGGCGGGGGTGGGAGGGAGGGGGGATCTATAAAGACAAGAAGAGGTGGGAGGGAGGGAAGGAAAGAAGCTGCGCGGCCTCCAGGGGCCCAGAGCTGCGGTGGCGGCCGGGAAGCCCCGGCGGGTGCACGGTCGACCCCGCCCGGCCGGTGGGCACTCGGGCGGCAACCCACGCCTGCCAAGAGCTGGGCCGCGCCGCTGCGATGTCGCTCGCCGGCTCACCGCAACCAGGGAACACAATTCCCCAGGCGCGGGCCGGGGCCGCTGGGGGCGGCGCAATTCCCGCGGGGGTCTACCCCGGGAGACCCAGGCCCTCTCCCTAGCCAACTCTTTCAAAATTGCTTGGTCTCAGGGAGACTTTGCGCCTTTGTTCCAGCGCAGCCGCCTCTAGTAAGCTCGGCTCGCTCGCCCTTGCAGACAATGTCCCGGAGCCGGCCTGGGTTTGCCTACCCGTGAGCAGCACGTTCACCGTGGGGACCGCGCCCCCGGGGGGCACCGTGGTGCCAAACAACAACGACAAGCCACCCCAGCAAAAGCAGCCCCTTCTCCCCACGTCCCCCAGCCACGCTGTGCTCCCGCCCGCTCACACACACCCACACTCCGGGTGCCCAGGTCAGCCGCACCCAGCTGCAGAAGCGCGGCGGGGCGGGAGTGAATGCTCCAGCCCGAGGCGCGTGTTTGCACAGGTTCCGATGGCTTCAGGGCCGAGCTTTCTGGCAGGCTAATCCTATTAGTGTCTGCTCAGTCCGAATTTAATCACGGATCAGAATCAGACGACATCTCCAGCTTTCCAGGAGGCTTCGGACACACTGCATTGGGACGGAGCCTGGCCAAGCCAACTGGCCGAGAAAAGTATTTGGCGGCGCTCCGGGGGGCTTCCCGCCCGCGCTAGCCGGCGCCGGGCGCCCAGCTCTGTCGTCGCGCGGATGCTGGGGAACCTGAAGCGCGGACTCTGACGCAGGGGCGCCGGGGCTGCTCCGCAGGAACCCAGTCCGGGCTGCCCTGAACACCAGCTCAGCTCCGGGCTGCGCTTCCCAGGAGTTGGCAGGGGAGGGAGTGCAGGGCAGCGGATTCGGCGCGCACACTCCACACTCTCGCTCAGAGGCGGCAAACAGCGTTGGGGTGGGGAAATCCTTCATCCAGCGCCCACTGCCTACTGGCCTGGGCTCAGGCAGCTGGCATGTGAAGGCACCGTCGCCGGTGACACCCAGGCTGCAAGCGACCCGGGGGTGCTGGGACAGAGTGGGAGCCTCCCAGTAGCCCAGCGTAGCCCGAGGAGCTTGCGCCCTTCTACCTTTCCTCCCCGGTACGTGGCTGTCCCCGCCGGATTTCAGACGCCCGACGGGCGCCGAGCCAAAGGCCGTGGTCTCCGGCGTTTCGAGCTGCGCCCAGCCCAGCCGGGCTGGTTCGAGAAGGGGGTGGCCGCCCGCAGCGCCAGGTGGGCCGTGTGCTCAGAGCAAACTTTAGGGTCTACCGACTCGAAGCACCCCTGGGACCCCGATCCTCAGCGATGGGGACCATAACTGGGGGCTACAAGTGTACCCCGGAACCCCCAGAACAGTCAGACTTCCTGCACCCGCCCTCAGCCTTACCGTGCTGCAGAGCTCCGGCGGCGGCGGGGGCAGTGTCCGAGGGGCGGGCGGCCGCCGGCGCGGGCAGCCTGGACTCAGGCGGCCGCCAAGGAACCCAGCCCTGTTGCAGATCACCCCCTGGCTAGCGGCCGGTGCCCCCGCGCCCGCCCGCCGCCGGCCGCTTCAGCTCGCGGCCAAGTTCATGCTGGCGGCGCTGCAGTGGCGGCCTCAATCTGCTCGCTCCATTCCCACCGCCCGGCTCCGCGCCGCGCGCCCGGAAGGTGGAGTTTCGGGGGTTTAAGTTACTGATAGGCATTTCTCACTGCTGTGTCACTCGGGGAGGAGGAGACACGCACGCCGCACACTCACACACCCTCACACTCACGGCGACGAGCGGCTCCGGCCTTAAAGGGGAAGCCGCGCTGCCCTGCCCGCGACCCCGCCAGCCCGAAGCCTGGAAACTCAGGGTTTCCACTCCGGGATGGGGCAGCGGGCAGCCAAAGAGCTGCGGCCGCCCGAGGGGCCTCCCGGGCCCTCCCACCAGTCTTTAGAGGAGAAAGCGGCCGCAGGCTGGCTTCGCTGTTGCAGCCTCATTTCTCCAGTCGGCTCGAACCAGGGCAGCTGGGGAGGGATCGGAGGGGCGGAAGGGGCATCGGTGCACTCACCTTGGCTGCTCCGCACTCAGTGGAGGGTGGTCTGTGCCCCCGGCGTCAGCTGGCTTGCCTAGGCGGTGCGCTGGTGGAAAGAGGCGACAGCAGGGTTAGCGGAGCGCCTCCAGCAGACAGAGCCCGCCGGAGGGCCGCAGGCGGGGCCCGGCGCGCTTGGGAAACCCGCACGCCGAAGGTAGACTTTCCGCGTCTGGGGAAAACGAGCTGGTGAGCCGTGCGTGGCCGGGACACACGAAGAGCGAGCACGGAGAGCCAAAAGCCAGCGGTCATCAGTGACAGGGCGAGAGAGCGCTCAGGACCGAGAGACCAAGAAAGACAGGAGACCGTACGAGACACAGAGAAGGCAGAGACTGAGAGACAGATACCGAGAGAGGCACCGGCGGAGATAGAGGTAGAGACACGATGAAGGGAGAGGAGAGGAGAGGAGATGAGAGGAGAGGAGAGGAGAGGAGGAAATAAGGAGAGGAGGAGAGGGACCAGAGAACAAGAGAGCTTGCAAGAGGAATGACAGATCCCCAGAGGACCCTGAAGTGTCACAGGGACGGGAGTCTCATCACAAAGTAGCCTATTCAGCCCCCATCCCCCTTCCCATTTTCACCAGAGCCTGACCCTAGGGCTAGCGGCCAGGCCCTTCTCCTCCCCTCGCCCTGGGAGGGGCACTCACCTGCAGTGGGTGGCTGCTGGGTGGGTAGCGCCAGTCCCTCCGCCCACGCATCCGCTCACCAGCTCGCGCCCTGACTGCCAAACAGACCCGCTGTGGCGGCAGCGGGGACCAGGGCTCTCAGGTGGCAGTTAGTGAACTGCATTCTCTCCATCCCGGCCGAGTGCCCCACTCCCCACTTCCCAGTCCCCCACCCTTAGCGCGGACGCTGTCGGCGTCGCCCGCCAGTACGCTTAGCTCAGAGTCCAGGCTCGCTGGCCAGTCTCCCGTTCCACTGGACCAGGGCACGCGATGCTCCCGCCCAAGCTGGGCTGGATTGGCTCCCTCCGCAGTTATCCCAAGACGGACACCTGCGGCTTCTGCAGGAACATAGGTTCCTTGGGAACTGCCGGGCGGGCCAGCGCGCCCTGTCCACCATCTGCCCTGGCGCCGAGTCCAGCGACTCCCCTCCCACCTATCCCACCTCCCGGGTATTTGGCTGCGCCCCTTCTCTAGGATCCCCTCCCCGGATGCGTTTCCTAACCTGGACTTCTCCAGCCGATGGCAGCTGCAGGGGCTGAGCACAACCCGGGAACGCCGCGTCTGCTCCGACAGCAGCAGCGCTCAGCTCCTGTCCGCACCTCTGAGTAGCAACCTGTCACCAACACATCTGGTCACGCTCAGCGGAGCCGCAGGCCACGAATAAAGGGGTGGGCCCGCCGCCCACTAGGCCCCTCCTTCCCTCCACGCCCACGCTCTCGGCCCTCGGAAAGCGCTGGGGCCACCTCCGAGAACCCAGCAAGATCCCTTCGTGGGCTACGTAGGCGCAGTGAGGCTGGGCGATTGCCTCCTAGCGTTTCACGAAGTTACCTGGAGGAAGAGCGGCGTCCAGGCCCAACCGCGAGGCACATGCAGGGGCTGTGGCTTCGCAGCCCCAGCGCTGCCAGGATGCGCCCAGCCCAACAGGGCGAGGCTGGGGGTACACAGTTCGTCAGGGCAGTTGTGAAGGAATCCGCCTTGTCTGGGTCCAGTCCTGTCTGCTCTGCAAAGGGCAAGCAGCCAGAAGAGGTTATTGCTCTCTGGTGACTGAACCTTACCTTCAAGGCCCTCCAGGGAGAGCTAGAGTCATCTCAGGGTTGCCAGTGCCCCGGTAGAACTGCGAGAGTGCGGGAGTCCCTTGAAGGAAATCTGATTAAACAAAGCTGAATGGGAGATGGCCATGCCTATCACGGAGCATTGGCAGGATGCTTTTAAAATTCTATCTGCAACCTCCAAGTGCACTAGCCAAGGAGATGGAAGGTGGGTTTCTGTTCCCAGCACCTCCACTCAACCCTTGGACCACTTGCTCTCATCTTCCTCAGTGGGACAAATGATGCCCATTCCCCTAGAGCATCCTAAGAAGCCTGTAATATCACAGCCACACGTCTGCGAGATGGCTAACTGCCTGCTTGGCACCAGCACCTGGATGGCCATTAGAAATCGCCTGACTGAACCGAGTTCCTGATCGTCTCCCAAGTGTGCTGAGCCCATAGTCTGCTACCTCAGTTCATGGCTACTCCATCCTTCACGTTGCCCAGGCAGAAGGCCCTGGGATCCTCCCCGATTCTTCTCTCTTGCTCACACCTCACAGCCAGTCCAGTGGACAATTCTGCCATCTGCATCATCAAAATGTATCCACAATGTCAGTCTGCTCATCCATTGCTCCCCCCGGGTACCAGCCAGCAGCCTCTCCCCCCAGGATAACTCCAGTAGCTGCCGCACAGACTGCCCTCATTCCTCCCTCCCTTCAACCCTCTCCTTGCAGTCTATTCCCCGATCTCTGTGCCAAACCCCACAGTGACTCCCCATTGCACTCAAAGTAGAACTGAAGTGCTTCTAGTGGCCTCTGGGGCCCTTCAGGCATGTCCCTCCACTATCTCAATAACGTCATCTTCCCTCCACTCACTGTGCTCCAGCCACACAGACCTCCCAACTCTTCCTCAACACATAGATACATTCCTGCTTTACTTAGGACTTTTGCTTTAGCTGTTCCCTTGGGCTGGAATTCACTTCCCCAAGATATCTATGGGCTGGCTCCCTCATTTCCTTTAGTCTTGACACAAATGTCACCTGGCCACCCTATGTAACATTTCAAAGCCCCACGCCCATCTCTGGCACTTCCTCTCTCCTTCCCAGCTTTGTTTTCTCTTTAGCGCTTACCGCTAGCTGACCTCCTCTATAGGTTAGATCCCAAGAGGGTAGCAGTCAGCGTCTGTTTTGTTCACTGCTGTCTTCCCAGCTCCCAGCACGGTGCCTGGCATGGAGTATCTGTTCAATGAATGTTAGTAGATTCTGCTTTCCTGGAACTTTTCAGGAAACTCTGGGGGCCACTGCACTGTACACACCCACTGGAAAAGGGGCCCATAGATGTCATCACATTTGAAGGTGGTTCATGACCTAAACAAAGGTTAAGAAGGCTAGAGGGCAGGCAAAGAGCTTTGTGTTAATGACATGAAACCAGCTTCGGGTCATGTCACCAAGGGGCAGTGTGGCACACATGCATTGGTGGCAGTCTTACAGGCAGTCACAAAGGTACAGAGAGTGATTCCTTCAGTTACTGGTGGAAAGAGGTTTCCTTGTGGTTGTCACCTAGGGTATCCCAAGGTTGATGGACAAATGGGAGAGGAGGCCGGAGACAGAGGCAGGGTGAGGGCTTTCTCTTCACTGAGTAGACTGGCTCTGAGAGCCAGGGCCCTTTTTTCACCCAAAATGCAAGACCAAGTCTGGAGCTCAGCAGCACATCTTCCTCCATTAACGTAGAACTAGCCTGTGCTTTACGTGCAGGGTCCGTGTCCCCAGTGAGGTGTTGATCATTATCTCCATGTTCTAAATGAGGAAATCAGACACTCAGAGAGGTAGAGGCACATATCCAGGGGCACACAACCCATGAGTGGTAGAGCAGTAAAGCAATTGGGCCTCAAAGCTTGGGCCATTTCCACTTGCTATGTGGCCACCCATGTTTAGTGTGTGCAGTCCTGGCCTGTGGGTCCAGGCAAGGAAAAGAATACCATGGGGTTTCAAGGAGCTGTCCTCCTAGGGGAACTCCTGGTCCTTTTGCTGAGTGGTTGCTAAACAAAAAGCTGGGCTTAGGCTATTGGGGTCCAGAGATACCATGCCGGGGCTGATATGAGCCCTGTCTTTGCTCTGACCCAAACCTGGAGCTCAATGGATTTGAAAAATACAATCATCAGCCACCTGTCATTTATAGTCATATTCTTGTGAACAGATGGCAAGTTTTCCCAAGTTCATCTGACAAATACTGGGACTTAACTGGGCAGCCTCTGGAATTCTGGGTGTGGCCTGCGCAGGTAGGGGCGCATGGAGAACACACATGTTGACTGGAAAGAGGAAATACACATCCAGTGACTCTATTTCTCATTACTCCCATGCTCAAAAGCCTCCTGCGGCTTTCTACTGCTGACAGCACTAAATCCCAACATCTCAGCTTGACATGCAAGGCCCTTCATAGTGAGCACCAGTCTCTGTTTACTTCTAGATTCTTCTCTTGGTACTTTCACACATGCACCTGGGTCTCCTGCTTGGCTGGACTGCTGACTGGACACCTAACAATTCCTGGTTCTTCCCACTTCTGCCCCTTTGCTCATATATTCCCCATGCCAGCTCTCCTTTCAAAATCTTGCCTGGGTTGAGCACAGTGTATCACGCCTGCAATCCCAGCACTTTGGGGAGCCAAAGAGGGAGAATCGTCTGAGCCCAGGAGTTCGAGGCAAGCCTGGGCAAGAAAGTGAGATCCCATCTCTATATATATAAAAAAAATCCTGCCTGGCCTTCAAGGCTCATCTCAAAGGCCTTCTCCTCAATGAAGCTTGTCCTGAGTCCCATCACAGCACAGGTGCCCTCCCTCCTTTGGACATCCTCAGCCCTAGCTGTCCTTTTCTGACACCGTAGGCCTTTGTCCTCAGCTCTTCCTTGTTTCACAGTTTAACAGTGCTTTTTGGGGTTTCCCCAAAGCCTCCCTGATGGACCCATGGCTAATCCTCAGCTGCAGTGGGTGTGTGTGTTGGGGGGTGTTCAGGGTACCCTCTGGATGGCAGAATATGAATCCAGAGAGAGAAAGTGAGATGATGGATGTGGCCAGCACCTTCTGGCATCCCCCACTTCACCTCTAATGCTCAGAGGCCATTAGCCAATGCCCAACTGGAGGCCACCACGTCCACCTGCTCCCTTGGCTCCCAGCCCCCTACACCCATGCCTCACTCAGCCAGGCAGATGCCACACCCCAGGCCCTCAGCAAAGCCAGAGACCCCCACCCCCAGGCTCTTGAGCTCTAGGCTCCTGGGGCATTGGCTCAGGGCTTGTGGACTCCTCATCTGCACAGAGTCCTAGCCCCAGGGAACCTGAGTTCTCTGACCACAGCTTGCTGGAAGCCACAACCAACAGGAACACAGGAATGAGGACGGACAAGTGCCCTTGGGAAGGCCTTGGGTGACGACTACCCCATGCAGAGGAAGTGCAGTGAACTTGATCTGGGAGGCAAAAGGCACTGGTGTACACCCAGATTCTGCTGTCTCCCAGCTGTACAACCTCCTGAGCCTCACAGGTCTCATTTCCAAAATGGAGTCACAGTAGTAACGGCCTTATTGGTGTGTAGTCAGGGTTTTAGTTCTGTCATGGACAGGACCACCCTAGTCAAGGTGTCTACCCCATGAGTCATTAGCCCTCAGAGAAGAGGATGCTATCGTGATTGTTATCCTACATACCCTAAAAGACAAGAGGCAGCCAGCCTTGAACCTAATCAAATGAAAAGTATTCGGACAAAAGCTCAGGTCTTGCATGTACGTTCAAAACATCTTGTGATATTGAACACTCTGCAAGTGCTTGATATGTCTGGCAAAAAAAAAGATGAGTCTGTGCCAGGTAAGGAAACAGATTGGGGCACTCACAGAGGACACATCGGCATTTTGCCCCGGTGGGGCAGAGGAGAGCCACTGGGAAACAAGTTGACTTATTTCTTTTTGCTGTGTTCTTGAACAATTTTAATATTCTTGGGGATGTTGAAGAAACACAATAGAAACAAATGGGAAATGGTTAAAATATTGATTGTAATTTCCTGGCGACTTCACTGATTTAAAATACAGGAACCTTTAAGAAAAAAAAAAAAGCCCTCATTAGCAAGCAAGCAGTTAATTAAGGGCCTGTAGAATGGTTTGCATCGATTTCACCATGAAACCAGAAAACTGTGGCTACAAGTCAATTTTTCCCTCCGTAGCTGCTTACTTACCATGAACGCTGTTTCCAAAATGCCATAGGTAATGCTACCAAAGCCTAGATAAGGATGGGATATGGTCATTTAAACAGAGATGGATAAACAGTTTAGGGAATTAATGTAAATCCAGATGGCTGCCAGTTTCCCACTTGCACCATGCATAGGACTGAAAGACATTGTCAAAGCTCTTATATAGAAAAAAGTATGCAGATGGCATGCTAATTATTACTCTTCATGCAATGACATTATTTTCCAAGAGAAAAGGCCCAACTCAGGACCCACATGGGAAGAGGTTCTACCCACTGTTCTAGGACGCTTCAGATCATTTGCAATTTTGTGACTTAAAAAGCGAAAACAACACAACTCTGGCCTATGCCTGTCCTAGCAACCATCTAGGCTGCTGCTGCACCATCACTACAATCATTCTCAAGGTTAATATGACCTAACTCCAGGAAACCAGCTGGGCCCACCGTCAGGCAGGCACACTCTCCAGGACGTCTGGAGAAAACCAGACAATGTGCTCCAGGTGACCTGTGTTTGGAAAGCACAATCATATAAGCAATAAAAGCAGCTAAAGCTTGAGGGCACACCTATTATGTGGCAGGCCCTATGCTTAACATCTACGAGCTCAATGAAGCCTTGTAAAAACACATTTCAGGGCTAAGCGAACTGAGGCTCAGAGAGGTTAAGCAATTTTTCTGAGATCACACAGTTACTCCCTGTGGAACCAAGATTTGGATGTCCTAGGCAGTCTGGAACTGAGTGGCCTCAAGAGTATCCTATTAACATAAAGCTCAGCAGGGAGGAGGGAAGTAACATGTACTTCACACATGGCTAGTTCTGTGCCTGGTGCTTCGCTAGCTGGCTTGCATCACCTTGTGAGAAAGGATGGTTACATTTTCAGAAATCTTGTCAACCTGTTGATGACACATTGGTAGCCTGAAATTGGCAATAGTGGGAATAGGCACACCACCAAAATGGGCAAATGCTACAAATCAGGGCTGGTTGTTAAATATTTACCAACATACCACTGCACCACAGGTGTCAGAGTCAGACGGCCTGGTTCAACTCCTGGCCTCAGCACTTACTGGGTGGCCTGGGGCAAGTTTCCTAATTTGTGAAATGGAGATAACAATAGTGCCCACCTCATCAGGTTGTTGCAATCATTAATTAATCCATGTAAATTACCTGGCACAGCATAAGTAATCAATTCACATTAGTTGTAAACATAACTATACTGCAACTACTACTACTACTACTTATTATTATTATCATCTTCATTATTATATTTAGGCAGCCATTCACTTTCATCTAGAGTACAGCAACCATGTCCTAACTAGTCTCCTTTCTTCCAGTCTTGTCCTCTCCAATACATTCTCCTGACAGCCACTAGCGTAAATTTCCCATATACAGATCCTTCCTTGCTTAAACTATTTCCTTGGCTCCCTCTAACCCTGAGGGCTAAAGTCCCACCTCCTTTGCTTAGGATATGTGGTCTACCTGACCTGCCCCTACTCCAAAATACCAAAATCTGTCATAGTTTGTTAGGGCTGCCATAAAAAAGTGCCACAACCTAGGGGGCTTAAACGACAGACATTTCTTGTCTCACAGTTCTAGAGGCCAGAAGTCTGAAATCAAGGTGTGTCAGTGGGGTTTCTTCTGAGAGCTGTGAGGGAAGGATCTGTCTTAGGCCTTTCTCCTTGGCTTTAGATGGCCATCTTCTCCTTGTGTCTCTTCACAGTCTTCCTTTAATGCATACTTCTATGTCCAAATTTCTCTCTTTCATAAAGAACACCTGTTATATTGAATTAGGGCCCCATCCTACTCCAGTATAACCACATCTTAACTAATTTCATCTGCAATGACCCTATTTCCAAATAAGATCACATTTTGAGATACTGGAGGTTGAGACTTCAACATACAACTTCAACTTGGTACTTCTAAATACTGGAGGTTGGGACTTCAACATATGAATTTGGTGGGAGGACACAATTCAGCCAGTAACAGTCTGCCCTCTGGCCCCCAAAAGTGCACATTTTTCTCATGCAAAAGACAGTCACTCCATCTCCACACCCCCTAAAGCCTTAACCCATTCCAGCACCAACTCTCAGTCCATAATCTTATCTAAACATCATTTAAATTAGATATGGGTGAGACTGGGGGTATAACTCATCTTGGAGCAATGTTTCTCTCCATCTGTGTACCTGTGAAACCAGGCAACAAGTTCTCTGCTTCCAAAATGTCATGGTGGGACAGGCATAAGACAGACATTCCCATTCCAAGAAGGAGGAATTGGAAGGGAAAAAGGAGTCATGGATCCTGAGAAAGTCTGAAAACTAGCAGCACAAATTCCATTTGATTCATTTGATTTTAAGGCTTGAGGATAATCCTCTTTGGCTTGATGCTCTGTCCTCTGGGTTTGCCCCCGAGCCTCTACAAAGGTAGCTCATGTGGTGGACAGAGCAAACAAGTCATTGTTCTGAAAAACACTGTTCTTTCACACCTCCATGCTGTGTACCCGTTGTTCCCTTCAGGCAGCAGGAGGCCCTCCTTTCCCCTGGTCAGTTGGGGTACTCCTCTGAAGTCATTAGGCCTCAGCTGAAGCCTAAGGTCCTTGTTTGTGAGGCCCTCTTTGACTCCCTCCTCCCTGAGGCCCAGGAAACGGAGCTGCCCCATTTGTGAAAAGCACCTCTAGCATCTGAGCTGACTCTATTGCAGCCGTTACTACCTTGGCTTGTAACTGTTGATTTACCCGTTTTCTCGGTAGACTATGAACTACTTGATATTAAGCACAAGTTCTCATTTTTGTCATGTCTTTGCAAAATGGGATTGGGCACAGAGCTGGTGTGCAATATACAAATGCCTGTTTCTGTGATAGCAAATGCACAGAGGAGCTTTTTCTGAATACCTACTGTGTGCAGAGCATTGGACTTGGGCTGTACACTCTTGGAAAGAGCAGACACAAGGACAAACTCTCTCACATTCATCATTAGAGACAACATATGTACCATACTTGAGAGCTGGAAGGGCCTTAGCAGCAGGTGCTGACACCTGACTTATTAACTCATTGATTGGATCATTACACCAACTCTGTGAGATATAACATAGGGTAGTGTAAAGGCAAGCAATCAGGAGCCAGCCTGCTTTGAATCCAGGCTTTGCCTCTTACCAGCTCTGTGACCTTGGGCAGCTTACTTAACCCCCTCTGTGTTTTTGGTTTCCTTATCTGTAAAATGGGACTAGCAGTGGCACTTACCTCACAGGGTGGCATGAGGATTCAGTCAGTTAACATCTTTCAGATGTTAGCTATTATTCAGATATAGCCAGGGTCTAATAGGTATCCTAGAACCTGCTGCTGCTCCTGCTGAAAAATGCTTGCTGAGAGCAAAACATGCTTAACTGCTGAGCGTCAGGGCTGGGCAAAATAAGTCCTAAGGGCCCCTCCAGTTCTCCTGTGAAGTGCTGCTGTCCTCTATGTGAAATAACTCAGTGCACCAACAAGCAACAGGTAAGTACAAATAAATATGTGCATGTGGGAGGAGAGTAGGCCCCTAAAGAGCTAGTGATGCACCATGTCAGGTGGTGGCAGCCCCATGAACAAGATTCTGGGTTATTGGCCCCATCCTGCAAGTGGCCCACTGTAGGACCTGGGACAAGCTCTTTTCCCTTTCTGGGCTTGAGTTTCTGGCTCTCTCACAAGCTTGGACCTCCCATTTCTAGCATTTTCCAGGGAGCTCCCCTCACCTGCCCTGGTAGCCAGGAGACCAGTCCTGGTAGCCAGGAGACCAATCCTGGACTGTGGGTGGTCGCCAGTTGTGTTGGCACTATAGCTATACCCCCAGTACCCTGCCTCACAGCCCCATAGCATATCTGCCAGCAAGGAAACCCTGCTCCCTTAAGGACTGAGTGTAGATGCCACTCAGTGAAATTAGAGTAACAAAACCAAAGGAAGGAAGGCAAGGAAGTAGCTTGCTGCTTTTCTCTGTAAGCTAGGGTGTTTGTCTCTCAGGCCCTTTCTCCTGAACTAGGAAGCAGGTGAGGCTAGGGATGCTTTCCTCCCTGAGTGCATTCTGCCTGGGTACTTCATTAAGCCCTTAATGCCTCAGGGCATGGGATGTAGAGTGGCCCTCTTGCTCCTGGGATGCTGCTCAAGGCACTTCCAAGGTGGTACTATATGGGGAATTACGGTATTGGGCAGTTGCCAGGAGGAAGAGAGTGTGTGCCTTACAAGGAACTGAAATGTCCCTGCTGTTCAGAGAAAGGAGATTCACAGAATAAGGCAAAATCGATGCCTTTTGCAGCAGCCAAATTTCCATCTCATTGCTGTGTGCTGGAGACGTGATGCCCAGAGCTGGATCACACAGGCTGGTGTCACGTTGCATCAGTGGCAAAACAAACGGCTTTAGTAATAAAATCCCCTGGACCTAGTGGCAGATGCCTTGCTGGCTAGGAGGGCCATGGTGCCTGGCTTTAGAACCGTGGAGGTCCAAGAAAGATAGACATGGTGTCACACTGACCCTTGCAGTGGACATCTAGAAGCTTCCTATAGGTAGCCATGCAGTGCTCAACATCCTTCCTGTCTGTAGCCCTGCCCCACAGAAGCCATCCTTCCCAGAACACGTCATTGCCCATGTCATTGCCCTGGTCTATCTGTGAAACCACAGTCCCACACTGGCTTCACATTCCTGAAGAGTGAATGTGGCAGTGTGCCACCCTATAGGCTCCACTCTACCATGCCACTCCATAGGCCCAGTGACTCTAGGAGAATCAGAGAAGAAGACTCAAGAAGCTTTTGCAACCCTTAGCAGAGGCTGAGAAAATCAGAGCAGAAGCCTCGAGAAGCTTCTGTAACCCTAAAGCAGCTGAGAACACCAGGGGCCACGTTTTTCTATAGTAGGGTAAACGGCAAGCAGAACATTTCCTACCCTTGATGGAGGCCAGAACTAGCTGTCCCCTGTCAAACTCCATGCCAACTCCTGCTCTCCGCTCAGGGCTTGTTCCTGCTAATGAAATGGCTATTCTGCCAGTGTAACATTACTTAGCGATTTATTAGTGATTATTGATTTTCAATTGTGGTTTCCAGGGGCTGAGGGATGGAGCAAATCGAAGGCATCCTGCCTGTAGATCTACATCCATTTGCTTGAGGCCATGGGCTCAGATGCAAGTAGCTCATCCATTGCTGAAAACACCAGGAGAGGAAACCATCACTACTTCCTGCTCCTAAGTTTCCACTCACTGTTCCCTGAAAAGCCCTCCATCCCACTTCCCCCAAAGCCCCAGCTGCAGATGGGAGCACACAGGGTTTTAAGTGGATGCTTTTATGATTTTTTATAAATGGCCCTGACTGGATCCTGTTCCCACCTCCCAGGACTCACCCTGCCTCTTTGCTCCCTGGAGGCCTCTCTCCTTTTATCTCTCTTAAAGGATTCCCATTTCTTCCTAATGGTCCATTGTCCCTCAGCATGGAAAATGGTGACCTCCCTACCCTGGCAGGAAGCAGGAACTTTTGGGCCAGTTTTCTGTATTATCTTGTGGCCTTGGGCCTTCTTTACCACCATGCTCCTGGGCCTGGAAGGAATCTTAAAGTGAGGTTGTTCAATCTTTTCCCAGCCCTGTCTGTGACTCCCAGATCCAGCCTCCAATGTGAGAAAGAATGGGCACTCATACATTCTCTCCTAAGTGTCCCCTGAGAACCTTCCTCCAGCACCATACTGGTTGCAGAAGAAAGAGCTATATAAAAAAAAGGAAGGTCTACCAGAAACCTCTTATATATTTTATGACATCTGCTTAGTCTTGTCTGTCTCTTATTCCTGCCACCTCTGAAGCACCCACTTCTTTCTGTGTGGTCTCCAACAAATTTCATGCAGGTACAGTTTGATAGCACGTCCCTTCAGGCTTACACCCCATGCCTCTACCTGACCTTCTTTTTTGACATTGGCATAGAATGTCAGGGAAACTTGCTTTGCATGTGTACACAGAGGGGAGTTAAGATTCTATGGAGTGAAACTTTGGCCAATGAGGAAAGGAGGTGATGGATAACTGATTCCCTTATTTTCCCCCAGTTCTGAGACACAGTTCATTTGGCTTCTCAGAGGGTTATATGCCATCAAGCAATCAGTCACAAATTATGGTGGGCAATTAGATATAATATCCTTGTTTTGGCTCTTCTTCCTTTCCTATTTCCCATCTCATCCCTTACTCTTGTTCTTGGGATCACATTTCCCAATAAAGGTACTCACATAAAAGCTGATGTCTTAGGCTCTGCTTTCCAGGGAACCAGATAGTTGCTAGTAGGAAGGGTTTTACCAATCCTAAGGATGGAATTATAGAACTGGACCTCTTACCAGTAAGATGAGAATAAGAACCCCATTTCCGGTGAAAAGAGGGGGCTGTGGTGAGCCCTGGCATGCAGTGGCATCACAGTTATTTGCTTTCACCTGTGAAACATGTGGTTATGTGGTAACTGTGACCCTTGACTAGCACGGGGACAATGGTGATTGTAAGGATTTGAGAGTTGCTTGGCTTTTGTTACTTTGGGAAGTTTGCAGTAAAGAAAATGACAGGCTTGGGTCAGCCAACCATTAATTTAAAACACTCTGTGAAAGCTAGAGGGCCTCTATGGATGTATATAAAAGGATCCTTATCTCCTGCCGTGGCAGGGCAGGCCATGCTGAAAATCAGACCCAACACCAAATTGTAAGATTAGCATGCCACAAAGAAGATTGAATGGCAGCCTCAATAGTTTCCTATATCAAGGCCCTGACAGAAAAACAGTGGGACCTTGACACCTAGGATGTAAATATTTGGATAGATAACTGTGAGAACTTGAACTCCCATATTTTCCAGAAGCCTCCATGCTGGTAGCCATTTTCTTTTTGTCAGAGAAAAGCAGCTTGTTCTTGTGTGGAGATCCTGTGATGATGTCACCTGATGCAGGTGTCTTACAATACAATGCTTTTCCTCCTCAAGACCTGACTCCACTGTCTTTTATTGCCTCCAGGCTGATATCTGTGGCACCAGAGACCATCAGTTTCTTCATTAACCCTCTTGAATTAGGTCTTTGCAAAAATTGCAGTTGGCCACCACCTTGAAGGGGCCTCTGAGACAGATTGATCTGGGATCTCACCTGTCTCAAGGAAGAAGTGAGAGCATTTTGTTTCCCAAAACATGGAGGCTCCATATTGTAACATGGGAGCTGAGTATAATGGAAGATACAAGCAAACCTGAGTGGTACAAGGGATGGACTGTATCAAACACCATTTATGTCCCACTTTAAGTCCTCTTGGCCTCACTTGACCCTTAGTTCAGCCACTGCTGTGACAACTGGTTCTGTGAAGATTCTGAACACCTCCATGCCAATGCAACCTGCCAGTGCCTTGCAATGCCTGCTTCTCCTCTCCTTCCCTTGGGCATCTCTGATGCCAGCATGGGAACTCTCACAGCACCCACTTATGTGTACCTTGGCATTTGGGGGCTTTTACATCCCATAAGATGACTGCCTCTCTTTTTCTTCCCCCATGGATGATCCCAAGATGCATTTCATATGGTTTCTTAGGTAGCCCTGGAAATTCAAGCAGCCAGTTGCCTTTCATGGAGGGCAACTTGATAACACATGCTTATATTGGCTTTTTATCCTATGCATTGCTCCCCTGCCTCTCACTTCTGCTTTCTGGAGTCATCTTCCTCCCAAAACATTCACACATAAGCCTTTGTCTTCAATTCTACTCTCTGAGGAGTGCAGGCTATGAGAGTAGGCACATGCCTACCCTCACTGAGTTTCCAGTCTGGTTGGGGAAACAAACACAGGGTATTTATAAACCTGGTATAACGTGTACCATACAGGACTGTGCCCAGTGCAGCAGGAGTGAAGGAGATCATAGGAACCCTAAGTAATCTGGACGGAGGGTTCCCTTAAGTTGTGATAGTTTTGCTGATACGTGAAGCATAGGTAGAAGGTTAGTCAGGAGAAAGGAGTGTGGACCAGTGTTTTTGTGGGGCAGGTATTTTTACAGGGTGGAGAGAAGAAGGGGATGCACCAAAAATTGCTGGATGCTTCAGCGTTGGAAGCAGGGGTTGGGGTGGTTTGAGGGTACATGGGAAGTGGAGGCAGCCAGAGCAGGCAGAATGGGGTCCAGGACCAGAGGAAGAGATCAGCCTTCCACAGAGGAAGGAGTAATCCTTCTTCTTTTGAGATTGAAGTGGAAGAAGAAAGAGGGAAGGGAGGTGTGTGGGCATTTTGAGGTGGGGAGGACGCTGAAAGCCTCTTCTCTGCAAAGCCTGAGCTAAGCCTGTTGCTGGCAGAGTAAGGGTGGGGCTGAGGCTGGAGGAGGCTTGTGGGGAAGGCACAGGACAGCTGCTAGGCGGGGGGTGGGGAATTCCAGAGCGATTGAGTTGGCTGAGTGAGCTCTGTCTGCCCTACCTGCCTGCAGGCTTTGCATAGAGGAGAGCCTGGGGCACTTTGTTGAAAGGAGAGCTGGTTTGCTAATCGCACCTGAATTGCTGTGAGTTCACACTTACCCTCCACTTGACCCACACTTGTCTTTCCTTCTTACTGCCTTCTCCACTCTCTCAAATGAACCCACTTTCCCATCCCCAAACCTTTAGCCCCCTCTGCAAGGAACAACTGGTTTTAGATTCCCCCAAGCCACAACCCACATTCTTCAAATCACAACTCAAAGCCCCACCTCGAAGAAACTATCTTTGTGTTTAATACCGACCATTCTCAAACCCCTCAGCAGAAGCCCCAAACTTGCCCTCTTGTCGAATGCGCTCCTATAATTGCTTTTGCCTTCTGAATTTAGCCAGGTCTGGGAGACAACTAGTGCCTGTCTCATGGCCCTGTGAGAATGGCAGCTCTGAAGGGCAGGGAGGGACTGAGCCCACCTTCCACTCCTGCCCCTGCTTGCGCTAGACGAGTAGGAAGTCTCCAGACATTTTTGGCACTCAAAGGGGGTCAGAGGTAAGCCCCTCCCAGGAGTCCGAAGACCATTCCAGGGATTCTTGAGTCAAGCTTGGATGCCCGCTCCTAGGAAGCCCATGGAGGCTTCAATTTATCTATGAGACCCTTGGATTTGGGTGCAGAATATTGTATGTGCATATGTATGCATGTGTGCAGATGCACTTCTGTGTATTTTTCTGGGTAGAAGTTCCTTAACATTTATCTGCTTTTTAAAATACATCTATAATCTTCAAATAACCCAGATCCTCTGCTGCCTTTCTTGGTGGACAGCAGCCTGCAGTTGGCCTACACTCTCTATTCTGGGTGCAGTACTGGGAGGAATCACTGCAGAGCTCATCTGCCGTCAGAGTGTCAAATTCAGACATTCAAATGGTTGCTACACCAAAGTCCCTGGGCTACTGGCAAGGGTGTTGTGGCTATTTGTACTCAGCCAGAATCCAGTCTGTGAGCCACAGCATCCCTCAACATCCCAGTGAATGGATGACAATTAAGAGCCATCCACGTTTATGAATCTTGTGGAAATTAATAAACCTGTTGGTTCTGGAAGGCCTTTTAAAGTCCATCGAGTTCAGTATTTCCAGAAATGTGTTATATGGAACATGAGTTTTGCCAGATGTGGAAAAAAGATACTAAGAAAAAAGATTTAGAGATCAAAAATAACTTGGGAGCTTTAGGGCTAAACAACACTAAGTAGTTCTCTTTCTAGTGGGACTTATCGGAGCCTTTATTATGTTATATGCTTTGAATTTTCAGGAAGAAGATAAAATGAACAGTGTTTCCCAACTCTATTTCAAGAGCTACGAAATTCATTCACAGAGTATCTGGGCAGAAGCAGAGTTCCAAAGAGTGCTCTAATCCACAGGTCTAATTTGACCCCCTCCTTTTACAAAGGAAAAAATGAAGCCCCAGAGAAGTAAAAGGTCTTGCAGCCCAAGGTCATTTACAAAACTATTCAGTTATTAAAGGCAGCTGTAAGGTTGTTGGCTGGGGTGGGGTGGGGTGGGAGGATGCAGACCAAGGAACAAATAGGCTGCCTTAGTTGGTAGTGAGTTCCCTGTGCAGCCCTGGAGGATTGAATGAGGGCCAAGTATCCCTCAGCAAGGGTGTTGTCTAGGATCTTGCTACCAAAACGGTGGTCCAGGGACCAGCCATGTCACCATTCCCCGTGAGCTCATCAGAATCTCGAAATCTCAGGCTCCTCCCCTGACCTATCAACTCAGAATATGCACTCGAACAAGCTCGCCAGGGGATTCGGCGGTATATTCAAGTAAGATGAGGGGGCCCTGTGGGTCACTTATTTGTAGTCTTCTGTTGGCCAGATTTGGATTGGAAATCATTTCCTGAGATTCAGGAAGTTCTCTTCACCCCCCACCTAAGCAGCGAACTCTCTGGATACATGAGCACCCTTGGGGATAAGTGGAGAGTGGGGGCACTACCACTCTTTCCTAACTCCCTGCCCTGCCCAAACTGCTAGGCTAGAGCCTAGACCAGGTGACACATAAACCTGACCATCACACTCATTTTGGCCTTACAAAAATTCTACAATTAGCTCCATTTTGCTTTTGAGGAAACTGAGGGGCCCAGAGAATAAGTAACACACCCAAGAGCAGCCAGGCAGTCAGTGACAGAGGCAGGGTCTGAACACAGGGAGCCTAACTTCAGATTCCATTAGAGTCTCCACTGCCTCTCAGAGCAGCCTGCCCACAGTGTCACAGGTCTCAGGGTGGCAGCTCACTGGCTCCTAGGTCTGGCTTTGGAGCTGGTACATACTCCGACCACTGACAGGAGATGTTCACACAAAGACAGCAGAAGCTTGGCACCTGTCTGGGCCAGGCTTGCAGGGCTTTATTTGCCTGTGGTTTTGAAAATGTCTCTGGGTTGTATTTTCTGGGCATGTGTGCTCAGGCCTGCAGGGGTAGGGGATGCCCACTCGTAGCCTGGTTATGAGATAGAGCCTTGATATCCTTGTGCTTCCAGCACAGCCCATGAGCCATCCCAAAGTCTAAAACTCCAAGCTTATGTCCCAGTGCATGCCCAGCTCAGACCCCAAGCCAGGACCATGGGCTATAAATTTCCCATATGGGCAAATTCCCATATGGGCATGCTTCTGTGAAATGTCCAGAAGTGCCTTCCATGCTGGCCGTAGGGCTATACTGCAGGCCCTGTATTCTGATGGGGGTCTGAGCTCAGATGAAGCTGAAATGGGGGCTGATGATATGGCAGTCCTTTTGGTTGGACCTGACATGGAAATCTCAGGAGAGGCCTGCCCTGCCCCCCTCTCTAGCCTCAGTGTTCCCATCTTTATGATGAGAGGGAAAGAATAGAATGATCTTTAGGGTGCTCTTCATCTTAAAACTGGTCTTAAAACAGCAGAGTTCGAAGGTACAGCCCTCCTTTTTCTAGGGCACCAAGAAAGACATTCCAGAGGGCTTGGCTGGGGACTCTTTTTCTGGAATTGGGTGTTGGGAGTCAGTTACTGACAGCTAATAGTTAGGCATTGCTTGTTTTCACACTTGTGTAAAACAAACAAACAAACACGAAAAACTTCTAGTAGAACACAGCATTCTAAAGGCAAGAGATGGTGATCTTGAGACAAATCTTGGGGGGAATTAAGACATTTAGAAGATGCAGTCTCTAAGATTCCCTTCCTCGGCTGGGCGTGGTGGCTCACGCCTGCAATCCCAGCACTTTGGGAGGCCAAGGCGGGCGGATCACGAGGTCAGGAGATCGAGACCATCCTGGTTAACACGGTGAAACCCTGTCTCTACTAAAAATACAAAAAATTAGCCGCGTGTGGTGGCAGGCGCCTGTAGTCCCAGCTACTTGGGAGGCTGAGGCAGGAGAATGGCATGAACCTGGGAGGCAGAGCTTGCAGTGAGCCAAGATCGCGCCACTGCACTCCAGCCTGGGAGACAGAGAGAGTCCGTCTCAAAAAAAAAAAAAAGATTCCCTTCCTCTCTCCCTTCTTCCCTCCTTCGTTCCCTCCCTTCGTTCCTCCTTCCTTCCTTCCTTCTTTCAGTTTTTCTGTCTCCCTCTCTCTCTCCCTCTCTTCCTTACTTGCTGTCTGTTATCTTACCCCAGGCACAGGTCAGCTCAAACAGCTGAGCAAGGACAGGCATGCTGTCTTGGCCCATCTGGGGAGGGACTGAACGGCAGCATTCTTCTCCTGCCTCCTCCTCACATTTAACACACACCCTCCCATTATTCTAAAAGAAAAATGCCAAGATTCCAGGAAGCAGTACAAATGTGTGTTGACCTTGGAGCCCTAGATCCATAGTGGCAGCTTGTCCTCAAAGCATACAACTGTAGACGGGGGTGCGACAGGCTTCAGCCTCTCCTTCCTTCTGGGCCCCACTGTGGCTCACTCTTGGACCTGAACGCTGATCACAGGGAATGCAGGTAACTCCCCTGAAGACAGCACTGACCAACACTAAGTTTAGAAGTAAGAGCTGGCCTGGCCAAGGCACTCTGAGTAGGCTGTCTCTGCTTGGCTGTCTCAAGAAGAAGAGCCTAGGAGCCTGACTTCTTGATCCTGCCTTTGGTCCACTATGCTTCCATAAGAGGGCTCCCTTGGGTGTGCACAGTTCTTTGCAAATTACCAAACATGTTCCTGTTCCTTCCTTTCATGTATTCATCTGTTGATTCTCTTGTTTGCTGCATATTTATCAAATGCTGATTGTGTGTATTTGGCATTGGAGGTGGAACAGTGACTGAGATCAAGCTTATTGCTGCCCTTCTGATATTTGCCATTTTACAGGGAAGTGAGACAAGGAACAAAGAATTCCAAGAGAGGTACATATTTCAAAGACTTTGAGACTCTACTGTAGCCCAAAAAGGCAGTGAAGAGTGCCATGCTCAAGACTAAGTGGGGTGGGGTTGTTTGATCTCAGGTGTCCTACCTCCCAGCTCAGGGCTTTCTCCACCTCTCTTCACTGCCCTCCCCTTATTTTTCCACCTACCCCCAGCTGCTGCCAATTGCACTGTCATTCACTGTCATTCATTCAATGAGCTTGGCCAATGATAAGATCCTGTGCTGACTTCCTGTTGCCAAACCAGGGGACAAAACTGAAGCTCTTGGCAATCTTGAGAGAAGGCCAAGCCATGGATAACTACAACAGCTTATCAACCTTCCTTAGCCTCCCACTCTAGCTGGCAAAGTCGGGCTCCACCCTGAGACTCCTGACACCTGGGGTGAGGCCAGGTTAAAGGGACCTGAAGGTGGAGTGCTGTAAGCTGGGGCTGGGGAGGGAATTACCTGCCTTGAAGAGGAAAGCTGTGGGTATAACTGTGTTTAGGATGTAGAGGGAACCAATCAACTTTGGACCCCTCCTGTGTGCAATAAGCCTGCATTTTATAGGTAAGAAAACTGATGCTTAGAATGGGTAGAAATGTGACTTACCCAATATCACTTGATTTCACAGGGTTTTGAAGGGAGAGGGACCTGACATTGACTGTTCCTAGCATAAGGGAGTCCAGAATGCAACAAAGAGGGTCAGAAAAGAGCAAGAACAAGGCTGCCTGGGGGCTGGGTGGCCTTCCGGCCTTGAGTTAGGGAGTTGTGTATTGAGGGATTCACTGGACGGTACTCCAGGTGTGAAGGCCAGCGCTGCTATGCCTGTAGAGGTCAAAGGTGATATGCCACACCTATGTCCTCTTTTCTTGCTTTGTCCTTGCTTTACATTCTCCTTAGGCATTTCTGTACGGTAGTCAAGGCCCTTCAAGAGTCAGCCTTGCCTCCATCCAGCTCTGCTAAGCATTTGCCCGATTGTCTCAAGTAATCCCCACTCGTGCATTGTGTGGGATGTTCAGTGGGCAGTCTCACTTTACAATAGCAAACTTGGAGGCTGAGAATGGAACCCACATGCCTGAGGCCACCTAGCTCCCAGCCATGTTCTCAAGTCTCTCTGCCCTGTGTTGAGTTGTCCATACCTGTGCCTTAGCTCACAGCAGCTGAGCCATATTCCTTGGAATTGACGAAAGAATCTATAACTCTGGACAGCTCTTTCACACTAGAGCACTGGCTCCCTTAGCTGCTACGTGGACTCCATTCTTTCAGGAGCTCCACCAGGGGCAGGAAGCCCTGACTCCAGCCCCGTGACTAGACCCATCAGCCTCTTTCCCCCTTAGAGTGGGGCTAACAGGCAGTTCTTAGACCCTGGCACTGAGGCCTAACTTAGCTGTGACAAACCAGTGATTTCCGACCAGGAGACCAGTCCCTACAGGAAGTGATGACCAATTGTCATTACCCAGAAAATCTCAGCAGCTCCACCATGAATTGTCCGGACCATTCCAGGGCTAAATTTGGCAGGGGAGGAATCCTAGGAATTCTTTAGGCTCTCAGATTCCACTTTCTTATTTTGGGGTCTAGGGAAGAAGGGGTGGACTCTGTGAAACTGTATCCTCAGCCCCAGCTCTGGAGCTGAGGGACACGTGGCGCTTGGAGCCCCAGGGAGTGGCAGTCCCCTCCCCCAACCCCACTCCCTCCTCTGGCACCAGGGTCACCAGGGCCACATGGTAGTTTCTGGTTTCACCAAACTCTTCTCAATCCCTGGAGCTCTATGCTGGGGGCTTCTGGGCTTCCCTGGGGGACTTTTCTGAGGACCTCTAGCCACTTGCCCTTAGTGGGGACTGGGGGGACCCTGACAGGTCAGACTCTGCTGATGTGTCCTCATTCTCTGGCTCCATTCTAGTCTTGTGGAGGTGTCACTCTCCAAGGCCCACCCTCAGCCCCAGCAGACCTCTGCCTCCCCAGTGGCTCCCGCTCCTCTTGGCCCTCTATGGCAGTGATGACAATGATGGCCCTCCATGGCACCTGACGGCAATGGCGAGCTCGGCGGCGGGGAGGGGACAGCCTGGACTGCATGCTGTGTCTCTGCAGTGCATCCCCACTGTGCTGGGGACACAGAACCACCCACATCTGTGCTGTGGCAGGGCAGGGTTCTGCCCCCAGAGCCCAGGGTCATATCAGTCCCTTGTATGTCTTAGCCAGGCCAGGGACGTGCCTATGGGTTTGTGACTGATCTCTCACCTGTTCTCTTTAGAGAGTGGCCCCGCAAGAGGAGCAGCTGAGAAAGGCACCAGCCTGCAAATGGCAGAGCCCTCCAGCTTGTGGGCAGGAGGCCACTCCTTCGAAGGGCTATGGGAGACAGATAGACATTCAGGCAGGAGTCCCAAAGGAACTCAGAGCCCAGGCCCCATCCCTGCATCTCCCTGACAGCCTGGGAAGGAGGAAGGGAGGGAGAAACAGACGGAAAGAGGGAGGGAGAGAAGGAGGGAGAGAGGGATGGAAAGAAAGGGAAAGAGAGGGAGGGGGGATGGAGGGAGGGGGAGAGAGGGGGAAGGAGGGAAGGAGGTCCATGGTTCCCCTGAGCATCCACTGGGAAAGCCCCATCAGCCACCACTGGGGCCGAGGCCGCTGTTTCTGAGATGTGTCTTGTGCTCCCGGGGACAGTGTGCACCCATGGGGCAGATGCCACCTTCACCAGGTGAATTTGCAGAAGGACTCAGAGTCACCCAAACCAGGTGGGACATTTTCCCACTCTGACCCCAGCATTATACTGGTTCCTTCTGAGGATCTTGGACGGGGCTACTGGGTCCTCCAGAGCCCAGGGCACCTGGGGAGGCCCTGCTGAGAGCCCCAGCTGAGGACTCAGGGACCGCCCCCGCCCCGGGGCCTTGACTTGCAAGGGACCTCGGGCACAGCCCTGCCTCCTGTGGGCCTGGATCTCCCCACCTGTCAGCACTTTGTGCTGGGGGCCTGCCTGACCCGAGAGGCCCTGCCTGTCTTTCCCACAGGCTCCCAGAGACTGACCGGCTTAAGGCTCGAGGCGTGCCAGGGCCCCCGGAGTCACCCTGCATCAGCTCTTGCCGCCTGCTGCCTGGGCACGGGAGACCACACTGGTGGAGGGGATGAGACAGGGCAGGCCCAGCCTTGGGACACCCCTGTCCCCACAGCTCCAGTGACTGGGTGCTTCCCCCAGCCCTGCAGAGCAGCCTGCCCCACTGCAGACAGTGCTGGTCCAGGGAGGTCCTCACAGGACAACCAGAGTTGTGATGCGGGTGATGATCAGAAGCTGTGAGTGTGGAGGAGGCAGGTTCTCTCTGTCTAGCCATTGTACAGATGAGGAAACGGTGGCCCAACGCCACGCAGTGCCCAGCAGGGGTGGCCCCAGGAGCCAGTATTCCAGTTCAGGCTTGACTGACCTCATAACCCCCAAACTGGCTCATGCTGCCTCCCGGCTATGCTCTAAGATCCCCAAAGGGGAGGCCCTCACTAGACCCCCATCCTGTCCAATGCCCAGCACTGTGCCAGGCAGAAAAGTGACAAACAGTTGGCATCTCTTAAAGGGTGGTCCAGCCGAAGGAGCTGCCCACCCAGCTAGAGAGGGAGCAGCACCCTGTCCAGGCCTGTCCTGACAAATGGGGCCTGTATGAGGGAGGCCTGTCTCTGCAAAAAGGCTGTCCTTTGCCAGCCCTGCACACCCTCCCACTCAAACCTGTTGCTCTCGGCAGCAGTGGCTGACTTGAGACTTGGTGTTCTCTGTTCTTTCAGGGCAAATAAAGCTGACGTGTTGGCCTCCAGCTCTGTGAGGGAGGGAAGAGGTACCTTGGGCTCCCAGCTCCTGCCCACACACAGTAGACCTGGGGGCTGGGTTTCCTCCCCAGAGGAACACTGGTCCCCACTGAACCACACGTGAAACCTTGGCATTGTTGACTATATTAAGGCAGAGGGATAGGGCAGTTTGGGTCGGGTGGGAGAGGAGCTGGGGAGATAGGGAGAAGTGTTCGTGGGGGTGGGGTGGGGAGAGGTGGAGAGGGGTGCCTTCCATGTCTTCTAAGGAATTACACTTCTAGAAAGAAGCATAAGTTACAATCAATTTCCAGATAATACATGCCTTGAAAGACAGATTGGTGGCTTGCATGTTCATTGTACCCAAACTTTAATTAAACCTTTTAAAACGAAAACCAGCCCTTGCATTATTCTGCTAATTGACCGGACCTGTTGAAAGAAGGCCCTGTCTGGGGCTGCAGTGATTGTGTGCTAATAAAATTTATTTCTGCAGGCTCACCCAATTCCCTATTATGTATTCAAGAACTGTGTGGGCTCCAAGCCAGTCATCACAAAGCAAAAAGTAATAAAACCTCCAAAGATTCCTCCTCCCTGCCCCTGGCCTGCCATTCCTGGTCATGCTCTGTCTTGGCCTGGCTCTTGTGCCATGAGTTCAGTTGGGACCATCTGAGGTTTTGCCCTTTTTCAGCAGTGGGGATTTGGAAGTGCCTGCGTTTATTTAAGTGGGCACTTTGAAGGCTCCCCAAGTTCATAGGACACGAGGCTGGTGATGAGCAGAGATGTTACTTCCCAGTGCTGGCAGCATGGCACATAGAGGTGGGAGTGACAGCCATAGCCTCATTCTTTTCAATTCCATTCAGAGAAATCAGGGGCTATAGCCAGCTCGGCTCCTTAGCCTCATCTCCTTGGCAGGCTGCAGTGCCCTGAGCTGCCATGGTGCTTCTCAGGGTCTTGGACTTGGCTTCCATCTGCTGCTCACATGTCTGCAGGAAAGGAAGAGCCTGGAGCCTCTACTTCCCTGGGACAGGGTGGGGCGTCTTATGCCACACAGGGGAATGGCTGAACCCAGCTCTGTGACTGCTCTGCTGAGAGACCCTGGTTAGATGCTGTCCCTCTAGGCTTTGGTGTCCCTATCGGTCTGGAGAAGGGGCAGCCAGTCTTTGGGTCTGTGATCACTCCAATGCTTATGGAGGCTTCCCAGTGTCAAGAGAAGCAGGCCTCCTGGCTATGGTGGGGAGGGGCTCTGTTTGGGAGGACACAGAGCTTTGCACCTCCTCTGTGACCTGTGCTGCTTGCCAGGGGTGGAGGAAGATGGGAACTGACCTTGATGGAGAGAGAAACTGCAGCACGATGTTTCCTGACTGTCCTTGCCTCCTATGGTGCAATCTTGTCAGAAATTCGTCACCAGTGAAAAGACCTAGCCAGATGTTCCCCCTGGGCACTGCCCTTGAATCTTCATGAGACAATAGTAGGCACTCTTTCAGTCACTCGACAAACAGGTGCTGGGTACAACAGAATGAACCAGCGCCGGGTTCTCACTTGGTAGCTGTGGAGACAGGCGTACCTAAAGTACCACCTGGCAAGAGCTGTAAAAGTGCTGCATGCAAGACACTGTGGGAGCCCAGGCAAGGGAGTGAGTGACTAAGCCTCCTGGGGTGCAAGCTGCCAGGCTTCCTGGGGAGTAGGTGTTGGAACTGGGCTTTAAAGGAGTAATAGGGATCTTCCGGGGGAGAAGCAGAGAGAACGATGGAAGCATATGGAAGCTTCGAGTGGGCTCTGGGATCAGGCTCTGAGGTCATGGTGCTGCCCTGGCTGTGAAGGTAGCCAGGGACGTCTGGCCTTGTTCATGTTCTCAATGCTGATACCCACACTGAGAGAGGTGATTGCAGGGTTGTGATGGAGACTGGCCAAGTCCAGAGATCCAAGTGCTTAGATCTGGAGAAGGCAGAAGATAACCTCATTCAGGAAATCCAGAGGGGACGATGGTGGCAGCAGCATGGTAGAGCTGCTGATTGTTTGACACACACACGCGCGCACACACACACGGGCACTGCCATGAACTAAATGTGTCCACCTCAAAATTCATGTTAAAGCCCTGACCCCAATGTGATTGTATTTGGAGGTGGGGCCCTTGGGAGATAATTAAAGTTAGGTAAGGCCATGAGGATGGGGACCCACAATGGAATAGTGTCCTTATAAGAAAAGGAAGCGAGACTAGAGCTCACTGTCTCCTTCTGCCGTGTGAGGACACAGTGAAAAGGCAGCTGTCTGCAAGACAGAACGAGACCTCTCACCAGGAACTGAATCTGCTGGCACCTTGATCTTGGACTTCCCAGCTTCCAGAATTGTGAGGAATAAATGTGTTGTTTCAGCCACCCAGTCTATGGTACGTTGTTATAGCAGCCAAGCCGACTGAGACAGGCAATGTGCAGACACACATGGAGACACATACACACATGCACACACATATGCGTATGTACACACATGCACACATACCAACAGACAGGCATACACACACACACACACACACACACACACACACACATATTCATTTGTCAACACACAGACGTGCCCAAAGCCAGAAGCATGCCCAGGGGCACACTCACACATAAATGCACATGCCCACAAATGAATGCACACAGCATATGAACATTGAGCCCCACTTTCCACAGCACCCCAGGCCTCTCTGCTCCTGGCAAACAGTCAAAAGCCTCCACTCCATGAACGGAAGCAAAGTCTAGAACAGATGCTTAGTGTCCTATTCACTGCACAGGCTGAGACTCTGAGTGGCCCTTTCAGAAAGGCATGGAAAATCCTGTCCGGGGACTCCTAGATGGGACAGCCGTTCCTGATGAGGATGGATCAAAATCTGTACTTTCATTTCTGCTTGTGCTTCCCCACCCCCACTGCCACGAGCCCGGGAGTGCCGGCAAAGGGGCACAATATGGGGGCAGAGGAGGCAGCTACTGCAATCCTGGGGAAAAGGGAGGGTAGGCAGCCTTGAATCTGCCCGTGTGTGGGGTGGGGGAGGGGAGGTACATATGAGTGTGTGTGTGTGCATGTGTACGCGTGTGAATGTACACGTGCGAGTGTGTGCACACACATGTGTATTTGTGTGTGAGTGAACTGCAGGTGGCAACCCTTGCTGTGCCCCTTTGGCAGTGCTGAGCCACTGCCACCTGCATGTCACCAGGGCCCATGCTAAGGTGGGGATGACAGGCTGTGAGCAGCCCAGGGAGAGTAATGATGTGCTGGGGCCTCAGAGCCTGTGAGAGGGGCTGGGGTCAGGGCAGACTCAGGGTGGTAGCCAGCAGGCAGCCTTCTTTCTCCCAGATCAAGTTCCGTGCACTTCCTCTGCATGGGGTAGTCGCCAGCCTGAGCCTCCCCAAGGGCACTTGTCTGTCCTCATTCCTGTGTTCCTGTTGGTTGTGGCCTCTAGCATGCTGTGGTCAGAGAACTCAGGTTCTCTTGATCTAGGAGGCAAAAAGCCCTGGTGTACACCCAGGTTCTGCTGCCTGTCAGCTGTACAACCTCCTGAACCACACAGGTCTCATTTACAAAATGAGTGTCAATGGGAAGCACAACTTGCTCTAGGATGGTGGAAGCCTGGGATGCATGCTAGTTCCTGTGGCTTTGGGCAAGTCCATTCCTCTCTCTGGGCCAGTTTCGCCATCCTGATAACTTTTTAAAAAGAAACAGATAAACCAGTTGCTACTCTTTTTAAACGGGGTGGGGGATAGTGAATTTTGAGGGTCAGGAGGCATCTATTTAGTGTCTTCAAGTTCATTCCACAACATGAAATTGGCACAGATGTACCAAGTGCTGACTCTGTCCATTCTCTGTGCTGAGGTGGTATGGAGGTGAGCATTAAGCAGTGAACAAGACTAGTTTGTGTCCTTGCATTCAGGGGCTGACAGTCTAGCCAGGGAGCTGGAATAGACAGAGCCAAACACAATAGGTGGCCTCTAAGGGCTCTTCTGGCTCTGAGCCCCCTGAGTTTGCTCCAAACTGGCCTGATCAGGAATAGGAACCCTAGAGAGAGGAGAGAAGATGTGGTTGGTAGAACAATGCCTCTCCCCACACCCCAGAGCCTGGGAGTATGTTACCTTCCAAGGCAAAGGGGACTCTGCAGGTAGAATTAAATCAAGACTCTTGACATGGCGAGATCATCCTGGATTATCCGGATGAGTCCTAATGTAATCATGAGAGGGGCACAGTAGGGTCAGTGTCAGTAGCAGGAGATGTGAGGATGGAAGCAAGAGAGTGGAGTGATTTGAGGAAAGGCCACAAGCCAAGGAACACAGGTGGCCTCTAGAAGCTGGAAAAGGCGAGGAAACAGATTCTCCCTTAGAGCCTTCAGAAGGAACACAGCCTGCTGGTGCCCTGATTTTAGCCCAGTGTGACCCATTTCAGACTTCTGATATCCAGAGCAGTAAGAGCATAAATGTGTGTTGTTTTAAGCCACCAAGTTGGAGGTAATTTGTTACAGCAGCCCTAGGAAACCGATCCAGAAAGGAATTGGCTCTTAAGCTCTTACTGTATGCCAGGCATTGTGCTCTGGGGTTGCCACTGATTGTCTCCCTTGATTCATAGAACAGTCTCCATGGTTTTGGAAAGCTCTTACTATAATGCCTATTTTACAGACGAGGATTATGCCTATGTTCACCCAGAGGAGATGTGATAGCACAAGGACTGGCTTCAGGCCTGCTGGACTCTGGGCTGTGTGCTCCCCAACTGCTGCTGAAGGGATGGAATTTCCCAGATTGGAGGGCAGATTCCTCTGCAGCCATTCAGTGCTGGGGAAGGAAGGTGCTATTCTAGATCAGGCTGGACTCACCTTCCATCACTGACTCACCTTCCATCACTGACTTCCATCACTGACTCCCCTGGGCCAGCCTGGGTGTCAGCATCTTCCAGTGGCCTGCAGCTCCAGCAGTGATGCTTTTTCTAGCACCCCTGCCTGGGCATTGATCCCCAAATTTTGGCCAGAATGCCTCTGGGGCAGTGAGCTCACAGAACACATGGAACTGCTGTGGCTAAACAGCCTCTCTGTCCCATCATATTCCTTGAAACCCAGGGAGTTTGCAACATCTGTGTCCCAAGGCCCCAGCAGACCTGGACACTAAGACTCAGAAAAGGATAGGGCTTTCGCCCAAGGTCACCTAACTGGGTCAATGTCAGATTAAGGTGGGGCCTGCAGCTCTTGCTTAGCAGCAGCTGGCTCTCCCTGTTGGCTGGGATTGTTGGCCCTGATTTATGAGTCGAACAGCCAAAGAGACCTGATTCAATAGCAGGCACAAGCAACACACAATTAGCCTGCTGGCATGGCAGCAAGTGTGGCAAAGTGAATTTCTTCACTGGCCCCTGAAAGACCTGTTTGAATAACACAAAGTGTTAACACAAGTCTTATTTCCCAGCTACTCAGATTAGCACTGACAATTGCCAGCCTGTGACAAGGGCAGTGGCTGAGAGGCACCTCAGTTCACATGGATGGCCACGTCATCTTTGCCTTCGCATGATACCCCCACAGGGAAACCAGCCACAGCAGGAGAGGGAGGCATGTGCTTCCATCTCACCCAACTTGCATCTGGGAGGAGAAGGCCAGGGGTGGGTTGGGAGACAGATGCTTCCACATCTGTACCCTGTCCTTTCTTCTTGCTGCCAGGACCTCCTTTTGGGCAATGCCACAGGTGTAATTCTAGCACCTTTCAGAACACTAACTCAAGAAGATGGGTGTGGTCCCCTTTTCCAAGCTCTGGCTCATTGGGAAGCCCACAGGCACTCCCAGGGCAGCTGGGGCCTTCCTGGGGGATTCTAACTGCAGGAGAGTCCTGGTGTTGTAGGAAGTAGTTTTACCACCACTACCTCCCATCCAGGGTCCTAGCTTTATCCTCTGGAGCCTCTCAACAACCTTGCCCTCCAGCAGACCCCAGAAGGTCAGAGCGGGGGTCCCTGCTCTCAGCGAGAACTCAAGGTCTAGTGGAGAAGAGATGGGGGAGCTGGGGCTCCCCAAGGAGCCATGTGTCCCAAGGAATCATGAGTTAGGACTTCAAGGCCCTCAACTGTCACCCAAAACTCTGTGAGGCAGGTCTTGTTATCCCATTTCACAAGTGATGACAGACTGAGGGCAGCTTGCCCAGTGTTGCTCAGTTGGAAAGGAGCTGACCAGAGATGGAAGCCCAAAGTGGGTGTGTCAAGACCAGTGCCAGGTTGCCATCCTCTGAGGGACCTATTATCACTGAACCACACTTTGGGATTTCTCATTGACTTGCATTCTCATTTGGGAGCCACCATATTTTCATTTCTGATTGATCTTCAATACATTTTCTCTACTCCAAAGTACTTAATGGTCTATAAATACATTCTTAAATGCACCTGGGAGCTGTTTAGTCAGTGCAATCTTTTTTATTATTCTTATACCATGGTTCTCAAAGTACGGTTCACAAACCAGTAGTATTAGTATCACCTAGAGCATCTTAGAAATTCAAATTCTCAGGCCCTGCCTCCAGATTATTGAAGCAGAGATTCTGGGTATAGGGCCCAGCCAAGACTGACTACCATAACTTGTGGGGCTCACAGCAAAATGAAAATGCAGTCTGTTGTTCAAAAATTATTAAGCATTTCAAGATGGTGACAGCAAAGCATCAAACCAAGCATGGGGCCCATCTGAGCAAGGGCCCTGTGTGACTGCATGGGGTGCACACTCATGAAGCCAGGCTTCTGTCCATCAACTGTGTTTTTACAACCACTCCACGTGATTCCGTGCCCACTCAAGTGTGAAAACTACTTCATTAACTCTTTTTCATTTTAAAAGTAATACCTGTTTGTTAAAGAAACCAGGAAATACAGATACATGCAAAGAAGGAAATGAAAAGGAAAGAGAACCACAAATGATCTCACTACTTAGAGATAAATAAACTGTTAACTCTTCATCATATTTCCTTCCTGTCTGTTTTCTTTGCACACGTTTTAGGTTATTATGTACATATGTGATCCCACCAAACTTTCAAGGGTGTACCGTGTTCTCTTCCTTAACATATCATAAGTGTGTTCCACACAGTCAGGTCTTCTTCATAATGGCTGCATATCTGTGTCACCAGCTTTTATCCTCATACCCTCAGCTGCATCAGTGTGCCCCTACTTTCTTCCCCAGAGTCATTTTACTGTGGCAGTCTGCTAAATCATTCTTGCCACATGTACAAACCTGGAAACATGAGAGTCAATATTCACTGAGGCAAACTTTGATGAAAAGATAAATACTCTTTTCTTCCATGTCTTGGGCAAACAATCCAAGGTGCATTCCATTGGATCCTCAGAGAATTCCCAGTGGATCTGAGCTTTACTTGCCCACAGCAGTGAGCAACTCAGTAATACACCTTAGATTGGCTTTTCCTCTTTTCCTCTTTCGTTTTTTCCCGTCCTTCCCTCCTATTCCCTGGGACCATTTCCCAAAAGAAACTTGTCTCAGACTCTACTTTTGGGGAGAATGCGAGCTAAGGCAATACTCTTCTAATCAAATGGGTGAAGCATCATTGTTTTAAGCAGTCCCACCTGTTGGAAACATAGTTGGCTCTTGCTTTTTCTCTATTTTAAACTGATGTGGACCTTTCTTGGTATGAAGCTTTTCTGTATCTAGGCAAATTTCTCAGGACAGAATCCCAGAGATAGAATTAATGGGTCAAAATGTTGAGCATTTTTTTAGGGTTTTCATCCTGCACTGTCTAAAGCAGAGCAGGTCAGCTTCTGGCTGGCCAGGCTAGCTGCCACTTAATCGATTGAAAACCTCTTGGTCAAGCTTTCGTGGCCTGAAGGTATAGGAAGCATGGCCTGCATACAGTCCTCATACCATCTACCAAGCATGGGTGGCAGGACCACGTCAGAGGTGGGGACAAGGACATGGCCATATGAGTTTGCTGTGGCTGCCATAACAAAATGCCACAAACTGAATGGCTTCAACAACAGAAGTGTACTGCCTCCTAGTTCTGGAGGCTGCAAGTCTGAGGTCAAGGTGTGTCAGCTGGGTTGATTCCTCCTAAGGGCTATGAGGGAGAGTCTGTTCCATGTCTCTCCCCTAGCTTCTGGGGGTTTGCTGGCCCTCTTTCAGGTTTCTTGTCTTGTAGGAGCATCATTCAGACCTCTGCCTTTGTTTTCACACAGCATTTTCCCTGTGGTGCTGGTTTCCAAATTTCCCCTTTATATGAGGACACCAGTCACATTGGATTATGGACCCGCCCTATTCCTGTATGACCTCATCTGAACTGATTACATCTACAATGACCCTATTTCCAAATAAAGTCACATTCTGAGGTACTGGGGCTTAGGACTTCAACATAGGAATTTTGGGAGGACATAATCCAACCCCTAAAAATGGGGTTGTAGCCCACGCAGGAAACTCTACCTTGGGCCCTGTCCCTCCATGGAATCAATGAGAACCAAGAGAGGGCTCTCCTTCGATCTAGTCCCTTAGAAAGTTATGGGGAGAAGGCTGGGCATGGTGGCTCATGCCTGTAATCCCAGCACTGTGGGAGGCTGAGGCAGGCGGATCATGAGGTCAGGAGTTCAATACCAGCCTGGCCAACATAGTGAAACCCCGTTTCTACTAAAAATACAAAAATTAGCTGGGCACAGTGGCACACGCCTATAGTCCCAGCTACTCGGGAGGCTGAGGCAGGAGAATCACTTGAACCTGGGAGGCGGAGGCTGTGGTGAGCCAAGATTGGGCCACTTCACTCCAGCCTGGGCAACAGAGCAAGACTCCATCTCAAAAAAAAAAAAAAAAGTTATGGAGAGAAAGAGCCACAGCTCCTTTCTGTAAGTGGATGTGGAGTGGAGCTTGTCTCAAACCAGTGCCCTGAACCAGGGTCCTAAGGCACCAGGCCAGCACAGGTCCCTTCCAATGCATGATATCCCAGCGGGACCAGAGGAACCACAGAGTAGAGCCCATCTAGCTCAACTCCTCATTTCTCCGAGAGGAATCCGAGGCCTTGAGAGGGCAAAGAGCTCACCTATCACAGAACAAGAAAGTGACAGTCAGGCCTGGGACCAGGTACTCTGGACTCCTATGCATGCCCCACAGTTGACTTTCTCCGCTTTTTCCTCTTAGCACAGACTCTCAGAGCCATGAGGTGCAACAGAAGCCCAGACGGGATTGGGATTTGCTCAAAGTCGCCTAGTGAGTCAGTGACGGGGCTAGGATTGGAATCGAGGTGTGTTGACTCCTAGCTCTATGCCCTTTCTGGAATCCCTACACATACTGTCCAGCCCTGTTTCCCACATCACATACCACTGACACTTTGTTAACAGGGGTGTCACAGCAAAATTTTCCAGTTGAAACTCACTTGATAAATGCTAAATTCAACAAAGTTAAACTGCAGGACTTCTCAGGGCCTTTTCTTTGCCATGTGCATTGGGATTCTCCAAGGCAACAGTGGAATCTGCAGGGTTTTCCCAGCTGCTTTGACCTCAGAAAACCTTTATCTGTGAACCCCTGTTGATTTTTCTCTAGACCCCCAGGATGGGCTTCTGAAGTCCATGAGAGCCTGGAGGTCTCTTTGCAGGGCAGCAAGTGATGTGTGGCATGAAGCAGAGGAGGGGTGAGAAGGCAAAGGCCATCAGACCCAGGCCTGCCTTTGGTGGACTCAAGAACTGGAATCATTCAAACCTTCTCACAGCAACACCCCTTAAAAAAAGCTGCTAATGCATTCTGTGCTGAGGTCTTGTAGTTGTATTTACCTCATTACAAGAAACAACTAGTTTTCTTTTCTGTTCTCACCCATACCTACCCTAGTGCTTGGCAGCACCTGCACCCTTTAGCTTATAGCCAAGAAAAATGCAGCTCACTCATCAGGGCAATTTCTCTCCTCATGACAGAGCACAGTTTTCCCAGAGAGAGACTGAGACTTTCCTCTAGCCAATGAAGGGGATTCAAACGGTCCCATGGGAAGGATGTGGGAGCCTCCATGCTAGCTCCTGGGGGAAGAGCCAGGCCTGGTCCTGCCCCTATGTACCTTCAGTCTGTTCCACTTGGCCAGGGTTGGCATGGACAGTGGCATTGCCGATCTTTGGTGCTGGGCCCTTTGCAAAGAGGGGCTGATGGCTAGGAAAGGATGAGGACTTCTCTAGCAATTCCCGAAATGATTTCACCATGAGGTCCAACTTCGAGGGTTTTAGTGTAAATAAGGCAAACACACAGAGATGAAATCTGCCTTCCAATCAACTTGTTTCCCAAGCTGAGGGAACGTGTGTTTGGCAAAGAAATTTAGCTACAGCCCAAGCTTGGCAAACCCAGATGGATGTGGGTAATGACCCTGAAACTCCCAAGGTAGAAAACAACAAAGGCAGGAATCCCAACCATGGGCTGACCTTTGCATGCAAGAATATGATGTCATCTCATAATAAATATCTTCCAATGCAGCTGCTCATGTCTCAGCTCTCAAGACAGCCTGAGTACAGCATACGGTCTATAGTAGACTTAAATAGGCATTATGAAGCATTTCAATTTGAAGACAAAAGGTGTGGATTGAGGTCCATGTGCCCAATGGAGTCTCACTGTTATTCTACAAAATCCAGTGAGGTAGGTATTTCTTCCCTTTCACAGATGAGCAAATGGAGGCAAGAGAGGTGAAATGTTTTGTCCAAAGACCACACAACTCATTCGTGACAGAGCTATACTAGGCTTTAGAAGCATTGCATCTGTTATAAGGAAGAAGAGGCTCTGAATTGGCACTCTTGGCTAGCAAGGAGAAGGGAGAAGAGCCAGCCAGGGGTTGGGGTACCATGCAAAAGCCCAGATCTCTGCTCCCTGCTCAATGCCCAAGGAGAATGAGAGAAAGCTAGAAGCCAAGCAGGCAGGAAACTCCCATTATCAGCATTCAGGTCTCTTGTCATCGAAGGAAGTGTGTTCTCTGCCCTTGCTTCAGGGGAATTTAGGAGCCCCATACAAGTCGGCTAGCTCAGTGACTTCCTGCTCTCCACCCGCTGGGAGCTGGTATATTGCTGACTGGGGGGATTGGGGAGAGGATAGGCAAGTCAGCCGATCTCGCAGTGCATGATAAAAGGTGTGCTCTGAAGTTGGCAGAATATCCTGTTTCATTCACGAAGCACCCAGCCAGAAATAGAGTGAGAGCTCTTACATGCGGATGCCCTGGCGAGCTTGGAAAGTGAGAAATAGAAATACTTCAGCCACAACATTTTCTATCCCAACTTCAAATGGGAGAGTTAGGTAATTGTCACTTAGTCATACTACTAACGGGGCACAGGAAGGAGGAGCAGGACTGGCTGTGGTGAAAGCCCCACTTCTCAGCTCCCCTGGAATCAGGTGACTGGCCATATCTGTGCTGCTCAGGGGCCTAGGAGCTAGAAATTGAGAGACAAGAGGAGCCTGTCCCCCACGTCATCCAACTGACAACAGCTAGAAACAAGAAGCCCCGCTTGGATCCCCAAGATGAGCACTTCAGTTGCAAGCTGCGGAAGCAGGTTTTCCTGGAGCCCATTGGAAGAGCCAGCTCCAAGGCTGCCCTGGAAGGTGGATGGGGGCTTCCGGCTTGGGAAGCCTCCAAGCTTCTGGAGGGCGTCTGCTTAGGACGGAGGCTGCGGTTAGGGCCACCCCCTCCAAGGGGCCTCACCTAATGCCACAGCCACTGACAGCCTCAACTTGGCTTCTGGACCAGAATCCTGCTCACAGTGAAGGGCTAGTCAGGAGTGACAACACTCCAAACCTCAGAGCCCACCAAAAATGGCATTAATTATGTTGATGGCCCTGAACCTGATTTAGTTGTTGATCTTAAAATTGAGGGAGAGAAGGAGAAATAGTCTACTGAGAAAATAAAAAAAATCCTGTGGAGGGTGGATAAAAGCTTCCCAGAATACCTGAATACCCCCAGAATACCTGAGACTGGGTAATTTCTTCATAAATTTTTATAAAGAATAAAATAGTATGCAAAGGGACTAACACACCTCCCAATTAATAAATTGGGAAGCTGATGCTTACAGCCAGACAGATCTCTTCTGGGTCACACAGCCTGTGAGCAGTAGGTAGATGCAGGAATTGAAGTCATGGCTCCACCATACCATCACATGGCCAGTTGTGGCACAATATAATGCTCAGAGCATTTTCTGGAGTCTTACAGAAAGTGGTAGAGGAAATTATAGGGTGGGGTGGAAGTGGAGGTGGAGGCAGAAGAGATGATGTTGGTAGAAGTAATGATGGTGGAAGGTAGTGAAGGTTGGGGTGGAGGTGATGGAAGTGATGGTGATGATGGATGGGGAGATAGTAATGATGGTAGTGGTGGAGATGAGGGTGGTGATGGTGGAAGCGGAGGTTTTGATGCTGCAGGTGTGGATGGTAGAGGTGCTGGTGATGGAAAGGAGGCTCTTGCATAGTCCCTGAGTCATGCGGCTGTCCTTGGGGCCCTTGGTAGGGGAGCTGAGGTTACTCGGGGAAGAAGGCAGAAGGAAGGGGATGGTTAGTGGTAGGAGATAGAGAGAGAGGGAAAGGAGTTTACTGAGCCCCACTGCATACATCTTGGGTAGGATGGGAGTGGCATTTGGCATTGGTAATCACCCTGGGCTGGGGAACACGTGAGCACCTGAAGGTTCAGGCTGCACCATGGTTCTTATTTATCACTTAATTGTTCCTCCTGGAAGTTCATCTCAGACAGACCAGCTGGGGCTGTGGAGGGCTACGGTCTGGTCCTCTCTCTCAGCCTAGCTAATGGGAATGTCACCACATGAAGTCCTTACACTGCGTTATGCCCTTCCACGAGCAGAGGCCAAGATGGGATTATTATCCAAGGATTTTCTTTTCTTTTCTTTTCTTTTCTTTTCTTTTTTTTTTGAGATGGAGTCTTGGTCTGTCACCATCTGGAGTGCAGTGGCGTGATCTCGGCTCACTGCAACCTCCGCCTCCTGGGTTCAAGTGATTCTCCTGCCTCAGCCTCCCGAGTAGCTAGGACTACAGGAGCGCACCACCACGCCCGGCTAATTTTTTTTTTTTTGTATTTTAGTAGAGATAGGGTTTCACCATGTTGGCCACGATAGTCTTGATCTCCTGAACTTGTGATCCGCCCGCCTCGGCCTCCCAAAGTTTTGGGATTACAGGTGTGAGCCACCGCGCTGAGCCAGGATTTTCTTTATAAGAAATTCCTGTGAGAAAAATGAGGAGGTAGCCCAGGAAGTCTGAAGAACCACCACACCACAGTGCAAGGCTGACCCTGAGTGAAAGAGAGAGAAGGAAGGTTGTATTAAAGTGTCTAGACCACCGTGCAGTATAAGAAAGGCTTGGCAAGGCCATCAGGAAGTCCTCAACAAGAGTCAATCACCAGAGGAGGCCCCTGTCTCCCAGGAATGACCTAATTTAGTACCCCTGCCAGCTCAGTCACTGGCCATAAACAGTCCGTGGGAAGCATGGACCCGTGCAAACACAGAGATGGATTTCAGAGCACACTCGCTGGGGCCCCAGGTCAAGGCCTCCTCCTGCAGTTGGACATCTGTGAGGTGCATTCTCACGGTCCCCACACACTCCTTTGCTGCTCACCTGTCTCTACCAGCTTTCAGGTGGCTCAGAGCTAGCCAAAACTTGGAAGTGACAGAGGTGGCTCAGAGCTAGCCAAAACTCGGAAGTGACAGAGGTGGCTCAGAGCTAGCCAAAACTTGGAAGTGACAGATAACCTTCCGAACTGAATTTAAGAACTTTGGCTTCTAGCCCAGGCTCTGACCCACTACTCATGTCTCCCCAAAGAGGAAGCTGTGCTTTATTCCTTGCAAAGCCAGCTTAGGTTGAGTGACTTGCTTTGGAGTTTGTTTTCTATTTTAGTGCAGAATGAGGCAGCCTTTTGCAAGGCACAGGAACTAGCCCAGCTGCACAGGAACCTCTCTTTTTAATGCACCATTAGAGATCCACTTACAAAAGCCTCTACTAAAGAGACTTCTCACTTTCTTACAAGGGCAATGACACTGCTACCTTTCCTTTCATTTTGGTTCCAGAGTCCCGACTCTTTCTACTTTGTTGCTGGCCTGTTAGACGCCTTGGATGCTTTTAGTCTATTCTGACTCCCATTCACATCTTTACACTCACTCTGGTACCAGCATCTGGATCATCTCCAGAGCACTGAGACACACACATGGTGGAGAGAAACAGACAGAGACAGAGACAGAGACACACACAGATAGAGAGAGAGAGAGAGAGAGAGAGAGAGAGAGAGAGAACTGTACAACTGTACACTGCTGGAGAGGTAAGTCTTATGTGTGCTAGTGACAACATATCTTAGTGGGAAAAAGAATGTGGTGGTGGAAGGAGGAGGGGAAATGTGTATTTGATTGTAGTGGAGGGGAGCAGATGAGGAAAACAATCAAGCTGTTTTTCCTACTCCCCCAGAGGGAAGCTACACTCTCAGAAGAGGAAGGAAGAAAGGAAGAAGGAAGTGTAGGAAGGTACAGGAAGGACCTACCTCAGACTAGGACTAACCTTCCATGTTCTTTTGTGCACTGAAGCCTCCCAGTCTGCAGAAGTAACTAACACATCCTTTACCTTTTTATTCTGGGGCCCACCAAATACAGAAGACCCCTTTGGGACCTCCCAGTAAATGTGGTGACTCACCTATGTCCTTCACAAGCCCTATAGGCTGGTCACACTGGATGACTCCATCCTTGTTGAATGTGTCCTCTACTTTTTGACTTTTGTGATTTTTGTCACATTGTTTCTGCAATTTGGAATGTCCTCCCCAGCTGTCTGCCCCCATCCATTCTTCTATGTGGCAAATCAAATGCCCCCTCCTCCATGAATAAGTCCTCTTGAATTACCTCAAGGATAATGACTCACTTCCCCCTCTTATCTCCAAGAGCAATTTGCTTTTAACTCATTTAACCCTTTATTGTTCTGCTGTATACATCACTGTTTCTGATTATCCAAGCATGCTGATGGAGACTATTTAGACAAAAACAGAAAAGCAGAAACAAAGAAGTCAAGGGGGAGAATCACCCATAATTCCCTCTTCCAGAAAGAACTCTGTTAACATTTTGGCATATTTCCATACATAGTTTCTTTACTATATATACACATTTGTATCCTTTTCTTTTTTCATGTATCATCTCTTTGGGTGTCCTGGAAGCAGAGCCCAAGACAATATTTTGGTGCAGGTAGTTTATCGTGGAGATATGATAGTTAATTTTATATGTCAACTTGGCTGAGACACGGTTCTCAGATATTTGGTCAAACATTACTCTGGATGTTTCTGTGAGGGTATTTTTTGGATGAGATTAGCATTTAAATAAGGGGGCTTTGAGTAAAGCAGGTTGCCCTCCATTATGTAGGTGGGCCTCATCCAATCAGTTGAAGGTCTGAATAGAACAAAAAACTGACCTCTCCTGAGCAAGAGAGAATTCTGCCAGCAGATGGCCTTCAGCCTTCATCTGCAGCAGCAGTTCTTCCCTGAGTCTCCAGCCTGTCAGCCCACCCTGCACATTTTGGACTTGGCAGTCTTGTAATCACATGAGCCAATTCCTCAAAATCAATCTCTTTCTTTCTCTCTCTCTCTCTTTTCTTTGAAGAACCCTGACTAACACAGGAGCTGATCCCAGGAAGCAGGTATGAAGGGGTGGGGAGCATGACACAGGGAAAAAGGGACCATCAATGTTAGTGTATGCTACTGAAGGAGCTGCTGTGGGCAATCAGAACTTGATTCCGTCAGGGCCTCCTGGGAAGTGCCTAGAAAGCGTTCCATAGTTGCCTGCCCATCTGAAGGGTGGGAGGTTGGAGTATTTATCCATTGGCCCCTGGCTGCATCAGCCAAGGGTTGCTCCTGGAGCCATTAACAATCCTGCACTTCCAGATTGTGTTTATAGGCCAGCTGGGAGGGCTCCCGTAGCTTCGAGTAAAGCTCTGGAGCTGACCATGCAAAGACAGGAGGCCTAATCTCCAGGGGAGATGATGTCAGTGGTAGGTGAGTCATAGCTCCCATGGAAGTGTGCACTGCATTGTGACTGAAACCGGTGGGAATGTGATGTGGGGCATCAGATATGTCTACTACCCCCATTGGAACAGACATATTGCTCCACATCATTTAAAATGCTTTAATATCATTCCTTTTGATGGATGCACAATGTTCCACTGCATGGATGTGCCAGTTAGGTTGTTTCTAATATTTTTATCTTATAAATAATGCTGCAATGAACACCCCTTATACTAGTCTGCTCAGGCTGTCATAACAAATACCATAGGCTGGGTGGCTTAAACCACAGGAACGTATTTATTCACAGTTCTGGAAGTTGAAAGTCCAAGATCAAGGTGTGGGCAGGGTTCATTTCTCCTGAAGCCCCTCTCCTTGGCTTAGCAGATGACCATTTTCTCCCTGTGTCCTCACATGGTCTTCCCTGTGTGTGTCCCACTGTCCTAATCTCTTCTTATAGGGATACCAGTCAGATTAGATTAGAGCCCACTCTAATTCTCCACATACATTCTGGAGTTCTTGGAGAGTTAGGGCTTTAATATATGAATTTTTGTGGGGGGGGGGCACAATTCAGCCTCTGAGCACACTCAGTTGTTTCTGAGTCTGTTTCTCCCACTGAACTGTAATCTACTCAAGGGAGGTAACTGGGAGCCATTTAACCCAGTTTCCCCAGGGCTCAGCACTGAGCTACTGTTGTATAGTATTGTGGACATTAACAATATTACAACTGACTGCAAGTGATGTTGATGGAGCACTTGCCATGTGAAAGGCACTTCATGGACTTTCTCCCTCTCTTTTAATTAAAAGAGTATACTTTATATACTCATAATTAATTGGTAGTCTGTTGTTGGTATTGATGTGTTTATGCCCCTTTACCCTCCCCCATTTATAATATAATTGTCTTAACTATTTTCTGTATGTACATAGAGAACTGCCTCAGAGAATGTAATTAGTTTTTGTTTGTTTGTTTGTTTTGCTGCAACTGCCAACATAATTCAGAAAACTCAAGAGGAGGAGGAATGTCTAATGCATTTGCCCATATTTTTATTCTTTCTTCCTGCCTGATGTCCCAAGATTCCTTCTTTTATCATTCATTTTCCCTTTCTATTTAGAGAGCTCCCCTTGGCCATTCTTTTAAGGTAGGTCTCTGGGTGACAAAGCCTTTTAGTTTTCTTTCAGAAGGATAGTTTTTCTGGATATTGGTTTCTGGATTGGCAGTTCTTAAAATATGTTGGGTCAATTCCTTCTGGCCTCCATGGTTTCTGATGAGATATCTGCTGTCATTCAAATTGTCTTTTCCCAATAGGGAAGATATCATTCTTCTGAACTCCAGTCATGATTTTTCCTTTGCCTTTCATTTTCAGGAGTTTGACTGTTATGTGTTGTGGCATTGATTTCTTTGAATTTATCCTGTTTGGGATTCATTTAACCTCCTGAGGTTTCTGTTTTTTGCCAAATTTGAAAAAATTACAGTCATTATTTCTCCAAATACTTTTTCAGGCTCATGGTCTTTTCTTAATTCTCTTCCTGGGACTCTGATGACATGAATATTGATCTTTCATTATAGTCTCACAGATCCCTTAGGCTCTGTTTATCTTTTTCCACTAAATTTTCTCTCTGTTTTTCAGCTTGAGTAAATTCTGTTGTTCCACCTTCAAGTTCACTGATTTTCCCTTTGTCATCTCCAATCTACTATTGAGTCTATCCAGAGAGATGTTGATTTCAGTTACTGTGTTTTTCAGATCTAAAATTTCCACTGGGTTCTTTTTTATATCTCCCATTTATTTGCTAAGATTGCCTGGATTTTTATTTGTTGCAAACATGTTTGCAATTGATTTCTGAAGTAGTTTGGTGACAGATGCTTTACAGTTCTTGTCAGATAATTTCAACATCTGATTTGTCTCAATGTTGGTATCTGTTGATTGTCTTTTTTATTCAAGTTGTAATTTTCTTAGTTCTTGGTATACCAAGTGATTTTGATTATATCCTGGACATTTTAGGTATTATGTTGTGAGACTTTGGATTTTTGTTTAGGCCTTTTGTTATCACAGGCCTTACCTGATACCACTTGTTGGGTAAAGGAAAGTGCTGCCTTGTTATTGCTAGGTGGGGTTGGAAGTCTACGTTCTTCACTTAATCTCCTTTGACACCCTGGGAGGGGCTTGGGGAACCTTGTTACTGCTGTGTGGAGGTGGGATTTCAGGCTCCCCACTAAGTTGCCAATGATGCCTTGCTGGCTGAAATGCGGAGAGATACTGCCTTACTGCTCCCTATGTGGCCTCCATGACACTGTGGGTGGTGGTCTCCTTAGCGCTGGGTGGGAAAGAACATTCCAGCTCTCTGACTGGTCTTCTTGGATACCACCTGAAGGGGAGGTTGGAGTGCCTTGTTCTAGCCTGGTGAGGGTGGAAGTATACGCTTTCCACTCAGTCTTTGCTGGTAGGGAAGGGGTGAGGACCATAGTGTTTTCTGTGATGGTTGGCTGGAATAGAATCGTTACTTTGTAAAGGTTTTCTGTCTTGCTAGGCTGCCCCTTTCCTAGTCCTTTGGCTAGAGAGAGAAGGCTTTTCTTTGGGGCCTTTTTTGGTCTGCTCCTGCAGATGTTTCTGGGTTGCTGGTTTCCTCAGCTCTAAATCTGGGATATGTAAGGTAAAAGGAAAACCCAGGGAAGACACCCTTGTGTTATTCCCCGGGTCCTACAGTCTCTAACTTGTCTAATTTCTTCTCTCTGCCTTTCAGAATCTTGTATGTTTGTTTTATTTATCACGTCCAGGGGTTTAGCTGCATTTAATGAGAGAAATAGGGAGAAATATGTCTATTCTCTCTTGTTCCAGCTAGACTTTATCTCTTTTAACCCCCATAACAACCCTGTGAGACAGGTACTAATGTCCTCTCCATTTTTAAGATGAAGCATTTGAAGCCAGGGGAGGTCAAACAGATTTGAAGTGCTAGAGTCTGGGCTAGAACCCGGGACTCTTAACTCCTGGTGCAGAGTTTATTCAATGACATAAAACACATTTCCATGTGTCCCATATTTTTTGATACCCAATAAAACACTGGCAGAACACAGCAAGAGGGGATCAGCTTGTCATCAGGTAGTTGAAAGGAGAGGTGTTTAAAAAAACTAATGGACTTGGTGTCAAAGAATGAACCCAGGATAGACAGCAGGCATAGGGTTTCAAATCAAAGGTTTGTCCCATGCAAGGGTGTTTCATGATAGGCAATGGCTCTGCTCGCCCATGCCTTCTGAGGGCAAGGAATGGGATCCTCTCACATGCCAACCTTTCTGGCCAGCATGTCTCTTACCTGGATTTCTCAGCATAAGGTCCTGGTTCACAAGTTGGAAGATAGATGGGCAGGCCATGAGAGCATCATGTTGAGAGCCAAGGCAAAGCCCTACAGGCATTTCCAAGCTACAGATCAGTGGCAGCAGGCCTACACACTTCTCTTGCTCCAGGGAGCACAGGTGGGTATGGTGAGAAATGTGCAGGGTTGATCTGTGACACTCACTGCCTCTTTATGTCCTTGGAAGCACTTGCCTATTCTTTACCTCATTAGAGACTCCACTTCTGTTAGTATTATTATCCCCAGTTTACAGATGAGGACACTGAGGGCTAGAAAGGAAAAGTGGCTTGTAGAAAGTTCTGTAACTCCTCAATGTTTGTGTATCTGGCTTTCCTATTATTGATAAGCCCCTTGGGGGCTGATGGAGGGACCATACTTGATTCAGTTCCTAGTCACCAGCATTGAGCTCAGTGTCCGATACAGAGGTGAGTGCCCGATACAGCATCGAGCTCAGTGCCCGATACAGTATTTCCTTCCTGTTTCCTGCTTTCCTGCTATCCCTGGCTCAATTGTGGGTGGGATTCAGGTGGGGGCTGGAACCCACTAGAGAGTTTCAACTCTTGTTTGTGTGCAGGAAGCCAAGCCCCGGGTGCAGGCAGAAAGCAAAGATGAAGAGGGAGCCCACTATAACCAGCCCATCTGACCTTGGGGCTTTTGACACCTGCCCCACCCCCTACTTCCAGAAAGACCAAGGGATGGATGGCCTAAGGCTTGGCATTAACCAAGAGGGGCATTGCCAGCATAGCAGCAGGGTCCGTGGGCAATGGTAGGGTCTTTTGCTGCCTTCTCCCCAGTGTTTAGAAAATCTTCTTGTGTATAGGCCTTTAGCAACCATCCCCCTTCCTGCCCTACCTGGTGCCCTTTGAGTGGCACCAAGCTGGTGACTTCATGTTAATTACAAGTGTTCAATTACAGGGCCCCAGACTGTGGCTGAGCAGACATATCTCATGTCACATCTTTTTAGACCAGGCTGAGCTTATATATGTGCTGCTAAATAGAAATACTGCTATCAGATAAGATTCATAATAAACTGCTACTTAGTCTGAGCTGGGAGCTGCTCAGGAGACTGGAGGAAGAGGATTCATCTCACTCCTCCACAGTGAGGCTCTTGGTAGCATCCAATAACCCCAGTAATTTGGTGCACTTGGCCACACACACACACACAGGCACATACACACGAAGCAATTCTCTGGTGGTGTTTTTCTCCATGACCAGGCAAGAGAGAAACTATTTTACAGCATTATAGAATGACTGTGGGGTAATGGGGCCCGTTGTATTTCCATGGTAGCTTTGTTACGGTGGGCACTGCAGAAACTAGGAAAGGGGCTGTCTTCACTGAGTGACCATTGGGCTTGTCTTGAGAGGGGCAGGCAGCAATATTTTTCCTGCCGACCAAGGTGAGTCAAACTCCTCTGGTCTGCTCACTTGGCCTGAACCCCACCTACCAGGGCCAGGATTCTACTAACAGAGCCAGGGAGGTGCTGTGTTGGGGGCTTGCCAGGCTGGTGGGATGGTATGGGAGACTGGACATGCCACCTGGCAAGTTGGCATAAACTGGTCAGGCCTACTGCATTACGGGTTTAGGGAACCCTTTCCCCTGGGAGCTTGTGTGATGGGAAGCCTGGGGGAAGGGTAGATGTATCAGCTCCATGTCTGCTGTTCCTGGGATAGCCATCCACCCCCAAAGACACTATATGTGATCCAACTACACAGCTATTACTACCTGAGCCCTGTGGCATTTTTAGATTTGGTGGCAGAAGGTGTACTTAGTAAGAAGAAAGTCTTCTACTTATGAATCAAATCAACTTTATGTTTTTCAATTCTCTTCAGAGACCAAGTGTTTGTATCCAACTAGGCCCAGGGAGGCTGGAAAGTTTGCAATTCTTTACTTTTAATTTATTTTTATTTTTATTTTTAGAAACAGGGTCTCAACTATGTCGCCTGGAGTGCAGTGGCTATTCACAGGCACAATCATAGTGCGCTGCAGTCTTGAATGAAAGTTTGCAATTATTGATTGGACTTCTGATATGTAACCTTTTGGCCTAGCATCTTCTGTTAGTGCTCAGTTAAGTTACAATTCATTGAACTCATACTACATGCTAGAGCCTGCATATAAATAAAGCATCTTCTTGAACCTTTACAATCAACCTGCCAGGATGTATGAGTTTTCTGTAACAAATTACCACAAACTTGGTGCCTTAAAATAACAGAAATTTATTGTCTCACAGTTCTGGAGTCCAGAAGTCCAAAATCAGTATCACTTCACTGAAATCAAGGTGTTGGCAGGGCCAAGCTATCTCTGGAGGCTCCAGGGGAGAATCCTTTCCTTGGTTTTTCCAGCTTCTGGTGGCTTCTGGCATTCCTTGGTGCAATGACTAGCTGCTTGTGTCCCCCTAAAATTCCTATGTTGAAATCCTAACCCCCAATGTGATGGTATTAGAAGATGGGGCCTTTGGGATGTAATTCTGTCATGAGGGTGGAGCCCTCTTGATTGGCATTAGTGCCCTTGTAAAATGAACATGACAGAGCTCTTTGCCCTTTCTGTGGTGTGAGGATACTGGAAAAGTCAGCTGTCTGCAACCCAGAAGAGGGTTCTCACCAGAACCCGCCCATGCCGGCACCTTGATCTTAGACTTCCGGCCTCCAGAACTGTGAGAAATCACTTTCTGTTGTTTATAAACCACCCAATCTATGGCATTTTGTTATAGCAGCCTGAACTGACCAAGACACCTGGCTTTGTGGTTGCATCACTCCAGTCTCTGTCTCTGTCTATTCTCCCTTTCATAAGGACACTTGTGATTAATTTTATGGCCCATCTAAATAATCCAGGATAATCTCCCCATCTCAAAATCCTAAAATTAATCACATTTTGTGCCATATAAGGTAATGTTCACAGGTTCTGGGGATTAGGGGCTGATATCTTTTGGGAAACATTTTCCAGCCTACCACGCAGGGGCTGCCGCTAGTCTTCCAGGGGGACAAGATGAAGAATGGCTTCCAAGCAGAGGCATGATGGAACTGTGAGCAGTTGAGCATTGCTGAGATGGAGGGGGCCGGCTCAGGACAAGGGTGCAGTGAGCGAGTGCTTTGCTCTGAAGTCAAAGTCCGTGTGGGATTCCTCTGTGTTCCTCCTATAAAACAGGCTAGCCCAGGGCACAAGCCAGTACTAGGTCTCAGGCAGGCTTGGAAGGAGGCACAAAATGGAGGATGGATGGAAGAATGAGTGGATAGATGCACAAATGGAGGGCTGAGGAGACCCACGAACATGCCTGGAACCCCTCAGCCTATCCATCTGCATTTCTCCATAATCAAGATCGCTGCATCACTGCCTGGCAGTTTTGCCCTTTATCCAGTATATCTCATTTGCTCTGTTCGTTGATTCGGATTCAGAGCTGAAATGCCTTTGGAAGCTGAAATGCCAGGCTGCTGTAACAAAGATTCTTTGAAAGAAATACCTTTGGAAGAAACGCCTTCAACAGTCTGTATAGCTCCACTCACCAGCTCAGGAGCTCAGATACTGGCCAGGTGTCTGTATTCTCTCCCTGCGGCAACAGGGCCAGCTTCACAGGCACTCCTCTTTCCTTCCTAGGCAAGGCCTCTGTGTTTTTTCCTGCACAGGAGGCTGGAGCCACGGGGGTGAGGCCTCTCTCTCTGAGTCTCTTGAATTTTACTCCAGCATGGCCGCCATCCTGGCTGGAGCTGAATTCAGGCTTTTCTTCCTCCAAAGAGCCTGTCCTGGTCTCCACACCACCCCTATTGAAATCCAGTTCAATGGCAACACTGTCATTGGAAGAAAGTCTCTCTCATTCTTAGATGCTCAATTCTATTTAGACTCCCCCAACTTAGTCAGATGAGCTGTGGTAGTCTGTCATTCCTGCAGGCAGAATCCGCTTCTGAAGGGCTTTCTGTGTTTCGAGAGCCTCATGCTCCCTGCGGCTGTATCCTTCAGCCGCACATAGGTAACCGTTGCTGCTGAGTTACACCTCTCATGTCTGAGCTTGAGCCCCTGCGTGACCACGGAAGGCAGAGCACGTTTCTGGAGCAGCCTTGTTGTTACCCTGTGTCTACAGAGAATAGTAATCTTGGGTGGCGGACATGATAGAAAGAACACAGGCTCTAGAGTCACACAGATCGGCATTTGGCTCTTAGCTACTCCTGTGCTAGCTGCGTGACTTCAGGCAAGCCACATACCCTCTCTGGGCCCCAGAGTCCTCATCTGATAAAGGGGGGTGTAATTAATGGTCCCTATCTTATAGGGTTAATGTGCATACTGAATAAGGCAATGACTGTCAGTGAATGCGAGGGCTCCTCTGTCCTCCTCTTGAACTCCAGCTCTTGGCAGTGAGCCCCTGGGAGGGTGACCTCTCCAGGGCTGCCCCACCCCCACCCCCGGGAGAGCTTTGGAGCTTGCTGTGGAGGAGTGTGTGTGGTGAGAGGGGTGGGTGGACAGGACAGATGCACTCAAAAGGCAGGGCCGAGTCAGGGAGCAGGTGGGATGCATAAGGGGTTGAGAGGGAAAAGGGCTGGGAAGGCACATGTCTGTGGCAGTCATGCCTCCTTCTTTTCCTACAGCATGGACTGGAGGTTGTGTTCAGGGCTTGCCCATTCCCTCCTCAGAACTCACACAGAAGCCTTATAGGACCACCTAGGCATTGTATTAGTTGGGATTCTCCAGAGAAACAGAGCCAATAGGAAATTCTCTATCTGTCTATCTCTCTCTTTCTCTCTATCTATCGTGTGATTGTGGGAGCTGACAGGTCTGAAATCTGCAAGGCAGGCAGGCTGGAGATTCAGGTAACAGTTGATGTTGCAGGCTTGGATTCAAATACTGGAAACTGAGGCAGGGTTTATGCATTGCAGTCTAGCTTTGGGAAACCTCAGCCTTTGCTCTTAAGGTTTTCAACTGATTGGATGAGTCCCACTCACATTATCAAGGATTACTAATCTTCTTTTCTTCAATCAACTGATTGTAAAAGTTAATGGCATCTAGACTGACAAAATTACTGAGTGCCACAGCCTAGCCAAGTTGACACATATAATTTTCTAAACTTGCGTAAATTTTTGAGGTAAGAGTGTAATTTTGTTACATGCATAAATTGTGAAGTCAGGGTTTTTACTGTATCCACCACTTGAATAATGTACATTGTACCCATTTAGTAATTTCTCATCATCCACCCCCACCCCACCAGTGAGAGTTAAATAATGTGTACACATGGACATAAAGCGTGGAATAATAGATACATGTAATTAACCATCATGGGTACCTTAGCTGCCTGCTGCAGCCTTTTGTCAGGGTCAGTGTCTGATCAGAAAAGCAAACCCTGGGAGCCTGGATGTTGCTCCTCAGATGTGAGATTGTAACAGTATTTTTGGTGGCCTCCAAGTCATGTCACCACATGGTGGCCAGACACTGGGGGCTGAATTCCTGGTCACACTTTAAACTTCATTTTTCTGAGCACGTTCTCCCTAAGTGGTGGGTGTGGGGCACAGGGACCAGGCAAGGGAGTTGGGTGCTTAGGCTCTTAATATTTTCCCCTTTGGCAATTATCTTTTACCCTTGAACCTGGTGGATTATTTCCAATGTCTTTCTTGGTCTCCTGTCCTTGGTAATACACATATGGCTCATTCATTCCCTTTGATGCAGCTCTTTACTGCAGTTTGTCAGTGTTTCAGCCATGTGATGTGGTACTTACTGCAGATTGTCAGTGTTTCAGCCATGTGATGTGGCATTGCTTGGCTTCAAAATCTAGGATGTGAAGGGCTCCTTGAAGATCAGGAGGTGGGTTGATGTACAGAACCTCAGGGTTCTCAAAATGTCTCTGCTCCCTACCCCAACCATACACACACACATGCACACACATGTGTGCACACACAAATGTGTGCATATGCAGACATGCTTAAGAAGCTCACCAAATGCTAGAAGGAATGTTTTGAGGCCTTCAAGGTGTTTGGACTTGGATTCTGTGACATGTCCAGAGGTGCAGTGAGCTGGGTTTCACTGGGTTAGGTCTGAAACGGGCCACAGGGGATTTTTGTTTTAATATACCAGGATATGGCAAAGTGTTGGATTTGGTGAGGGAGTTCTGGGTGTTTTTCCTCTTTTGACAGCTGAGAACAAGTGAATCTTGTGAAAACATTGGAGTCGATATAGGAGGGCTGTAGAAATACCAAGAAAGGCCCAAATAGTGGTGCAGCAAACAAAAAAAATGTCTTCCAAAAGATATCCACATTGTGAACCATGGAACGTGGGAATGTCACCTTATAGGGCAAAAAAAGGACTTTGTAGATGGGATTAAGAATTGTGAGAGGAGAAGGTTACCCTGAGTTACTTAGGTGTGCCCTAAATACAATCACAAGTGTCCTTCTAAGAGAGAGGCAGAGGGAGACTTGCCACAGACACACAGAAGAGAAGACCTTGTGTTCACAAAAGCAGAGATTGGAATGGTGAAGCCATAATCCAAGGAATGCCAATAGCCACCAGAGGCAGGAAGAGGCAAAGAACAGAATCTCCGCTGGAGCCTCCAGAAGGAGTGGGGCTCTGCTAATACTGATCAGCCCAGTGATACTGATTTTGGACTCCTAGCCTCCAGAACAGTGTGAGAATAAATGTGTTGTTTTAAGCTCACCAGTTTACCGTACTTGGCTGTAGCAGCCCTTGCAAACTGACACAGAGGGGCTGATGTGAGTACCCTTCTCTGGCAAAAGGAGGGGTGGTCACGAACTGGCTACACTGGGAGGGCCCATGACAATGGTCTGCATCAGGCCTCTTGCTGATGGGGAAACTGAGGATCAGAGAAGGGAAAGGCCTCACTGAGAGTCCACAATGAGGCAGTGGCTGGCTGAGACCAACTCAAGTCCCCTGCTTCCTGGGGTGGGCAGGGGTGCAGCCTGCACACTTGTTCTTTCCAAGAGATTTGGCTTCCTGACTTTTGTTTTGTTTTGTCTTGTTTGTTTGAGATGGAGTCTCGCTCTGTCGCCCAGGCTGGAGTGCAGTGGTGCGATCTTGGTTCACTTCCCCCTCCGCCTCCCAGGTTCAAGCAATTCCCCTGCCTCAGCCTCCTGAGTAGCTGGCATTATAGGCGCACACCACCACACCCGACTAATTTTTGTATTTTCAGTAGAGACAGGGTTTCACCATGTTGGTCAGGCTGGTCTCAAACTCCCGACCTTGTGATCCGCCCACCTCGGCCTCCCAAGGTGCTGGGATTACAGGCATGAGCCACTGCTCCTGGCCGTCTTCTCCTTATCTTACAAGCTCCTCTACCCAGGGATTCTCCCACTGCCTGTGGCTTCCCTGTCACCAGTGCTCACTAGGGGAAAATGGCTTTATACCTTTTGCCCCCCTGAGTCTCAAGGCCTGAAGCTCTTCTGGACACTGTTCTGGTCTAGCTTCCTGTGGGCAGGACCGGGCCCCCTCACTATCAGTCTTCGCACTTCTGCCTGACTGCCTATTTGTCTGGCTCCCCTGCTCAGCCCTCTCCCCGCCAGATAACTCACCCTTTAGCTGGCTGCTCCTCTGTCACCCGCAGTCTCTCGCTTGCCACAAGAACACACTTCAATGCCATTAGCACTAACACCAAATACACAAAAGCTTGCTCCTGTGTGCAGCTTCAAAGGATCTGTGTTCCTTAGCCAGCCATTCCAAGGCCAGGACCCCATTCGGTAGGCTGTCATCTTTCTAGTACTGACCAGCCCAAACAGCAGGAGAAAAGACTGGCTGGCTGGCACTAAGCTCTCTCTCCCCACTGGCTGCTGACATCCAGCATGCCAAAAAGTGGGGAGCCCAACCTTGACCTCGCCAGCACATTGTTTCACCTACACCACTGTCCCCAAGGCCACCACCACACCAGCACCATGGCAGCCAGGAGCAGATGGAAAGGGCACTGCTACTCATTTGAAAACAAATGCCATTGCCTAAGAAAGACAATTCTGGGCCTTCGATCCCAGGCCAGCCCTCTGGAGAGCTGAGGACATTGCTTAAGACTCCCACACCTGCCTCAGATGCTGTGGGCTTGGGTCCCCTCCCCACTTGGGGCCTGTCCTTCCCAGAAGACTGTTGTTTATACCTAGGCCTCTTACAGTATAGAACCCAAAGTGAACCGAGCCTTATAGGGATGGAGGGGTATCAGGACTCTCACCCCCGTCATTCTGGGGATTCTACCTCTGAATGCACACCATGGCATGTCTGGCTGCCACAGCTCCCTGCTGACTCCTTTCTCCAAGCTCACTTCCACTGCCACATTCTGGGACACTTGGTTTAGGCTCTCTCAGTTGAGGCTCTCACATTACTTCTTATAACTTTGTTCTGTTTGGCCCACATTCTTCGGGGCTCCTGGGGCTGGAGTTAGATACACCGGCTGCTCCTCTCACCTCTGTGTCATTCATAGTTCACACTCATGTCTTCTTGCTCCTCCTTTAGGGTAAGGTCCCATTTCCCTAAACAATTATATGAGTCCTGAACTCAAACTACAGACCTACTAAGTTAGAACTCTGAAGGTAGGCAGTGCTCCAGCCCTTTCAGGACTGGATATATTTCAGCAAGCAAAGTTGCCTTTGAAGTGTATCTCTACAGGGCAATGTTGACTCATCAATTGCCATGATGTTCTTCCTATAGGAAAAAAAACCTAGTTGTCTGAGACCAAAGCCTTTTGGTCAGAATTGGGCTAAGGTGGGGTCTTATCTAGGGAACTTTGTGCTGGGACTAAGGCCATATTTGTGTCCCCTTGAAACAACCTTCCCTCCTTTAATACATTTTTTGCAGTTGCTGTAACAAAGTACCACAGATCGGGTGGCTTAGAACACCAGAAATTATTCTCTCACAGATACAGAGGACAGAAATCTGAGATCAAAGTGTTGTGGGGCTGTGCTCCTTCTGAAGGCTCTAGGGGAGAGTGCTTCCTTGCCTCCTCCAGCCTCTGGTGGCCCTAGGTGGTCCTTAGCTTGTGCTGCATTGCTCCAGTCTCTACCTCCATCTTCACATGCCCTCCTTTATGTCTGTCTCATAACGATACCTGCAATTACATTTGGGACCCAACCAGATACTCCAGAATAAACTCTTAATCTCAAATCATTGGCTTAATCACACATTTTTGCCATATAAGGCAATATTCACAAGTTCTGAGAATTAGGACACGGATATATTTTAGGGGGCTACCATTCAATCCATGACACACCTTTAGGATCATTCAGTAGCCCCACCCTGGGCTACCATGCTAGGGGAGGCCATGAGTTCACCTTCCATGCTTCCAGCTTCCAGGATGGGCCTATACCCTTGCATCTACTTTACATACTGAGACTCCAGCACGACACTGCTACAGGCTGGTTGGCAGCTGCTGGGCGACCAGGTGGATGGGCCAGGAGGAGATGTGGTATTAACGGGCAGCACAGTCAATGAGGGGAAGGAAACACATTAGTGACGTTCCAGCTTGAAGTGACAGTGGACCTGGGGCTATAAAACAACATGGGTTTATTAATGGACATTTAGACCCTAAAAGCAAGAGGGAATGCACCGGAGTGCAGCAGTGTGGTATAGCAGCAGAAGAGACAGGACAATTCTGAGAGCTGTCGCCCAAGCATCATATCCATATCCCAGAACTGGAGGCAAAAATAATCCACACAGCACAGGAAGCTGTGCAACTCTTTGGTTCTAGATGGCATTGACCTTGGCCTATGTGGAGGGGCTGTCTCCTGTAGGACTGTCCGCCACATTATGCAGATGATGAAGCAAGGCTCTGTGGTTTTGTCTTTCCCTCCTTTTCCAAGCCAGCTACTCTGGACCTTCACTCCCACTCCTCATCCTGCATCAATAGGAGGCTCTCCTGTCAGACTTCCTGACCCCTCTCCAGTGCCAGCAGACTCAGGCACTTCAGGGCCAAAAGTAGCCTTATTTCTTTGCTCTAAAAGCCTCCATCATTCTTCACTGTGAAAAGTGGTCCTTCCTGACCTTTTATAAGTATTAGACCACCTAAAAAATGATCGTATCTGTGAGCAGATGAGGCTACTTTGACCTGGAGCAGTGACCTGGGTACTGATTATTCAAACTGGGCACTGGCTGGACCTGCTGACCATCAGCTCTGCCTGCAGCCACTCAGGGTAACCAGTGCAGAGGCACTGGGTGAAGGATGGCATCCAGAATCCTTGCAGGGGAACTGAAAACCCTTTGGGAGCCAGCCCTGTCTGCCTCAGTAAGGGAGTCTGGCTTTCCTTGATTCATAGACCCCCAATTGTCCACATTGGCCAGACTGGCTGGTCAAAGCCTTCTGGACAGTGCCACATGCTTCCCACATCTGGGCCCTTGTGTCTGTTGTCCTGTCACACAAGATGCCTTCTGCTTCGCCAAGTCAAATCTTTCCCATCTTATTGGGCCAGGTTTGGGGGCTGCTTTGTTTGGGAAGCCTTTCCTGGTTGCTTTAGAACCTGTTTTAATTTGTTTTGAGCCTCTAACAAAAGACCCCTGCATGGTTGTTTAGTTGTTGCATGTGTGTGTGTGTTGGTGTTGACTCTCCTGCAAGCTTGGCGAGCAGAGGCCAAGCGTGGTCCCTCACTGCATTCCCCTCGGGTCAGTTCAGGGCCTGGAATGCAACAGGTACTCAATAATGACAGCAAAATGGGCTTGAGTGAGGGACAGAGTGACCTTTCTCAAATCTAATTATGCTCTAATTAGCCACAGCTGCAGCTCTCTCCAAATGAAGATGAGGCTTGGAATCAGGCCCTGCCTAGCTTCCAGCCCCTGCTTCCGTCCTCTCCCAACTCCTGACCTGCAGGCCCATCCCCAGGAACTTGTCAGTCCTGGAGCCATCTCTAAATCTCAGCCCAGCTCATTCCATCTTGGCCCAGGCATTGGAGCTCTTTCCCTACTGACTGATCTCCGGATCCTGGTGTGCTGTTTGCCATGAACTACTGCCTGCCTCTGTTTACCATCTGTTGCAATGAGCCCAGTTCTTGCTCCTGCCGTACTAGGCCTCCCTAAGGGCTGCTGCCGGTGTGCCTAGGGGCTGCTATGGACTGAATTGCGTCACCTCAAAATTAATATGTCAAGCCTTAAGCCCTGGCATGATGGTGTTTGGAGATGGGGCTGTTAGGAGGTAATTAGGTTTATGTGAGGTTCTGAGGGTAGGACCCTCATGATGGGATTAGCCCCTGTAAGAAGAAACACCGAGTGTTTCTCTCTCTCTCTCTCTCTCTCTCTCTAGATATATATATATATCCCTAGTGTGAGGACACAGTGAGAAGGCAGCCATCTATAATCCAGGAAGAGCACCCTCACTAGGGACCGATCATGCTGACACCTTCATCTTGGGATTTTTACCTCCAGAACTGTGAGAAAATAAATGTCTGTTGTTTAAGCTCCTGGTCTATGGTATTTGTTACATAGCCTGAGCTGACTGAGACAGAGGCCTACCTGGTCTATGGCCCCAGCCCCTCCCAGACTGGGATAGGCTGAATAATGCCCCTTTCTTCCAAAAATGGCCATGACTTCACTCCCTGGAATCTGTGAATGCTACCTTATATGGCAAAAGGGACTTTGCAGATATGACTAAATTAGGGATCCTGAAACGAGGAGATTATCCTGAATTATCTAGTTTTTCACAAGGGTCCTTATAAGAGAAGGAGGGAGGCAGGAGGGTCAGATTCAGAAAGAGAAAGAGAGATTTGAAGACACTGTGCTTCTGGCTTTGAAGATGGAGGAAGGGGCCATGAGCCAAGAGGTGAGGCAGCCTCCAGAAGCTGGAAAAGGCAAGGAAGCAGATTCTCCCTAGTCTGCAAAAGGAACCACCTCCACTTGGCACCTTGACTTTAGACTTCCTGAACTCCAGAACTGTAAGAGAATAAATGTGTGTTGTTTTGAGCCGCCAAGTTTGTGGTAATTCATGACAGCAGCCACAGGAAACTGATACACAGCCCCATATTTCTGCTGTCCTCCAGCACTAGCCTGTCCTGTGCCTTCCTCCTGAGAATGTGTCTGACCCTGTTTCCTGCCAAGCATCTACCTCAGCCTCATCCTAAGTTCTCCCCAGATGGTGCAGGGAAGTCTTCCCGCCTTGTCTCAGCCCTACGACCCTGGCCTCCCTCTGTACCTGCAATGCCAGAGGCTAGGGAGGCAGGCCCCAACCACCAGCCCCCATAGCCAGCTCTGTTGAGAAGTTAAGGACCTAGGAAAAGAGAAACACCCTCCCAAGAAGGGGAGATGCCACTGGGGGAGAAGGATCCACAGGAGGATTTCAAGAAGTTGATGAGGACTGATGCTGAACACAGGTAATCGTTCCCAAGGGAAGGCAAGCCGACATCACTTAGCAGGCAGCCCAAGGGTGCTCTCAACACCTCAGAGACACAGGGAACCAGTGGTCAGCCAGCCTGTGGTCCCATAGCATCTGGCCATAATGACTCATCGAGAAGCGGCCCAGAAGCCAGGGGTGCTTGACTTCCTGGCCCCGTCTGGGCAAGTACAGGGTATGAGTGGTATTGTCAGTTGTGGGCCAGCCAATCAGGGATAGAGGTGCCGAGGCCAACATGTCAGGGTCCCTGGCACAGAGCCTCTCAAGGTTGTGTCTTCCTCAGGGGAACTTTCCTGCATCTTGCCTTGGGCCTGGGCCCAGAGACGATAGGATCCAATTCACCCTGGGGAGCTTCCACTTCTGGCAATGCTGAGTAAGCTCCTTTGGGACCAAGCCTCCTGCGGATGACAACTGTGCATTTCAAACCAAACCAAACCAAAACACACACCTGAAGGCACTGGAGAGCTACCCAAAGCAGGCAGATTCTGGAAGAAAGTCAACGCTTGGGGGAAGGAAACAGTCCTGGATGTACTTCCTGCTTACACAGCTTCTAGCCTGGGGCAGCCCCACTCTGCACCTTGCAGGGTAACCCCAAGGCAAACTCACAGTCTTTCTGGTATGAACAACAATATGACGGCCTTCAGGGCAATCATCTCAGCTGCTAAAAAGTGAAGGGGAATCCTATAGATGGGAGAGGCAGGGAGGAGTCCTAGATCCTGTGTATAGACACTGCCCAAGTCTCTGGCTGACCCCTGAGTCATGCGTGCATGGGGACTCCAGGATGACATTTCTGGAAGGTCATCTTTTTCGTATACCTTACCTTTCCCTGGCATTTAGTGAGCACCTACCACATGCCAGGCTTTGTGCCTGATGCCAGGAAGCCTTAGTCTGGTTTTCCCCGAAAGCAGTCTTATAGCGACTAAGATTTTACCAGGCAGTGGGATGCCACAGGGGGCAAGAGTGAAGGAAAGGGGCAGTGATGCCACAATGGAGGGAGGACCCACGTGAGATGCACTGCTGATCTGGTGGCTGCTGTTTGCGACTGACTGCTTGACCCTGCATAAACTCAAGGCATGTGTCTGGAAGGAGAAGAAGAATGTAGCCACAGGCTCCCATCTTCCACTCATCAAGGGCTCACCTCTTATTTCTGGGTTGCACATGAATGGGTGCTAAGCAAGGCTGATCCCACAACACCCCATGCTTCTAGGCCAACAGGGCAACCTTGGTGGGTGGTGTGAGGTTCACAGTATGGGCATGAAGTGAACCCTCTTACTCACTGTGTGACTTTGGCACATGACTTCACCTTTTGAGCCTTGTTTTGTCATCTATGACAAGGAGACAAGCATCACTTTTTCTGCCTACTTCCCAGGACCACTAGAATTGAACAATGTATGCTCTTCAAGTTAAGCCTGGGTTAGCACTTTCCTTAAAGACTCGGCTTCTCTGGAGTTTCTAACTTTTATATGAAGGGTAGTTCATATAAAAGGCCTGAATTATATAACACTTGGAATTGGCTGCAAGCACCTTTTGAAAATAAACTAAAAAAAAAAAGTCTAAATTCCACATGTTCATCTGCATTAAAGTCCTCATGAGAGCATCTCAAACTTTAAAAAAAAATAAGAAAGCTTTGATTTTCAGAAACAAAATTGGACAACCATGCATGCATAAGGTGACCTTGTTTCCTTTGGCAGTTTAAAAATCCAGATCCTACGCCCCAAACTCACATTAGAGCATCTGCTTCGGATTCAATTTGGCTAGAACAAAGCAATCAGTCCTGCTCAGGCACATGCACAGCATTTTCACCAGAGAGGTGCAGCCAGTGGTCCAGTAGATGGTGGGTGTTAAGCCACCTTCACTGCCTGTTGGCAACTCTACACCAGCCCAGGGCTGTGGCCCAAGTGATTGGGACTTTCTGCAACCCTCGAGGTTATCACTTTGGAGAATATCAGAGCTAGAACTAGCCTTAGAGATGATCCAGGCCAAGGCCCTAACCAAACAATGGGCACACTGAAGTCCACAGAGAGTGTGGACCTGGCCACGGCTTACCATGAGCCAGTGGCAGAACGTGACCTGGAAGCCAGGCCTCCCCCTCCTAGCCCAGGGCTTGCTCTGCATCCTTGCTAGCCCCTGCCTCATTCTCTGAGAGCCATTTCTGCTTGGGATAGAGGCACAGATAGACCCCTAGAAGACTTTCTAGAACAATTAGGATCCAAAGCAAATAGTCCATAGCCACTTTGGCCCAAGCCCTGCCTACTTTCCTGGCTGAAAGTAAAAGGCCCCATGCAGAGTGAGGGCCAGAGTGAGGCCAGTGAGGTGCCCAAGATGCCGACCCTGCACTTGTGCACAGCTGAGGTGAGGCCTCCTTAGATGTCTCGCTGGCTTCACCCTATTCCCCATCCCAGACCCCAAATCCAGTGGCTTTCATGATAGTCTTGAGGATTCCTCCATCAGACCTGGGGCTTCTACTCTCCAGATGCCTCTGGGTTCCTGGGCTGCTCTCCCAAGGGCAAAGCTTTGAGAGTCAACAAAACAAATTGACACTCATGATCCATGGGGTTCTACAACCTTCCTTTAATTGCCACAAGGCAAAGAATCTTAGCTCCTTGTCCTAGATCGGGCAGCCGAGGCTCAGAGAGGCTGAGTAGTTCAAAGCTACATGGCCCACAGGTGGCAGAATGCAGCTTGAGCCTAGCCCTTCACCCTGCCCTTTTTCGTCATCCTACATCCAGCTCCTCCGGAACTGCTGCCTGCCCACATTGCTCACAGTGACCAGGCAAAGCCTGTTCTTGAGGCCTTTAGGCAGACTTAGGCGCTCTTCCTCCTGCCCTGTAGGACCCACAGCAGCACCAGATATTGTTAGGCAAACGAAAAAAGTTATAAGGCTGAAATAATTGCCCTCATTTTGAATCTGAGTCTTTTCAGATAACATAATCTTGTGCAGCCCCAAAGAGGTTCCTGCCTGCTCCTGACGATTGGGATGGAACAAGCCCAGGTAATTGCCTCTTCTGTGTAAAGACCAATTTGTCCAGGGAAATGAGCACAGTTGATGTAATCAATTAAAACACTGAAAGCCGTGCAGCATATACAGGAAATGGAAAATAAATTGGAGCCCTCTGCCCCGCCTCACCTTCTCAAATGCCTGAGTCCTGCCTGACCAGGTGACAATTTTTTTCCTCTTTGAGCCTCACTATAATTTGAGTAAAGGAGGCTGAACTGACAGGGTCCCTGAGGTCACAGAACCCTGGCTCCCCAGCTAGGTCAGGCTCCTCTGTGGGGCCGAGGGGCGTGGAGGAACATGGGGTTTCTCCTGTGCTTGGCCCTGTGCTGGACACGGGCTCTGCTCACACTGTGAGGATTGGGGGCAGAGCCATAGATCCACCAGGGCCCTCTTCACAGCTGGGCTCTTAGGTTAAGAGTGGGTGCTTGTGAGGAGCTGGGGGCCAGAACCCAGCAGAAGTGCTGCTGTGAAGCCTTGCCACCAATGAAGCCACTGGGGTCTAGGCTAAGTTTTTTTTTTTTTTTTCGGTGTCTTACTCTGTTGCCCAAGCTAGAGTGCAATGGTGCTACCATGGCTCACTGCAGCCTTGAACTCCCAGGCTCAAGTGATCCTCCCACCTGAGCCTTCCCAGTAGTTGAGATTATAGGCAGGCACTACCACATTCAGATAATTTTTAAAAGTTTTTTGTGGAAATGGGGTCTTGCTATGTTGCCAGGGCCGGTCTCAAACTCCTGGCTCAAGCCATGCTCTTGCCTCGGCCTCCCAGAGTGCTGGGATTATAGATGTGAGCCATCAAGCTTTGCCTGGGCTGGTTTTTGAGCATGGTCTGGCCTTTGAATCCCCATTTGCCAGCCCTGTGCTTTTTCAGGCTATGCTCTGGCTACCGAGGCAGGGGAGGCTCGAGTGGCTTATGCCCACTGGCATGGGGTCTGCTCACTGGCTTGCAGTTTTGTCTCTCTGGCCTGGTGTTTGTAGCTGTGACACAGGCCAGGCTGCCTGGCCCATGGGGTCCCTGCCTGCTGGGAGCTCACAGTCTGGAGAGGCAGGTGCATGCATGGTGCTGTGGGAAGTGAGGCTTCAGACTGCCACAGCTGAGCAGGCTTAGTGCTTCTCTGTACACGTATCTCCAGGGTGCTCGGGGAAGTAGAGAGGATGAGACGGTGGCAACTGCAGAAATGACCGAGACAGAGAAGATGAGAAGCAAGCTACAGCTCTTCTCATTTCTAACCTTGACCCCCAGTAGGATCCCGCTGTCATCCTTGTCAGGTAGGCCTTGTTCGTCTCTCAGAAGAGGAGCAACAGATGTCCACCAGGGCAGGAATATCACCTGGGGCTCAGAGGTTAGTCTTGTTTTAGGGAAACTCACCACAATTGCCTGGGGAATTGCTGGTGACCCTTTTGGGACCACAAAGTGACATGGAAAAGTCTTGGTCATAATCTTGGGAAGGAAGTGCATCCAGGGATGGACAAGCTTGACTAAGGAACAGAAGGCTCCACCACTATTTGGAGTGACTGGGCTCTTCAAGCCATCTGGGAATTGGGTCTTTTCACCTAGGAGACCAAGGTTTCTAGATGTGGTGGTGTCTCCTTGACTTACCTCTTAGCTTCTTAAGGGAATGTAGCACATCTGATTCCTAGCTGGGGGTTCACAGAGTGTGTTCTGTCACTCTACCCCACCCAGATTTTGAGGTCTGGGAGCCCATGCTGCCTGTAAGTTTGAGGTAATGGAGAATTGAGGAGAATAGTCTGCCCATGCCATTCCCATTTGACCTTGGAAGTGATGTGGCTTCAATCTGGCTCCTTCTTGAAGGAGTGTGGGGCAGACAGACCATGAGGAAGACGTCTGAAGCCTGTGCACAGTTTGAAGGCACTTCTGCCTGCTGACAGGGGTAGGTTACTTCAACAACCAATATCCTTAGACTCCGGGACAAGGAAGGCACAGGGATTTTGACTTGTATTCCAACATTCACAGACTGGAAGTGGCTGAATCCAGGCTCAGTGGGATGAGCACCATGATTGATTAGCAATGTCTGCCAGGCAAGCAGGAAGGAGGGGTGATGTCATGTGTGTAAATTTCTTGCCATCCCTGGTTAGGGGGATTCATAGGGATGTGCAGGGCATGGCAAAGATGGAGGAGGGGGATGGTACATGCTTTGCTTAAAAATCTCAGTGGCTTTCTCAGGTCAAGTCACCTTAAACTCCAGTGTTTGTTTTCAAGCTGCATTCATTCCGTGGTGGAGGCAATTGGGTGGCAGGTGTTTACTGGCAATCCTTTTGCTTCCAAAAATGCCAGATGGGTTTGTATTTTTATTGCTATGGTAGCAGTGACTCAGGGTCTCGATGGCACAGTGACACTAGGCAAAAGGTCTGGCATTTTCCTGCAGAGAAGAAAACTGAGTTACCACAATAAGATGTTCTTACTATATCCTGCTGTGACCTCCATCTTCCACAGCAACTGAGGCTAAGATTATTTCTTAGAATTGAAAGAGAATCAGTATCTCTTGAGCAAAAACCATTGTGTTTTCCTGATTGAAAGTCTCTTAATAACTATTGTTACTGGGCTCTAACGTGATGACTGTACTGTGACCAGTCTGGTTTGAATGTGTTGGATTAAGCAAAGGTCTGTGCCCTTGGTTTGAGCATGTCCTTGGTTTAGACCCCCAAAGCTCAAAATCTGGGTATAGTAAAGTGACAGAAAACACTCTCTGAGACCCCAGAGGTCTAGGATGTGTACCCTAGAAGGCCCCAGACACCTTTTATGTGACCACCTTGGCTTGAATGTGTTGCATTAACCAAGAGGGGATGCTGGCATTGGGCCAGGAAGGGATGCCCTGTTGGGGTAAAAGCAGTTGTTGAGATAAAAAAGTAAACTTTTTTCCTCTTTCTAGACAAACTCTTGGCCTCAAAGTCTTGAGGATTGCTGGTTAAACACAGTGGATTGAGCACCCATGTTTATCTGTGTTCCCTCTCCAAACCCCACTCAAATGACAGTAAAGAAATAAAGAAAAGCCTGTACCTGTAGGAGCAAAATAATGGGGGGAAATGAGGCAACTGCAAACAAGAGATGCAGCTGGAAAGTGAATGGATGAGTTTTGGGTGAATTTACAGAGTGAAGAGAACAGAAATTTAAATCCGTGTAAGCCAGAAAGAAGCAAAGCAAACTATAAGACAGGAACTGGGAAGACTCAAGAATGGGAGGCAGCAGGGTATCCTTAAAGGCAGGGCATGCGATAGGGCTGAGGGCAAGAGTGCTGGCTCAGAATGTGTATCAAGGGTAGTGGTTAGCCCCTTAGTCTCCTCCCTGTACCAGGGCACAACTACCCTGGCAGAAGACAGGAGGTTCCACTTGCTGGAGATATCCAGCTAAGCACACTGGTGAAGTAACTTACTGAAAACAGGGATTACTTGAAAGCTTCATAACTGATGGTGGGAAGACCCCCAAATTTCTCTCCTACTTGCATTCCAGAATGCCAACACAGCCAGATTTATATTGCCCCAGGCAAAAGATGGGAGGACACCTCCATCTTGCCAGCAAAAGAGCAGCAGAAACTGACACTTGGGAGCCCCCAATAAATTAACTGAGTCCCCATAAGATCACCCTACAGTGAAGTCCATCAAGTGATAAGGCCTTATCCTGAACATAGAGCTTCTAACAGAATGACAGAATGCTATTGCCCCATTCTCACTATGCAGGGATAGGCAAGGGTCTGCTATTTGTGGAAAGCCTCTTATACAAAAGGCAGAGACCAGAGCCAGCCATAAAACAAGCAAAAAACAAGTCAAAGGAAGCAAAGACAATGCAAGGAGCTGAAGAAAACTTCAAAAAAATTAAAATTAGCATACTTAGCTGGAAAAGGCAATGAAATAGGTTCTACCCTAGAGCCAGCAAAAGGAACACAGGCCTGCCAACAGTTAGATTTTAGCCCACTGACAGATTTTGGACTTCTGACCTTTGGAATTAGAAGATAATAAGTTTATGTTATTTAAAAATATATTAATATCCTTAGAAACATAAGAGAAAATATTATCTCAAAACAACTATATACTATATAATTACAGTGATACGACATTCTGGAAAAGGGTGCAACTATGGAGACAGTGAAAAGATCAGTGGTTGCCAAGGGTTAGTGGGGAGGGAGGTATGAATAGGCAGAGCACAGAGGATTTTTAGTGCAGTGACACTACTCTATATGACACAATAATGGTGGGAACATGTCATTATCCATTTGTCCAAATCCACAGACTATATAACACCAAGAGTGAATCCTAATGTAAACTATGGACTTTGGGTGATAATGATATATTGATATAGATTTATTAATTGTTACAAATGTTACAAATGCACCTGTCTGGTGTAGGATATTGATAGTGAGGAAGGCTGTACATATGTGGGGGTCAGGGGAATATGGGAACTCTCTACTTCTCCCTCAGTTTTTCTGTGAACCTAAAACTGCTTTAAAAAATAAAGTCTATTAAAAAATAAGGGTGTATCCATCACTGCAAGCATTTACGATGCTATAGACAAGATAGGGCCCTTGGAAGATAAAAATATAATAGCATACATTAAAAAAATACCAATAGAAAGGGTGGAGATAAAGTTGAGTAAATATCCCAGAAAGTAAAACAAATGGACAGAAATGGGCCAATGGAAGAAAAGATAAGATCTTTAGATCAATTCAAGAGGCCCAACATCCAACTAATGAGAATTCCCAAAGCCGGGGAAAATGGAGGTGAAAATTATTGCTGAAATCACACAAGAACACTTCCTGAAATTAAAGTAGAGGAGCCTCCAACTTGACAGGGTCCACTGAGTGCCAAGCACTGTGAATCCAAACAATAACAAAATTTGACACAAAGGAACATCATCATGAGATTTCAAAACATTGGCAATAAAGAGAAGATCCTAAAAGCTTCCAAAGGGAGAAACAGAGGTAAAATTTCAATGATCTTGAATCAGAATATCTTCAGGCTTCTCAACAGCCACACTAGAAGCTAGGCAACAGTGGCGCAACTCCTTTGCCATCTTCGGGAAAAATTATTTCCACTTTAGGATTCTATACTCAGCCAATTTTTCATTCAGGTATGTGGGTTTAATAAATAAGGCCTCTGAAATTTTGCCTCAGATGTGCTTCTTCTCAGGAAGATAAATTAATATGATCTCCATCAATTTGAGGAAGAAAACCAAGAAAGAGAAATACACAGTATGAGAAACAGGAGAAATGGAAAAAGAGTTCCCAGGATGACTGCTGTAATTATGTGATGTGTTTAACCATATCAAGAAGATATTGTTTGGGGATGAATAGTGATATGCGTTACCAAAAAAAGGGAAAAAAAATATGAGGCAATGATTAACTCTAGTGAGAAAAAGTTTGTATGATAAAGGATAAATTAAACATAATTATAGTGTACTACCTGGCTCTGCTGTGAACTATATTTACATAATTATAATAACAGAAACACTGTATCGTGATTTAAGTAAAAATGGTGATATGGTTATACTGGGAGTTTGGGGTAGGGAAAGAGTAGACTATATAGAGGTGGTCCAAGACAGTTAAATCTTTATCTTCCAGGGTAGGGAGGCAAATAATTTTCTAAAATGGTAAAATGAAAAACTTCAGTATAGACATGCTATGTAGAAATATGGAAGTACATACCAGAAGCTGAAGAGATACAAGAGTTAGAAATGGCTGCCGTTATGGAGTATGAACTGGTGCTCTAATTGATGTTGATAACTATTTACAAGTATTACTCTGATAAAAAATTTAAAAATAAGTAATTTATATAAGAGTTTCTGGAGCCAGATGAGCAATTCAAGCATATCAACTTAGCTGACACTAAGTTGACACTTAGTTAACACTAAGATTGAATGCCAGGGAAGAGTCTCCTGGCAAGATGGCAGAATAACAAAATAACTTGTATGAGTACTGGAAAGGTGTTGGCAATTTCCTTTCCATGCTCTTGGGCCAACCAATCCCCCTTTGTTCCTGCAACAGAGAGTCTGCAGCCCAGAGAGAGGAAGAGGCTTGCCTATGGTTCCATTATGAGTATGGCAGGGCAAAGACCAGACCTGTTCTGCTAAAAGCTGTCTTTCTAGCCTTGACCCTCAATTCAGGCCTTCTGTGACCACAGCTCTATCACTGCTTCTCAGCACTTAAGAAAGAAGCCACAGAGGTTTCACAGCCATTCCTCTGAGGTAGGTCCTATTAATATCCCATTTTGCAAATAAGGTCACTGAGGCACAGGGGGGTTAAGTAAGGGTTAAATAAAGGGTGAAGGTGGGGCAGGCCTTTGTGGATAGGATTTCTGGATGCAACAACACATGAGGTAAATTTTTTGAGTTAAACTTTTCATTTTGAACTAATTATAGGTTCACATGCAGTTGTAAGAAAGATCCCATATATCCTTCACCCAGTTTCCCCTAATGGTAACATCTTACAAAATTATGTTACAATGTCACAACCGGGATATTGACATTTTACAGTCAAGATACAGAACAATTCCATCACCACAAGGATCCTTCTTTTTGCCTGCTCAGCAGAATTTTCCGTAAATCCATCTAGGTTGTTGTGTGTATCCATAGTTTGTTCCTTTTTACTGCTGAGGAGTATTCCATGAGATGGAGGTACCATAGTTTGTGTACCCATTCACCCCATTGACTGGTTGCATGGTTTTGGGTGAGACATGTAACCACTCAGTTTCCTCCTTCATAGATCTAGATTATAATAGTGCTTACTTCGTAGGATTGTTGTGAGGATTAAATGAGTTCATCTTTGGAAAGATTTTATAACAGGACTGTGCACACACTAAGTACTATGTAAGTGTTGGTTAAATAAAATATAAATAAATCAGTCCAGGAAGTCATCCTGGATTTGAAGAAGCCACAAAAATGTTTGCTTTCCTGATCAGCAGAAAGATTGCCTGAATTTAGTCTGAAAGCCAGAGAGTTAAATAAACCCTTTCAGAGGGGCTGTGTCTCTAGTCTATTTAGGGTAAATTGAAAGACACTTGTAAACGGTCTCTATTTTTCAGCTTTCCTTTAGTTTAGAAGCAGGAATGTTTTTGCCTGCTCTTTTTCAGCCTCCTAAACACGGGGTCCCTCTCCATCTTCTTGTGCCCAAAGCTACTCCTAACAGTGCAGCATTGAAATCCTCTGCTACACTGCTGATATTTCAAGCCCTAGTCAAAACATCAACCTTGTTTATGTCAGGCGTTACCAAATGCCCAAAACAAATGCTTACGTCAAGGAAAGCAGGGTGAATTCATTGCTGAGCTGTGCTGTAGATCAGCCTTCTGGGGCCCAAGATCCTTGATAAGGGCTCCATTCTAGATATGAGCTATGTGGAGGTGAAAGTCATGGCTACCCTGGCTCCATGGTGTGAAGTGAAATGCAAGACTTATTTAATGTAACACTTTCAAACTCCAAACCCAATGTGAGAATCAAAAATCCCTGGGGAAGTTTAAGCAGCCCCGGTAGTCCCAGGAGAGAGGAAAGAACAGCTCTTAAGTGTCTGGAGTGGTACTTAAACCCCCTCCTGCTAAGAAAGGACCAAGTATATGGAGACCCAGCTTGCAGAACGCCCCGCTTCCTGTTCTTGCCCCAGCCCCCTCCTCAAATTGAGAATTTAAACTGGGAATTTGCAAGCTGAGTTGCACAGGGAAAACACCGGGACCAAATCTGGGCCAAAAGGGTTTGTGGTGCAAATTACATTTCTCTGTTAATTGTAATCTGTTAATTACATGAGAACAAAGGGTAGAGCAAGCAGAGACCTTGCCCGCCCCCCGGCCCCCCACCCCAAGGAAACCCAATGCACTGTGTGCACACTGGTTCAGTGAGCCGCACATAATTTCAAGACACGAAGGCGTACATTGAAATACATCGCTATATTTAGAGATAATGGAGTTTTTCTTTCTTAAGGCTTGATATAAACTTTGATTACATAGCATTTCTTTAATTTGCTGCTATTCAAGAAAACCCTGGGAACGCCATGGTGAGCAATGCCTAGCTTTTATCATTTGCATTTTTCATTTGCATATTTTAATTCCTCTGACTACAGTTCCACACCTACATGGACAGTCCCATAAGAGGGAAGATAATATTTTTCAGGAGTAATAATACCTTTTATGGTTGGGGAGGGGGTTACCAGCTGAATTTAGTCATTCAAGGGGTTGGAGAAAAAAAATGTGGGTCTTGGAAAACTTTGGGATGGCTTGACCCCATGTCAGGCTCCCCAGGCCATGCCCCACTAAAGAATGGGGGCCATGTTGAAAAGCCCCAGATAGCCTTCAACTTCTCCCACTTGTAGAGTTTCTGCAGTGCTACAGGGGAGGAGGTCACCATAGAGTTTCAGCTGAACAGTGCTGGAAGGACAGGAAGGCCCTAAAAATCACTTTATTCTCCCTCTTTGGGGCAGAGATGAGACCACTGTGCCAGGAGCAGGCCAGAACCCAGGACTTCCTCAGTCCTCCCATTGGACTGGGCCATGCTGCTTTGATCCCTGGGATAGAACCAGAGCCTTGGACCCACGCTCCAGTTTGGGGAGATCTGTTCATGGTTTCCTACTTTAGTATGTGAAACAAACAAACAAAATACACCTAAAATCCACACAATCAGAAAATCAGTAGTCTTAATTTCATCTCCTAATCTAATGCTGTGTAACAATATGGGAAATCTGTGGGACAATCTTTAGCCTTCTCTACAGTATGTTCTCTATAGAAATAAGCAGGACTTTTTAAAAAGATGGCTATATTTTAGCTATCTGTTTACTGTGGGGAGCCTAATCTGTTTGCCTTCCCTAGGAATTCTGGGATGTCAGATTTGCTACCTGGATTCTTGTTTCTTTAAGAACCTGTAGGTTTCTTGAGGGAAACATCAAGACTGGTATTTTGGTTACTGTTACGGTGGGATACGAGTTTTCAGAACGGGGTTTGAGTTGGGAGGACTAGGCAAAGAGGGCAGAAATGTTTCCTCAGCAAGAGAGGGCTGAGCGCCTTGTGCTTTGTCTTAGACCCTGGTAAGGAGGTACAGGGCTGTGTCACTGAGATGATTGCTACTCTAAATCCTGAGGAAATCTCTCCAAGTTTATTTATTCAATCAATATTTACTGAGCACCACTTTATGTATTACGTGCTAGATAGTGGGGTACAGAGGTGGACAAGACATCTGCTGCCTCTACTTCATGGAGCTGATAATGTAGTGGGGGAGACTGCTGAGTTAACAGGTAATTATGGTAAACCAAAAGAGCCAGGCTGCATTACGGGGCTGTGGCTGCCACCACAGAGAGGCCACATTCCCAACAACTGACTTTGGACGTGTCTTAGTCCATTCTGGCTGCTATAACAAAGTACTATAGATTGGGTGGCTTATAAAAACAGAAATATATTTCTCATTGTTCTGGAGTCAGGGAAGTCTGAGATCAGGATGCCAGCATGGTTGATTTGTGGTGAGGCTTCTCTTCTGGGTCATAGACTGTTTACTTCCCAGTGTCCTAACCTGGCAGAAGAGCAAATGAGCTCTCTGGGGCTTCTTTCATACAAACACTAATCTCGTTCATGAGGGCTCCAGCCTCATGACCTCATCACCTATCGAAGGTCTCACCTCCTAATATCATCATGTTGGAGGTTAGGGTGTCAGCAAAGAAATTTTAGGGGGACACAAACCTTCAGTCAATAACAGGTGCCACATAAATCCTTTACAGAATTTTAAAACAAATTAAAGTGCATAAAAAGCGGCCCCTAAACATCAAAAGTAAAATGAAAACAAAAATCAAAATAACAAGAATCTGTGTAGAGAACTATTTCAAGTGACTTTAATACATAGTAACTTGACTGAGCATCGCTAATAGGATTTATTATAAGGAAAAAAAGAACTGCAAAAAAAATCTTAAATTGTTTTTGGTAATCATATTGTTGGTAGCAGTGCTAGTTTTGTTATTCTGAGACTGTCATTCATGTTGTGGGAAAAATTAACCGAGTGTGCTGGTTTCATTGGATGGAAGAGATTAAATAAAAACCCTGTAGTCCTGAATCTGAACTGAAAGTGTTAGTATGGATTCATAAATTATTTTGTCTTAAAAAAATATTTTCTACCTCTGTCTCTGAAAAGGCCTAGAAACAATGGCAAACCTATTGGCAAGGATACTGTTAGTGCCCAGATCTTGATTTCTAAATACCATTTATCATTAAAAGAACAAAGGTTCCTTGGAGAAGTGGCTGATTTCAGGTCTGGGGCAGAAAATGTACCAGACAACCCTGGAACTGCCTGTCATACCAGAAAGCAAGGGAAGTTGTCAAAAACTACTATCATAGCAAAAGGTCTTAGGACCCAACCTGTATAAACTCTCATTGGCCAAAGATATAACAATTTGAGCATCAACAAGAATAATTACTGAAAGGATTGGAGCAGAACACATCTGTCTAAATCTGTGAGATTCTAATGATAGTGAAAAGTTTTAAAAATTGGTCTCATTGGTTCACATATTTGGAGGATGCTAGGGAACCCAACTCCTTATTTTAAAAACAGGTAAATAAATGGAAAGAAATAAATACTTCTCCTGCCTTTCCAATATAAAGGTAACCAAATAGTTGATGACGAGAAGTCTCTTTTTATGGAAGTATTCCAGCTAATAAATGAGAAGGAATGAGAAAAGTAGAATATCACCATTTTGAAACCCTAATGAAATGATGGACATTGTGCTACAATCCACTGATGTTATTCCTATTTCCCCAGTTTTACAGATATTCAGTTGTGAGTGTGTATTAGTCACAGCTCTCCAGAGAAACAGCCAATATAACATATACTCATCCCTTGGTATCAATGGGGGATTAATTCCAGGAACCCCAACAGGTACCAAAATCCTTGCATGTTCATGTCTGTGATATAAAATGGCATAGTATTTGCATATAAACTATGTACATCTTCTGGTATACTTTGAATCACCTCAAGATTACTTACAATGCCTCATACAATGTACATGCTATATAAATATTGTTATACTGTATTGTTTTTACTTGTATCATTTGTAATTGTATTGTTATTTTTATCATTTTTTTCCAAATACTTTTGATCCATGGTTGGTTGAATCTGCAGATGTGGAATGTGACTGTGTGTGTATGCGTGTGTGTGTGTGTGTGTGTGTGTGTGTAGTACATATATCCCCACAATCTGCTGTTTGTAAGGCAGAGACCCAGGAAAGCTAGTGGGTGTAGTTCAAACACCTGAAAGCCAGAGAACTGACAGTGTAGATTCCAGTCCAGGTCAAAAGGCCCAAGAACCAAGAGTGTCAAAGCCAAGAGATAATTGATGTTCCAGCGCAAGCAATCAGGCAAGTTAAACATTCCTCCGCTTTTTTGTTCTATGTGGGCCCTAAATGGATTGGATGATGCCCACCTACATTAGGGAGGGCCACTTGTTTTGCTTAGCCCACCAATTCAAATGCTAATCTGTTTCAGAAACACCCTCACAGACCCACCCAGAAATAGTGTTTAACCAGATATCTGGGCATCCCTTAGCCCAATCATGATTGGCTTTTTCACTCATTATAATTCTCTGGAGCTGCAACCAGGTTGTTGTGTGTATTAATTGTTTGCTTCTTTTTATTGCTGAGTAGTATTCCAGCATGTGGATGTATCACAGCTTGTTTAACCATTCCCACTGAATGATATCTGGGCTGATTCCAATTTTGGCTATTATAAGTAAAACTTCTATGAACATTCATAAACCGATTTTTGTGAGAACATAGGCTTTCCTTCCCCTAGAATAAATGTCCAGGAGTGCAATTGTTTAGTTATATGGCATTTGCATACATAAACTACATATGGTAGTTTAGCTTTATAAGCAATTGCCAATCTGTTCTCCAGAATAGCTATATCATTTTATATTCTAATTGCCATTTACAAGTGATCCAGTTTATCCACATAATTGCCAACCTAGTGTTGTTCCTTTTTTAAAACAAAAATTTAAGAGTTTATTTGAGCAAACATTGATTCATGAATCAGGTAGCACCAAACAGAAAGTGGTTAGGGCTCTACTGAAGGAGTGGGGAGAATGTTTTACAGGGTAAACACAGAAGTAAGCCAAAGAAAATATTTGATTGGTTACATGTGTATAGTTGCCTTGTTTGGTCTATCTCATTGGGAAATCCCAAGTTAGATAATTATAGGTTAGTTGGTGGCTTCCAATTGATTGAGCTTAAGTTTCACTTTTCTCTGAGATGGACGTTATAAGAAATAGACCATGTTAAGTTGTAGTTGTGTTTGCTAATCAAGCAAGGTTAAGATCACTTTCCAGGTCTAGATGGTTAATTTTCTGTGTCAACTTGACTGGATCACGAGATGGCCAGATATTTGGTTAAACATTATTTCTAGTTGTGTCTGTAGGGCTGTTTCCAGGAGAAATTAGCATGTGAATGAGTAGACCAAGGAAATGAATTGTCTTTGCCAGTGTGGGTGGGCATGATCTAATCCATTGAGGACCAGAATAGAGCAAAAAAGGTGGAACGGGTGAGTTCATGCTGCCTGACTGCTCGAGCTGAGACGTTGATCTCCTACCCTCAATATTCCTGGTTCTCAGTCCTTCAGACCGTTCTGCTTTGTTCCGTTAAAAAAAAATTTTAGCCATTCTGATAAGTGTGTAAGGTATCCCATCGTGGTTACAACGTGCATTCATTGATAACTAACAATGTTGAGCATCTTTTCATGTGTTTATTTGCCATCTGTGGATTTTCTTCAGTGAAATACATCTTTATGTCTTTTGCCCATTTTCTAATTGAATTGTTTTTTACTGTCAAAGAACTTGTATCTAGAATATATAAGGAGTTCTCAAAACTGTAGTTTTCAAAGAATTTCTCCCTGTCTGTAACTTGTTTGATCATTTTCATAGGGTCTTTCTCAGAGCAAGATTTTTTCATTTTGATGTAGTCTAATTTATCTAGTTTTCTTTTTATGGGACATGCTTTTGGAGTAATGGCTAAGAACTCCCTGCCTAGTCCTAAATCTTGAAGATTTTTTCTTGTGTTGTTTTTTTCTGAGTTTTATAGTTTTACATTTCACAATTAATTTTATGATCCATTTTGAGTTAATTTTTACATTACCTGTGAGATTTAGGTCAACGTGGGTTTTTTTTTTTTTTTGGCTTATGGATATTGAATTGCTTCAGCATCACTTGCTGAAAGACAAACCTTCCTCTGTTGAATTGCTTTTGCAATTTTGTCAAAAATCAAAGGGTGGTTCTATTATGGTTCTTTCTATTTCTCAGTTCTTCATTCTGTTCCACTGGTCTATGTATCTGTCCCTCCACTAATCCTGAGTTGTCTTAATTACTGGAGCTATAAACTCAACCTTAATATTGGGTAGAGTGATACCTTCAACTTTATTCTTTTTTGACAAGATTGTTTTAGCTAATTTAAACCTGTGCCATTCCATGTAAATTGTAAAATAAGCTTGTATAGATCTACAAGTAAACCTTGCTGGTATTTTGATAGGAATTATGCTAAATCTGTGTATCAATTACATAAGAATTGAAATCTTTATTATCTTGAGTCTTTTAACCCAAGAATAGGGATGATTTATCTCTCCATTTGTTTAGGTGTTATTTGATTTCCTTCGTCAACTTTTTGTAAATTTTGGCATACTGATGCGTGTTTTCTTAAGGTTATACCTAAGTATTTCATTTTCTTTGGAGCGATTATTAATGGTATTGTGTTTTGAATTTTGGTTTCTACATATTTATTGTTAGTGTATAAAAGTGTTATTAAATTTTGGGGTATGTTGGTCTTGTATTCTACACCCTTGCTGAATTGACTTAGTAGATCTTGAATATTTTTAGTGATGCTTTGGAATTTTCTATAGAGATGATCATGTCATCTGCAAGTACAGGAAGTTTTATTTCTTCATTTCCAATCTGTATACCTTTATTTCCTTTTCTTGCCTTATTACAGTTGCTAGGACTTCCAGTTCTATGCTGAGTAAAAGTGCTGAAATCTGGAAGACTTGCCTTGTTCCTGACCTTAGGGGGAAAGCACTTATTCTTTTACCATTAAGGAGTAATAAATTATTTCAGGTATACTAATAATGATGTAGTTATGCTTCAGAAGGGATTGATAATACCATTTTATACTCTATAATTCTATATTTCCATAATAGAAAGTTCAAAAAGTTAGAGTGTAGGGAGTGTTATTGACTAAAAGAGACAGGCAGTATGAGAACCTTGTTTGCACTGATTCAAATCAAATAATTTTAGTATGGATTCATAAGGAATCATTGTTAATTTGGTTGTGATCATGACATGTTAGATGTGTTTTCCAAAAAGTCCTTATGAGTTAGAGCTGCATACTGAATCTAGATTTTCAGACTCTCAGTCAAGTGCTCTTTCCCCATCTACTGCCTCTCAGCCCACACCAGCCAAACAGAATATCTTTAAGTCTGGCTGAAGCTTAAAGAGGTGGGGGTAGGGATAGGTCTTTGGCCATAACAACTCACAGGAAACTGTCTGTGCCCTCCAGCATATCAACTGGCTTTGCAAGCACCCGGCCCAGATGTGTCAGGCCTATGGACACAGACCGTCTTTATGAGGCTTGCTCAATGGCTGTCTGTGAGCCCAGAGTTGCCCAGCCACCTCCTGGCCAGGGGCATCCTGGGTGGCTGCCAAACCAATGACAGAGTTCACACTCTCAGGCCTTTGCTCCTCCTTCATGTTGACTGGAAAGTCTCCATCTTCCACAGCGTAAGTGGGGACACTGCAAGCACAGTTGCTGGCTGGCAGGGCTCAGGCCACTCTTCATTGTATGCAAGCCATGAGCATTGAGCACTTATTCAGCAAACATTCACTAAGAAGTGACTAGGCGCCCAGAAGCTCACCAGGTCAGGGGGCGGGGCTGAAGAAAGCATAAGGATCCATAAGCACAAGTTGGTACAGACCCCAGCCAGATGTTAGGGGAGTGGGGAAGAGCTGGTAGGAGAGAGCCTAGAAGGAAGGACAGGAATCAGGCCTGGGCAGAGCATAGAGCGTGCAGGGAAAGAAATCTGGGACTAGGGAGCAACCTGGGCAAAGCCTGGAGTGGGTAACTTGTGGAAGATGGAGCAGTTCCTTTTGTCCAGAGTGGAGAGTAGGTGTGTGAGAAGGGGAGTATCAGCAGATGGAGGGAAGCAGGTTGAAGTCTTGATAGGGAAGACCTTCAAGGCCAGTGAAGGGCTCTTGAGGGAAAAGTGGTATTTTTGAGCAAAAGTAGGGTGGGGGAAGCAAAATGACCACAGTAATGAAAGTGGGATTATTTTTTACTCCCAACCATCCCTCATGAAAACATTCCAATAACATCTGTTATCACTGTGCATTTTCCGACACGCAATTTGAAACGCTGCCGTGATTAATGGGGCCCAACAAAGTCATGGGGTGCATATTCTGAGGGAACTTGTGAAAGCAGATGTTTTATGCCAGGTTGTGTCCATGTGTCCCTGCTACAGAGCTCCTCACTCATCCACACAGGAGCCATGCTACAGGAATAGAGTTTACCTACTGGAGAAGCCACCCTTGGCAGTGCCTGTAGTCCAGGTCTCTGTTGGATGTGCCTCAGGGCAGAGCCTAGGCTATGGCCTGGGAAACAGGCCATGAAACCAAATGTTGCACACTCACTACACCTAAGGTGCTTTTTGTCTGGTGGAGAGAGGAAGGCCAGGCATAGAATTGCTTTCATATCAGGACAAATGAAACAAGTGTGAAGTCATAATAAATCAGGCCACCATTAGGTAGCTCATTTCCTTGAACATTTATTATGGGCCAGGCCCTGAGCCAAGCACTTTCACATACATCGTCTTATTGGATCCTCCCTGAAACCCTGTGGAATAGGCCATATTATTAGCCCCATTTTAAAGAGCAGGAAACCAAGGCTCAGACAAATGAAATAACTTGGTAGCCCAAGTTCACACCTGGCTACTAGGAAGACAAGACAGGCTTCAAATCCAGGACTGGTTAACCTCAAAGCCCACATTCTTTCCACTCTAACACATCTTGGAGCCTACTTTTTTTCTTTTCAACTTCAAATTTTGAAATATAGATTCACAGGAAGTTACAAAGATACTACAGCATGGTATTGTGTACCTTTAACCCAGTTTTCCTCAGTTGTTACATGAAATGTAACTATAGTACAATATCAAAACTAGGAATTTGATATTGGTACAATGTGTGTATAGTTCTATGCCATTTGATCACATGTGTACATTCCTGTAACCATCACCACAATCAAGATAAAGAACTGTTCCATCACCACAAAGATCTTCCGTGTGTTACACCTTTAAACACACACAGACACACACCCTCAATCCCACCATCTCTAACCTCTGGCAGCTAGTAATCTGTTCTCCATCTCTATAATTTTTCATTTCGAGACTGTTATATAGATTGTTTTTTACCTCATTCATCATAATGCCCTTGAGATCCATTCAAGTTGTTGCATGTATCATTAGGTCATTTCTGGTTATTGCTGAATAGTACTCCATGGTTTGGATGTACCATAGTTTGTTTAACCATTCACACACTGATGGATAGCTGAGGTCTTTTCAGTTTTTGACTACTACAAATAAATCTGCTATGAATATTTGTGTATAGTTTTGTGAAAATAAGTTTTTCATTTTTTCTGACATAAATGGCCAGGAGAGAAATTGCTGGGTTGTACAGTAGTTGCATGCTTAATTTTATAAGAAATTGACTCTTTTCAAGAGGGACTGTACCATTTATGTTCCCACCAACAATGTATAATCCAGTTTTTCTGTATCATCTTCAGCGTTTGTTGTTGTCAATATTTTTTATTTTAGCCATTCGGATAGGTGTGCAATGATATCTCATTGTGGTTTTTATTTGCATTTCCTTGATGGCTAATGAGGTTGTGCTTATTTGCCATCTGTGGATTATCTTCCACAAAATGTTTCTTCGTGTGTTTTGCCTATTTTCTGACAGGAGTTTTTATTATTATTATTATACTCTTGATTTTTGAGAGCTCTTTATATATCCTAGATACAAGTCTTTTGTTGAATATATGGTTTGTAAATATTTTCTCCCAGTCTGTAGCTTGTCTTTTCACCCTCTTAACAGTGCCTTTCAGGAGCAAAGTAGTTTCGGTGTGACCCAGTTAATCTATTTTTTTTTTAATAGATTATGATTTTGGTGTCAAGTCTAAGAATTCTTCACTCAGCCATAGGTTCCAAAGATTTTTGCTTATGTTTTCTTCTGAAAACTTTATACTTTGACATGTTATATTTAAGTCTGTGATCCATTTTGAGTTTAAAAAGTGTGACGGTTAGGTCAAATTTTTTTTTTTTTTTTTTACTATGGGTGTCCACTTGCTCCAGTACCATTTGTTAAAAAGACTATCCTTCCTCCATTAAATTGCTTTTGCAACTTTGTCAAAAATCTGTTGGGCGTATTTGTGTGGGTCTATTTATGAATTCTCTGTTCTGTCTCACTGATCTATATCAGTGTCTGTTCCTCTGCCCTAAACACACTATACTGCTTACTTTGGTTATGCAATAGGCCTTAACACCAAGCAGAGAAATTCTTCTTAGTTTATTTTTATTTTTCAAAGTTGTTTTAACTATTCGAGTTCCTTTGCTTTTTCATATAAATTTAAGGATAATATTGTCTATATTTACAAACAAATCCTGCTGGAATTTTGATAGGAATGGCATTAAAACTGTATTTCAATATGGGGAGAATTGACATCTTTACTATGTTGCATCTTTTAATCCCTGAATATGGTATGTCTCTCCATTTATTTAGATCTTCTTTAATTTCTTTCATTAGCATTGTGTAGTTTTCAGCATAAACATACTGTGCTTGTGTTGTTAGATTTACAGCTAAATATTTCCTTCTCTCTTTTAGAGTTATTTTAAATGGTATTGTGCTTTTAACTATAGTTTCTACATGCTTGTTGCTAGTATACTGAAGTAAGATTGGCTTTCGTGTGTTGATCTTGTGTTCTGCAACTTTGATGAACTCTCTCATTACTTGTTTTATACATACCTCAAGATTTTTAACATAGATTATCATGTTATCTACAAGCAGGAACAGTTTTAGTTCTTCCTTTCTAATCTATTCCAGTTATCTCCTTTTCTTATTGAGCTGGCTAGGACTTTCAGTGACATGTTGAGTAAGAGTGGTACTAGCAGACATCCTTGTTTTCTTTCAGGCTTTAGAGGGAAAGTGTTCAGTCTTTTACCATTAAGTATGACATTAGTTATAGGTATTATGTAGATGCTCTTCCCCTCTGATTAGTCTGCTTGGACTGCCATTACAGAATATCACAGACTGGATGGCTTAAATGAGAGTTGTGGGGTGATAAAGAGATCTCTGGTATCTTGTCCTCTTCTTATAAAGACATCAGTCCTGTTGGGTTATGAACCCACTCTTATGGCCTCATTTAACCATAATTACCTTGTTAATGGCCCTGTCTCCAAATACAGCCAAATTTGGGGTTAGGACTTTAACATAATGAATTTGGGCAGGGGGACACACAATTCAGTCTGTAACACCCTCTATTCCTAAGTTACTGAGAGGTTTTTAAAATTGTAAATGGCTGTTGGATTTTGCCACATGCTTTTTTGATTTAATCCATGTGATTTTTCTTCTTTAGCCTGCTGATATGATGGAGTACATTGATTGAAAATATTGAACCAGACTTTCATACCTGGAATAAACCCCACCTTGTCATGCTGTATAAATCTCTTCATATATTGCTAATATATTTTTAAAGAATGTTTGTGTCTATATTCATGAGTTATATTGGTGTGTGGTTTTCTTTTCTATACTGTCTTTTCCCAGCTTTTGTATTGGATAAGACTGGCCTCATAAAATAGATTTGAAAGTGTTTTATCTTCTATTTTCTGGAAGAGGCTGTGTAAAATTGGTCTTAATTCTTCTTTAAACTTTTTCTTTTTTTGAGACAGAGTCTCACTCTGTCACCCAGGCTGGAATGCAGTGGTGTGATCTCAGCTCACTGTAACCTCCACCTCCCAGATTCAAATGATTCTCCTGCCCCAGCCTCCCAAGTGGCTGAGATTATAGGCATGCACCACCATGCCCACCCAATTTTTTTTTTTTTTTTTAGTAGAGATGGGGTTTTGCCATGTTGGCCAGGCTGGTCTCGAACTCCTGACCTCAAGTGATTCACCCCCATAGAACTCCCAAAGTGCTGGGATTACAGGCATAAGCCATCACCACCCGGCCTTCTTTAAACTTTTGATAGATGTTCTAACCAAACCATCTGAGACTGGAGATTTCTTTCTCACAGTTATACTTTTAAACTATGATTGCATTTTTAATGGTCATATGGCTATTTAAATTATTGTTTTCATATTGAGTAAGTTTTGGTAGTTTGTACTTTTTGAAGACTTGGTGCATTTTATCTAAGTTGTCAAATGTATGTGTGTAGAGTTGTTCATAGTACTCCCTTGTTATTCTTTTGGTGACTGCAGGGTCTGTAGTGATAGCCCCTGTTTCACCCCGATATTGGTAAATGTCTTCTCTTTTTATTGTCAGTATCATTAGATGTTTGTCAATTTTATTGATCTTTTCAGAAAACCAGCTTTTTGTTTCAAAGATTTTTGTCTTGTTTTCTGTTTTCAGTTTCATTGACTTCTGTTATTATTTCTTCCTTCTGCTTGTGTTGGAATACTTGTTCTTCTTTTTTAGGTTCTTAAAAGAAGAGCCTAAATTAACGATTTGAGACTTTTTATTTTCTGTAATGTATGTATTAGTGTTATAAATTTCATTCTAGCACTGCTTTAGCTGTGTCTAAAAAATTTCAATATGTTGTGTTTTTTTTACTTTTATTCCATTGTGTCACATGATACATTCTGTATGATTTTAATTCTTTTAAATATGTTGAGGTTTGTTCTATGTTCCAGGATATGGTCTATCTTGGTGAATGTCCCGCAGGCACTTGAAGAAAATGCCTTTTCTGCTTGTTGGGTGAAGTGTTCTACAAATGTCAATTAAATCCTGTTGGTTGATAGTGTTGTTGAGTTAGTTCTTCTACATCCTTGCTTTTTGTCTTGTTGTTATATCAAGGGTTGAGAGAGTGGCGTTAAAGTCTTCAACTGTAATTGTGGATTTGTCTGTTTCTCCTTTTAGCTCTATCCGTTTTGCTTCACATGCATTGCAGTGTTGTTGTTTGGTTTGTATACATTTATGATTGCAGTGTCTTTTTGGTAGATTAACTGTTTTTTTTTTTTTTTTTTTTTTTTTTAGATGGAGACTCGCTCTGTCCCCCAGGCTAGAGTACAGTGGCGCAATCTCAGCTCACTGCAACCTCCGCCTCCTGGGTTCAAGCGATTCTCCTGCCTCAGCCTCCTGAGTAGCTGGGATTACAGGCACATGCCACCATACCTGGCTACTTTTTTTGTATTTTTTTTTTTTTTTTTTTGAGACGGAGTCTCGCTCTGTCGCCCAGGCCGGACTGCGGACTGCAGTGGCGCAATCTCGGCTCACTGCAAGCTCCGCTTCCCGGGTTCACGCCATTCTCCTGCCTCAGCCTCCTGAGTAGCTGGGACTACAGGCGCCCGCCACCGCGCCCGGCTAATTTTTTGTATTTTTAGTAGAGACGGGGTTTCACCATGTTGGCCAGGCTGGTCTCAAACTCCTGACCTCAGGTGATCCACCTGCCTCAGCCTCCCAAAGTGCTGGGACTGCAGGCGTGAGCCACCACACCTGGCCTAGATTGACTCTTTCATTATTATATAATGTTCATCTCTGTCTGTAGTAATTTTCTTTGCCCTTAAGTCTACTTTATCTGATATTAACATAGATACTCCTGCTCTTCTTTGATAAATGCTTGCAGGATATTTTTCTAATCCGTTTATTTTCAACCTGCTCATATTGTTATATGAAAATGAGTTTCCTGTAGACAACAATAGTTGGGTTATGCTTTTCAAACCACTTTGCCTGTCATTTTTAAATTCTATTTTGAAATATCTATAGTGTTATTGAGAATATCCATTTGAATAGTTTTTTAGTGGTTGTTCTAGGTGTTACATTATGCATACATAACTTTATCACAGTCTACTGGTGTTACACTTAATTAGTTTAAATGAAATGTAGAAATCTTACCTTCATTTATGTCCTTTTGTCCCACCCCTTACTTTATAGTATAATTGTAAAAAGTATTTTCTCTGCATACATTTAGAATTCATCAGACTATGTCATAATTTTTGCTTTGATCATCTAACATAATTAGAAAACTTAGGAGAAAAATGGTCTACTATTTTTATATGTGTTATTACTCTTTCTGCTGTTCTTTATTCCTGATGCTCTAAGGTTTTTAATTTTGTCACTTACTTTTTATTTAGAGAACTTCCTTTAGCCATTTTTTAAGAGTAGATGTGCTGGTGACATACTTTTAGTTTTTTTGTTTTTTTTTTTCATCTGAGAATGTGTTCATTTCACATTTATTCCTGAAGGATATTTTTCTCTGAGTATGGGATTCTAGGCTGACAGTTCTTTTATTTCAGCACTAGAGAAATGTTGCCCCACTACCTTCTGGCCTCCATGATTTCTGAAGAGAAATACAATGTCATTCAAATTAGTTTACATTGCTATGGACTGAATATTTGTGCCACCTAAATACATATTTTGAAGCTTAATCCCCAATGTGGTGGTATTTGGAGGTAAGGGCTTTGGGAGGTATTTAGGTCATGAGGGTGGGACCATCATGAATAAGATTAGTAACCTTTATAAGAAGAGATATCAGAGCACTTGCTGTCTCTCTCTTCCATGTGAAGATACAGCAAGGTGATGGCCATTTACAAACCAAGAAGAGGACACTCATGAGAACCCTACTATGCTGGCATCCCATCCTCAGACTTCTAGCTTTAATAACTGTAAGAAATAAATTTCTGTTGCTTAAGCCACCTAGTTTAGGATATTCTCTCATAGCAGCCTGAACTGACTGATACATACTTGTATAGATAATGAGTCATTTCTTTTTAGTTGTTTTTAAGACTTTTTTCTTTGTTTTTACTTTCGTGAAATTCTACTATGATGTGTCTCAGAATGGATTTTATTCAATTCATCCTGCTTGGGTTTTGCCTAACTCTTTGAATCTGTAGGGTTATGTCTTACACCAAACTTCGGAGCTTTTCATCCATATTTTTTTCCCAATAATTTTCTCTCTCTCCTCTCCTCTCCTTCTCAGATTTTGATGATATAAAATATCCTGAAGTTCACTGGTTCTTTCCACTGTCCTCTCCATTCTTCTGTTGAGCCTATCTACTGAGTTTTTTATTTCAGTTATTGTATTTTGCAGTTCTAAGAATTTAATTTGGTTATTTGTTGGTCTTTTAATTCTTTATTGGGACTTTCTATTTTTTTCATTTGTTTCAAGAGCATTCATAATTGCTCACTGAACCATTTTTTACAATAGCTGCTATAAAATCCTCATCAGATAATTCTAACACCTCTGTCATCTAGGTGTTGACAATTATTGTCTTTTCTCATTCAAGTTGTGATTTTCCTGGTTCTAAGCATGACAAGTGATTTTTGAACATATCCTGGACATTTGGGGTATCATGTTGAGATTTTGTATCCTATTTAATCTGCGTTTATGTAGGCAGTTCACCCTGTTGAGGTATAGTATGCAGGTTCAGGTAGTGGTAGATGTTCTGCTCCCCACTAATACCCTGCTATTACCACCCCTGCAAAGGCAGATTGCTAAATTGCACCACCTTGCATTGGCTTGCTGCCAACAGGTGGGGGTGGCTAGGCTCTGCTGACACTATCTTATCAGGATCAGTGGAGTGGCAACTAGCACAACCTCTCGCTATCTTGTTCCACCTTCTTGCTATCATGATGGGGACAAAAATTCAGCTCCCCACCTGATCTTGCTGACATTGTAGGATGGGGGGAAGGAAGTTTTTCCTTTGTTGTTTAGTTAGAGAAGGGTGGATCATATAAAAAAAGTTTCTGTTTTGCTAGGTCATTTTCTTCCTAATCCTTTGGATAGAGAAAGAAAATTTTTTTTTGTATTGTGTTTGTTTTCTTGCTTGCCTTATAAAAATTTGTGCCTGTTGACTATTCCATTTTGAAAGTATCTGTAGTGTCATGTATGGGATATATGAAAGGAAATAAGAAAACTCAGAAAACTCTCTGCCATGTCATTCCTCAAGTATCAAGTTCTCTAGACAGTCTTCCTTCTTCTCTCTACCTTATGGAGTCTTCCTACGTTTGTTTGTTGTGTTATATCCAGGCTTACTAGTTGTCACAGAGCGGACCTGGAAGGAATGGGGCTATTCTATCAATGATGGCTAGTCCTGCAAGTCCCTACATTTTATTAAAGTCATAGTAGCAATAATATTGAATGCTTGCCATAGGCCAAGTACTCTCTCTTCCAAAAGCTTTCTGTATATCATTTTTTCATCCATATAACAATTCTGTGAAGCAGGTACTGACATTCCCATTTGAAATATGAGAAAACTGAGTCTCAGAATTGAAATGACTTCCCTAAGGTCACACAACTAGTAGAAGACTCACAGCTATCTGACTTCTGAGCCCTGTAATTACCCCCAATGATGAAGGATTCTTTGATCTAAGAATAAGCAAACTGCAATGGGAATAGAGAGGAAAGTGAGATGAATAATTCCTAGGAAATGAGGAACAGTCAGCAAAGGGAATGGGCACAAATATTTCTTGAGCATCTATGCTAGACCAAACCCTGTGCTAATCAGTTTATACGTCATGCCATCAGGGAAGGCTTCCCAGAGGAGAGGTATTGCATTGGGCCTTAAAACATAAGTGGAAATCCCATAAGCAGAGAAGGAAGTGAAAGAAATTATAGGTAGATGAAACAGCATGAGCCAAAGTCAGAAAGTCTGGAAAGAACACAGGAAATTCAGGGAATGGTGACCACCCTGGGGAGGCTTGAAACATGGAGAGATGTGGTTGGGGAAGAAGGCAGGACCAAATCATGGAGGGTCCTGCTTGCCAGGCACAGGAGCTTGGACTGAGTGCATCTGGCTAATGGAAAGCAAGGACAATGCACGTTGATCAGATAGAAGGTCAAGATGGTTTGTGGGCAGCTACATGCCTCTCTTCTTGCCTATAACTTCTGGGAAGTGCAATTTTGTTTAAGTTGAAGAATTTAGTCCTTAAATACATAACATTAAAGCCATGACTATATCTGATAATTTCAGATTAACAAAAAAGAAAGCCCAATCCTTGGGGAAGGTGCAATTCCTGGGGACAGGAATGGGGAAAAGTGCTGCAAAGCCAACTATGGGGAAGGCTGGACCTCTGGGTTACTCAACTCAGAGCCCCACCCAAGAATGACTCCAGCTCAGCACCAGCTCAAACCATCACACACTGTCATACCAAGGGAAAGGGAGAAGGGAATTCCAAAGAACTCAAAGCCCCTGCCCAAGCCAAAAACTTCTCATCAATCCAGAAAGTGAGTGAGCTGCTCTCACCTCTGCCTAGAATCTTCTGCCCCTCTGGCCATGGGACATATCTTCTCTTGCAGCCCAACTTAGTGAGTGTAGCAGGGGCTCAAAGTAGATTCCTTGGGTGATTTATTGGCTGTTACCTCTCAAACTGGCAGCATGCATTCCCATATGCAGCATATTTCTACATAATTGAAATCCTTCCCACAAGCCTGTCAGGCAGGGTTTCCAGCCCCACTCTACACATCAGGAAGTCAAAGCTGCTCAGTAGGAAGGGGCTAGACTGGATGTAGCTGAGCCTCTGACTCCTGGATTATGTGCCCACACAACAGAACTTCCAGTCTATTTCCTACTGGCTCTCCATTGGCTCTCACCTCACCTGCCCATGATGTCCCAGCCTCTGCTTTTGTTCCCTCCAAACATCCTTTTAAGAGCCCCTTTGGACTAATCAGAAGAGGTAACTGGTTTCCATTAGTGCCTTACCTGACCAGCTTATAGCCTCTGGATCTCTCCTCATTCTCTGGGTCTCCCCATCTTCACTGCCACCGGAGTTGTTTGGTGCCATGTTCGCTGGTCTCTTGGGTGATTCCTGCATTTGGTCCATGATAGGACCTCATCTAAAGTGCCTTATTATTGTTCAGCATTAGGGTATTCCTTAATGCTGAGTCTTCAGAAGGCCAGCCCAGTCTGCAAACAGACCCTGGCAGCCATCCTGCAGTCACAAGTATCTAGCTGTGGTATAGTGGAACAAATCTGCGTTTTGGTATCAGACGGACCTGGGTTTGAATTAAAGCCTGGCACCTTACTTGCTCTGGGACCTTAGTCAATCACTGTACCCTTATCCCTCTGAGTATGATTCTCAAATAGAGCCACAAATTGCAAGGCATCATGGAACTAGGTCCCTACTGCTCTGAGCCCCCCCACTTTTTGGAGCCATTCGGTAGAGAGAGCAGCTGATGGAAGAAGCAACTACGGCCAAAGAGGTTTCGTTCTACACGCACATTCAGAAAGCACTTGTGAGGAAGGACATGTGCCTAGCTGGTGGAACACTCCAGCCTGTGCTTTGGGCACTATGAAGTGAGTTTGATCAAATGCTTAGGTAGCACCATGCATTGTGCCCATCCATTCCTGGTTTCAAGTACCATGAATGGTGCAATATCCAGATCACCCTCAGATCTCCAGGGTAAAGGCACCGAGATCCTGTGCCACCCCTGGAGGGCTGGGTAAGAGTAGGCAGGGATAAGTAGGTAGGGAGGAGCTGTTGCCAGGGACACCTTTCTGGGAAGGAGAGCAAACTGAAAACAGTGGTGGGGGTTGGAAGGGCTGCAGCTCCTCAGAAATGAGGCCTACTGGGGCTCCAGACATGGAAGGCAAGGTGAGTCCTGTTGCAGGCCCTCACCATCCCCCTATGTAGAATCTCACCAGACCCCTCCTTATGAAGGCAGCCATCTTCTCCCAGAGTCGAAGAGGAAGAAAATCCATCATTCTAAGAGAGAAGCAGAAATTTCCTGAAAGAGCAGAAATGAAATATGGAAGGGAAGAGATTTTAGCAGATCCGATATGGGCTTTTTAATCTGCTAGCTGGTATCTCTAAACTAATTTCCAAACAAAGAGAAAAAAGAGCCAGCTGGGCCTCCAGGGACCCTCATATTTTCTAGCTGGAAAGTGCATCAGGTTGGGTGAGAGTAAGCAGACCCATGCCTGCAGAATCCTACTCTGAGTGAGGCACAAGAGGCACAGGCTGGTGGGGAAGAGCAGCATAGGGGCCAGGAGACAAAGAGGGAGGCCATAGTCAGCAATGGGAGCACCTTGCTCCTTGTCTTGAAGAGCTGTTTATTTTCTAAATACTAGCATTCCATCTTTTATGGGTCACACACACACACACACACACACACACACACACACAGGCATATTCAACAAGGAGGGGTCTGACTTCCAGTGGCAGGACAGAATGGGCCAGAGACCTGGATGAGGTGACTGAAGACTGGAAGTGAACCATGGCTCCCTTGTCTCCCTCGTCTGCCCTGATTAGGTGTATGACTTCATAGGACCCTTGCCCTCAGTTTTGAATTCTGCCCAGCCAATCCCCCAGGGATTTAGTAAGGAGCATGATACAGTGACACATTTGGAAAACTGAAAGCCCTGTGCCCATGGCATACAGGAATCTGACAAGAGCAACCAGCAAAGTATGGCTCAATTCCACGTAAGGAAGGTGCTGCCCTCTCTCCTCCTACCAGTGCAACCCACAGACTAGCCGTGTTACCTGTAGGATCGCTGAGGATCCACTCCAATACTTCTTTGCCTGAAAGTCTTGCCCTTCTAGCTTGTGCCACACATTGCAGTCAAAGTGTGCCCCACACATGGTGCTAACCATGTCACTTCTCTCTCCAAACCCTTCCATGAGTTCCCATTGTCCTCAAGATAAATTCCAAGTCCCTCAGAATGGCCAAGAAGGACCCTAAACTTGATTAAAAATTGGTCGTAGAAGCCGTCATATGAATGTCTTCTGAATTTGCTTTCAAACTTGTAGTGAGTGTTCCACTGAATATCTTAACTCTAACACCACAAGTGCTCACTCATGTGGAAGCTAAAAAAAAGTTGATCTCATAGAAGTAAAAAGTAGAACAGAGAATAGTAAAGGCTGGGAAGGGTAGAAGGAAGTGGGGGATAGGAAGAGATTTGTTAAAGGATACAAAATTACAGCTAGATAGGAGGAATACGTTCTAGTGTTCTATACCACTGTAGTTAACAAGAATATATTATACAGTTTCAAATAGCTAGGAGAAGAATATTGAATGTTCCCAACACAAAGAAATGATGTTTGAGATGATGAATATGCTAATTACCTTGATCTGATCGCTCTACATTATATGTATCAAAACGTCACTATGTACTTCATGAATAGATACAATTATTATGTCAATTAAACAACTAAAAAATTTAAAAGTTTTAAAATAATTAAAATATAAAAATAAATAAAATGAAAAAAATCCCCAGTTAAAAAAAAATTTTCTTTCTGAATTTGGGGCCAATGGAAGAAAAAACAGGCCTCTTTGAAGATAAAAATGTTTCCATTTTTTCTGATGATGAAAACTCTGGAGTCCTACATGATTTTTTCTTTTTATCCTCTGGCTGCCAGTAAACTGCTGGATAAACGTTATTTTTAGTCCCCAAATCATGTTAACCCTTGGAATTATCAAGATTTTTCTCCTCTAATTCTTTATTTTTGTCTTAGTATTCCTATTTTATTAACATAGGACAATGCCCACTCTACCACAAAGTCTATATAGAGTGATGGTAGAAATATACAAACAATATTTTCAGTAAAGTTTTCTAGAACAATACTCATAACCCAGCTGTGTGGTTGGATCAAAGAACACTCTCTCTATGGGATACCAAATAGTATGGGAGCTCAGAGAGGAACTGTAGGGAGCCCCGTAGAAGAGATGGCCAGCTGACTGAGCCATTGTGCAGGCCTGAAGCATTGGTCAAGGGGCCAATATTCTCCCTCTTTCTTTCCTCAATTCAAAAAAAAGGAGAGAACATGTCCAAGGTCATGGCCCAAGGTAATGTCAGAATTGGAAGGAATCTCTCCTTAGTTACCACTCTGTCTCACCATAGCCCTTCTGCTCTCCAGTTTTACAAATGGGGAAACTGATGCTCAGAAAAAGCTAGTAGCCTTTGATACCTCTCCTTGTCCACAGAATTCTTGAAGCCACCAAGAATGCCTGACTTCTTGACATAACCCCGTTATTAAGGTGGGAGGTGGGACTTGACTCCAGAGGTGGGGCTTGGAGACTGGACCAGATTGAGGACTAGCTAAAACAGGGCCAACCAGTGCAGAAGCAGCTTTCAATCAGACATGCTCACCAGTGTGCTATGTCAATTTATTGTTGCCGCAGCAACACCCAGGAGTTACTGCCCCTTTCCATGGCAATGACTCAATGACCCAAAAGTTACTACTTCCTCCATAGAAATTTCTGCATAAACTCCCTCTTAATCTGCATGCAACTAAAATTGGGTATAAATATTACTGCAAAAATGCCCTGAGCTGCTACTCTCTGCCTAAGGGGTAGCCCTGCTCTGAGGGAGCAGTCGCTGAAGCTGTAACACTGCCTCTTCAATAAAGCTGTTTTCTTCTATCTCTGGCTTGACCTTGAATTCTTTCCTTGGCAAAGCCAAGAGCCCTCGCAGGCCGCCCTTTGCCTGCCCTGCATCATTAAGGCACTGATGTGTATACTGTAAGGGAGGAAGGAGAAAATACATTCTATTCTGTAGCAAATTGTGTACTGGCCTTCACTCTGTAAATGAAGACGTGGTTTAAGCTACAAAATAGCCAAATAGGTGGCCTAGTGAGGTTGTTTATAGCAGCCAGATACAACTGGGGATTCTGGGAAAGAATCAACAACAGATTTAAGGCCTTCAGTTTAAACCACTTGGTAGTCACTACCTGAGTCAGTCCTCCAGTCTAGCTTGGTGCTGAGTAGAAGGCATTGCAGATTGCCCTTCCATCTGCACCTGAGTCCACAGCATCCCATACTTATCTAATCAGCTAGCTGCCTGTGCACTCCTAACAATGGCACCCTATGCAGTGCAGTCAGCTGTGCCAATACCCATCTATACCAGTGCTGGGTGACAAGGCCTCACAAGTGTAGTCTAAACACTTCCCGGGGTTCTAGGCTGGAGCTGTGGCAAGTGGAATGAATCCTCTGCAATGTCCTTGTCCTAATACTTGCTGAAGAGTATTTATGTCCCATGGAAGGGCCCAAGCAGAAGGAAAGATACCACCAAAACTGGGAATGGACTCTGCCACTGGAAAATGGAGACTCTGTAATTACTCCATTATAATTCAAGAAATAAAATATATTTCCGGTGATTAACTGGGTCTATTTATAGACCATGAGGCCTGAACTATGATATTTATAGAATGTCATCGCATTTAGCAGTAATAGCACAATTACATGTTTATGAAGTAATGGTTTTGCAATTTTTCCTAGAATTCTCTGACATTTGGATCTGGAAATTTTACATTTTAACAAGCAAGAACAGCAGCTATTTATTTAAGGGTGAATAGCAGAAACTGTCTTCTCTGTTAACTCTTTTCACTCCAAAAGCCTGTGAACCCCCTAATTGATTTTGCTTTTACATAAGAAACAAGATGATGTACAGCAAATAATATACCTATTTTTGTAGAGCTCTGGTTTCTTTCTTAAATGGTGCCTTTCATTGCTTGGAATTCTCATATCCTGAATCTTCCTTCTTGGGATTTAGTGTGATATGGTTTTCCTTTTTCCATAATGATCTAAGTCAGGCTAAAAGGCTAAGACAGATGTGTTTAATATCCAAAATAATATAGTGGAAATGAAATGAGACACCATGCCAATGAGTCCCCCTTTGCTCTAACTCATAATTTAAAACTTGGTGTTTTAATGGGAAAAGTGGAAATTCTCTTTGGGTTATTGGCAACAGCAGTAAATTAGCATGGCCAGTTGGGTGTCTCTGGAACAAGTGCTAGAAACACTCTGTAAGACTCAAGCCAGAGTGCTGACCCTCAAATCCCTTTATCATCTAATTCCTCTGGTAGCCACTTTCCCATGCAGCTACCAAACCATAACTCACAGGCCCGGGCAGTGGACACAGCCTTTGGCAATGGAAGATGGGTCTGCAGTGACTTGGGACTGCTGGTATATTGGTAGCATTTGCCAATTTCCATGGTGTAAATAGTCACATCATGACTGATTTCAAACTACCAACATTCTGTCAACTGTCTCCAGAATTTCTGAAAATTTAATGAACATCTTTGAGAACCAGTATGGACCAGCTCCAGCATACCACTGCCTAGGGCCAAATGATGAAATGGAACCTCTACCAAACTGGGAGGCAGGAGTTCTGGGTCCAGGAACAGTTTTACTGGAACTGAATTCATTGGGTAATCCCTCATATTTCCTACTCTGGGCCTGAGTTTCTCCAGCTGTCAAAAGATGAATATAGTATTTGCTCTGCCTGCCTCAAAGGCATTGGGATGTCAAGAGCCAATAGCATGGCCAGGCGTAGTGGCTCAAGACTGTAATTCCAGCTCTTTGGGAGGCTGAGGCGGGTGGATCACTCGAGGTCAGGAATTCGAAACCAGCCCAGCCAACATGGTGAAACCTAGTCTCTACTAATAATACAAAAATTAGCCAGGTGTGGTGGTGTATGCCTGTAATCCCAGCTCCTCAGGAGGCTGAGGCAGGAGAATCTCTTTAAGCCGGGAGGCGGAGGTTGTAGTGGGCTGAGATTGCACCACTACACTCTAGCATGGGCAACAGAGTGAAACTCCATCTAAAAAGAAAAAGCCATTGGCAGCCAGATGTGGTGGTAAACGCTTGTAATTCCAGCTACTCGGGTGGCTGAGGTGGGAGGACCACTTCTGTCCAAGAATTTGAGACCAGCTCAGGCAACATAGCAAGACCCCCATCTCAAAAAAAAAAAAAAAAAAAAAAAAAAAAGGAAAGAAAGGAAAAAAGAGCCAATGGCCAGGGAAGTGCTTAGAAAACATGGGAGCACCTTCTTCCCTTCTCCCCAGCTCCTCACTGGGTGCCCCCAACACCTCTTGCTGTCATTTCTTAAGCTTGCCCACATTTGTAGGTGGCAAATTGCATCACTCTCTTGCCAGCCAAACTTTTGTGACACTTGCTGCTTGTTCCAATATTTAAAATATGAATATTCTGGGGAGCAAACACAAGCCGCCTCAACAATGGAGGCCTCAGAACACACTTGATGTTTGGAACAATTGTCTCTGATCATACTGGATCATACCTCTGGAGGGGTGCGGGACTCAAATGTTCAGTTTCCTTGGCCTTTCCCCACATCACCTAAAGCAGAACACTGTGGACCTCACAGCCGAATTTTTGGTAACTCACCCACTGTTCCAGTCTGTTCTCAGGCTGCTAATAGAGACATACCCAAGACTGGGTAATTTATAAAGGAAAGAGGTTTAATTGACTCACAGTTCCACATGGCTGGGGAGGCCTCACAATCATGGCGGAAGGCAAATGAGGAGCAAAGTCGTGTCCTACATGGTGTCAGGCAAGAGAGCTTGTGCAGGGGAACTCCTGTTTATATAACCATCAGATCTTGTGAGACTTATTCCCTACCACAAGAACAGTATGAGGGAAACTGCTCACCCCTGTGATTCAATTATCTCCACCTGTCCCCACCCTTGATATGTGGGGATTATTACAATTCAGGGTGAGATTCAGATGGGGACAGAGCCAAACCGTATTATTCCACCCCTGGCCCCTCCCAAATCTCATGTCTTCACATTTCAAAACCAATCATGCCTTCCCAACAGTTCTCCAAAGTCTTAACTCATTTTAGCATCAACTCAAAGGTCCACAGTCCAAAGTCTCATCTAAGGCAATGCAGGTCCCTTCCGCCTATGAGCCTGTAAAATCAAAAGCAAGCTAGTTACCTCCTAGAAACAATGGGGATATAGGCATTGGGTAAATTCAGGCATTCCATGGGAGAAATTGGCCAAAACTAAGGGGCTACTGGCCCCATGCAAGTTCAAATTCCAATGAGGCAGTAAATAAATCTTAAAGCTCCAAAATTATCTCCTTTGACTCCATGTCTCACATCCAGGTCACACTGATGAAGAGGTGGGTTCCCATGGTCTTGGGCAGCTCTGCCCCTGTGGCTTTGCAGGGTATAGCCCCCCTCCCAGCTGCTTTCACGGGCTGGCATTGTCTGCGGCTTTTCCAGGTGCATGGTGCAAGCTGTCAGTGGAGCTACCATTGTGGGGTCTAGAATATGGTGGCCCTCTTCTCACAGCTCCACTAGGCCATGCCCCAGTAAAGACTCTGTATGGGGGCTCTGACCCCACATTTCCATTCCATACTGCCCTAGTGGAGGTTCTCCATGAGGGCTCTGCCCCTGCAGCAAACTTTTGCCTGGGCATCCAGGTATTTCTATACATCCCCTGAAATCTAAATGGAGGTTCCCAAACCTCAATTCTTGACTTCTGTGCACCTGCAGGCTCAACACCATGTGGAAGCTGCCAAGGCTTGGGGCTTGCACCTCCTGAAGCCACAGCTGGAGTTGTACCTTGGTCCCTTTCAACCATGGCTAGAGTGGCTGGGATGCAGGGCACCAAGGCCAGAGGCTGCACACAGCAGGGGGTCCCTGGACCTGGCCCAGGAAATAATTTTTCCCTCCTAGGCCTTAGGGCCTGTGATGAGAGTGGCTGCCACTAAAGTCTCTGACATGCCCTGGAGACATTTTTCCCATTGTCTTGGCTGTTAGCATTTGGCTCCTTGTTACTTATGCACATTTCTGCAGCTGGCTTGAATTTCTCCCCCAGAAAATGAGTTTTTCTTTTTTACTGCATGGTCAGGCTGCAAATTTTTCGAACGTTTATGCTCTGCTTCCTCTTGTACACTTTGCCCCTTAGAAATTTCTTCCGCCAGATATCCTAAATCATCTCTCTCAAGTTAAAAGTTCCACAGACATCTAGGGCAGGGATAAAATGCTGCCAGTCTCTTTACATAGCAAGATTGACTTGTACTCCGGTTCCCAGCGAGTTTCTCATCTCCATCAGAGACCACCTCAACCTGGACTTCATTGTCCATATCACTATCAGCATTTTGGTCAAAGCCATTCAACAAGTCTCTAGGAAATTCCAAACTTTCCCACATTTTCATGTCCTATTTTGAGCCCTCTGAACTGTTCCAACCTCTGCCTTTTACCCAGTTCCAAAATCGCTTCCACATTTTTGGGTATCTTTACAGCAGCACATTTGGGCGGGGACACAGCCCAACCATATCACTTGCCAATTCACTTGGCCTTTGCCCAGGAATGAATATATGCATCCCACCAATATCACCTCCTTATGAGGAGAACTGGGGTTTTTTAAATGGTGGAACTTTCTGAGTCACTGGAGAGATTCTCTGGCCCACGGGCTGAATGCTGCCAACATCTGTTATGGGGCAGTCCTTTCTCTTTGTAGCACTTTACTGGTCCTCACCTGAGGACTGATGATGGTGCTGACAGACTGCCCTCTACCTACCATCTACTTCCTCTCCTTGGCACTGGGAGTTGGCTACTGGACATGTCCTCCAGGAGATTCCACAGGCACCTCTCACTTAGCAAGCCTCCCTGAGACCTGTACCACATTCACTGCTCATCATCTCAGTTAATGGCCCCTTATCTGGCCTGTTACCCAAGTCATCCTTGACCTTTCCGTCTCCCTCATTTCTCACAGCCAAGCAGTCACTGAGTACTGTCCATTCTGCTTCTCCATGTCTGGTATCTGTCTCTTGCTTTCCAGGCCTCCTGCCTCTGCAGTAGTCCAGGCCATCCCCTCATTTCTGGCCTACAATAAACTCCTGACTGGTAGCCTGTCAGTGGTCTCTCTCCTTGCAATCCATTGTCCATGTTTCATGACATGACCATTCTAAATTGAACATACAATCGTGTTACTCCCTGTCTTCACACTCTTCTGGGGCTTTCCACTGCTCTCATTCTCCCTGAGCACCTGCATCCAGTCCTATGGTTTCAATGAGCATTTCTGTACTCCCTGATGGCTCTCACACCCTTATCTCCAGCTCTAAGCATCTAGATGTATATGACCAGTCATCCCCTAGACATCTTCTCTGGATGCTCCACAGATTCCTCAAACCAAGTTATCCCAAATTGAACTCATCATCTCCCTTCCCCTTCCTTAGTCCTGTCTCTTTCCCAGTGCTCCCTATCTTAGCATGAGATAACAACACACCGGCCACCCAGTGGGTCAAGCCAGAAAGCTGAAAGCCATTGTTGACTCCTCTTCTTCCCTCATTTGGCATTTTCCAGTCTATGGCCCAGATATGTCCAGAATCTACCCACTTGTCTCCACCTCCACTGCTATCACGCCACTCCAAGTCATCATCATTTTTGCCTGGATTATTGCTAGATCTCCCCATCTCTCATTCTATCCTCTTTGTAGAAGTTTTATCCTCCTAAAACACAGATCAAATGCTACTTTTGCTTAAAAAAAGTTTAAGAGTATTCCATTACCTACATGATAAAGGAATGTAGCATACCTTAACTCCATTCTTTATAACAACCCAGGAAAGTAGCTATTATCCCAGGAAACTGATTTGCAGGGAGGAAACAATAGCCAAGTCAGGGTGTGAATTCAGCTCTGCTTGGCATTAAAGCCCATACTCTTTACCCATAGCACAGGGGTTGAGAGCAGTGTGCATGTGAGTGAGGTTTGTAAAAGCAATGCAAGCTCTTCCTTAAAATGCACCCAATCTACCTCCTCCCCCTCTGACACAAACAGCTCTTCCAGCTTGGACAGTCACAAACTTCAAGACTGGGGAGGCTATTTGTCTGCTGACATGTCCTCCTTGCAGCCTGTTTCCAGCTCTTGGTAATATTGAGGCATGAACTCTTCATAATGCAACGTGAGTGCATGTACAGAAAGTGCAGTCAGAGAGATAACCCCTCTTGGCCTCACTAACCAAATGGAAAGATGATTGGTTCCCTGCTTCCTTCTCTCCCTGGGTTGTTGGAACAGTCAAGGATAAAGTGGACATGGACATGTTTCGCAAACCATGAAATGCTTTAGACCTGGGTATGTCGGTTTATTAGGCAGAACCTTCTTGTTTTCCTGTTAGCACTGGGTAAACAAGGAGTGCCCTACAGCCAGAGAGGCAGAGACAGTGGAGCAGTGCAAGTCTCCAGTTGTCCCTTGTCACCTGACGTTTGTCAGCTTGGCCTATGGGCATGGTGAGCTAATTCTCTAGGTGCTTTCTGCCTAAGACCACTTCCCTGATGCACACTCCAGGGGAGCAGTGGGTGCCTCTGGCCCTGACACCTGATTGTTCCCAGGTAGATGCAGCTCTGAAGCCTCAGAGAAGGATGAGCTTGACTTGAATTCTGATGCTGGCTTTGCTCTGACCAGCATGCAACCTGAACTACTTAGCCAGAGTCTCAGCCTTACCCATAAAATAGATATAATTATTATTTTGACAGAGGGTGAGTTTTGGCTTCAGATTAAATAACTTAATCTAATACACAATGACTAGGAGCTCACTCGGTTAGCCACGGAGCCAGGTAATAATAACCATCAGCATTGATTGAGTGCCTCTTCTGCGTCAGCTGCTTTTTGTCTCCTCACCAGGGCTAGAAGGAAGGCACTACTGATTTCCCATGTTATATATGGAAAAGAAAATCAAGACTCTGGGAGGTGAAGTGACTTACCCAAAGTCACACAGTGAGCAAGGGGCCAGAGCCTCCATGCCTCAGAGCCTGTTTTTGCTTTCATGCAGCCCTATGGGGCCAGAGGAGATACCAACTGACCATGGGTCACAGCTAGCATGGCTACCTTGCCAGCTGAGGGAAGAAGAGCATAGCATCCCCACAGCAAGCCCATCTGTAACCCAATGGAACAAGCCAAGTGATCTCTCAACTCCTTTTAACACTATGGGAAAAGGGACAGACAGACCTCAGGATGGAGTCTTGCCATCGCCTTCTCCTGTGGCCCCACACTTAGGGATCCATGTGGTGACCTCCTTAGTCATAGCTAAAAAGACTTCAAGGCAGCTCGTCCCCAGTCTTGCTCCTGGCTGCTGCCTGGCAGAGCCGATGTCCAACTTGGTGTTAATGATTAACGCACAGCAGTGGGATCGCAGAGTTGCCGAGAGTCCTGTGTCCAAGAATGAACCGCATTGCTAAATCAGTGAAGACAGTTGCCAAGGTAACCCCCATGTAATCTATTTAACCGGCTCCCCAAACACCAATCAAGGTCAGATAACGCACTAGAGCACCATATGAACACACTCAGACAGAATCAAGCTTTGTAGCGAGACAGCAGGGAAGGAAGAAACCTCATTAGGAAGAAGGAAGAAAAGCACCCTAAATTTCATTTTGAAAAGTGTTAATTGGGAATGCAGCAGGCTTGGGTGGGGGCAGAGCCCACCATTTGGAGCATGTCCTGGCCACAGAGGAAGTCACTGGGGGCCATTTGTTAAGAGCTGCCACAGTCTTTCCACTCAGGATTAAAACAAAAGGTGCCAGTGGACTAAATTATTCATTTCATTGAGTGTTTATTAATGAAAAGGTTAGTATTTACATTTTAGCCTAACAGGGTGTTTTTTGCTCCATTTAAGGACCCCTTTCCCTAACTCGACCATTCAACCAGTAGCCTCCTCCCCAGCACTTCCCAATAGTCTTAAATTTCTTACATGACTCTCAGGAGCAATTGAAATTGCATTTCCTCTCCCCTCACCCTGCCAGCCTCTCTAGAGAGTGGCCAGGAGAAAAAGACCACTTTGTAGAATTGCTGTCTCATGCCATCTCATTTCCTGCTCCTAGGGTGTTCATAAAAACGGTCCTGGGCAGGAGGCATGGTGTTGGGGAGAGGTAAGGCATGGGGTGGGGCTGGCTCCCTTGTCTCCAGAGGAGACTCCCAACAGCAGGCCACAGTCATGCCAGTCAGCCCTGTCCTGTGCTGGCATTGGGCTACAAAGAATTAAAGTGAATTGCCTCAAAGGGCACTCCTGAATCAAATCTTCAGGTGTCCTTTCACCATCTTTGGGCTGTCTGGGGCCTATTATGGCACTGGAGTGCCTATTTTCCAATCTCCATTCAGTACATCATGGTGGCCTTGTCTCCCACAGTCGCCAACACGGTGCTGAGCCCATTTCCTGAGGGTCTCAGGAAATGGTACTGAATTAAATGGTCCACTTCCTCACAGAGCACACTCTGAGACCTGGATTTCTGCTCTCTGGCCCTTAGTGCATCTCCCCACTTCTAGTCCTTCCCTGTAGGAGACAGAAGCATCTAGACCACTAGCCATGGGAGTAGTTGATGGGCATGTTGATCACTTCCTCTGAAGAAACATTTTTCTTTCTTTCTTTCTTTTTTCCACAGAAGCAATGCCCAGCCTAGATTTGCCAAATCTGTGTCTTGGACCCTTTTTTTCAAGTATGATTAACCTGAGGAACTCCATGTGGGGGCTCTGAGAGATAAAAGAGCTCTCAACCCTAATGGTTTTATCAGAAAATGAGCAGTTCAAGCCTGGATTTGAACCCATCCAGTGAATGCTCATGTCACTCACAGTTCATGAACTGAAATATTCGAGGTGGAATAATTGTGCTTTATGAAAACATGGGTTGTAACCCTGGGTCCTCTGAGTCACCATTTCTCCATCTGTTTTCAGTGCAGGAAAAGTGATCACAGGGACACATGACAGCCTGGTGACGGAATATTTGTTTCACTTGGGGATTGTCCGCAAATGCTTCAGAAGACCCCTCAACTGGGGATGCAAATATGGCAGCCAGGGCATTGTGCTGAACAGGGACAGGGAGATTAAAAGTGAGGGGAATTTTACAACTCCACAAACATATATATGCATTCAAGATCCTGGGCAAATAGTTTTCAAGGAGGTTGTGTTTCAACAAAAGCTGATATATAATTGGCTATTTCCGACTTGGCCAATGGGTGTCACTTTCAAAGTCCACTGCATATTTTGTAATGGCTGCAATTGTACTTAACATGCACTGACATTGGGAACGGTTGTTCTCATCATTCCTGCCTCAGTATCAGCTTGCTAAGCACTAAAGACCTTTGCAAAGACATGCATGTGGAAGCCTTCCTGTCCCCACCAAGTTGCTCTGTGATTAGCAGGCAAATCACTCTCCTCAAAGCTTCTCAGATCAAGGTTTGAAGGGTGGGTTTTTGTGGAATTGCTTCTAGGATGGGGAGGAGCACAGCAGCTATCTTTCAGTAAGACTCACAGGGAGTTGCTGCTGCCTGGTTGGAGAGAAAGGTGTGAAGGGCTTCTGACTTCTTAGCCTGCCATCCTTCTTTCCCAAGAGCCTCTCTGCTTCCTTCCTCCCCAGCGAAGGCAAAGCTTCAGAACTGGGGGTGACAGGCAGGGAAAGGGAGATGAGCGCTTGGGTGGACTGGTGCCCTACTTCCCTCTCTTCTCTTACCTATATCTGCTCTCTCTCCCCCCACCACCAGACTCCTTATATAAAAGAGCCTCACTTGGGAAGGCTCCAGAGGAGTGCCAAATGTCCATCAACAGATAACTGGATAAACAAAATGTGGTGTATCCATACATGGAATACTATTCAGTCTTAAAAAGGAAGGACATTCCTGACATATGCTACACCATGGATGATGCTTGCGGACATTATGCTAAGTGAAATGAGCCAGTCACAAAGGGATAAATCCTGTGTGATTTCACTCACAGGAGGTCCAAAGGGCTGTCAAATTCATAGAGAAGGAAAGTAGAATGATGGGTGCCATGGGCTGGGGAACAGGGGATGGGGAGTTAGTGTTTAATGGGGACAGAGTTTCGGTTTGGAAAGATGAAGATTTCTGGTGATGGATGGTGGTGATGGTTGCACAACAACGTGAAGGCACTTATGCCACTGACCTGTATGCCAAAAAAATGGCTAAAAATATTAGGTTGGTGCAAAAGTAATTGCGGTTTTTGCCATTTTTTTTTTTTTTTTTTAAAGTAACTGCAAAGATCACAATGACTTTTGCACCATCCTAATAGTAAAATGTTATGTATGTTTTACCACAATAAACCATTTTAAAGAAAGAGCTCCATTTGGACCTGCCTGCAGGCAAGAAGGAGGGACTCACAAATCAAATCAGATTTAGGTCAACCTCCCACAACACTCACTTCATCTAGGGACCACTTTTTTTTCTGAAAGCACTTTGAACAGGGCCCCAGACACACTTCTACAATAGTGTAGCAGTTTCAATACTTTAGGGGCTGGGAAAAGTGGTGATGCCCAGATGAGAGGTGCATAAGTGTGCTCCTCGTCACAGATTAGAAACAAAAACAAGCAACAAGGCTGCAATGGAGAAGCTTTGCTGTTCCTTTGGTCTGCTCTTCCCATCCAGAAGAGCAGAGGCAGTAAGGAATGGGGGCTCACCATAGAGGAATTACTGAAGCCTGAGCTGGAAGGACCCTAGACACCATCTAGCCCAGGCTCCTCTCCAAACAGATAAGCAAGCCAAGATCATGCCCAAGATCACAGATAAGAGAGCTTCCTTGGGTAAGGGAGCCCTTACTTGAGCATTTCAGCCATGTCAGACTTCACTGGACAGTCTGTAGCTAGAAAAGATCAGATTCTGGACCAGGAGATACCACTTTTAGGCATATGGAGTCTAGCTCTCTTGAAACAGAAACCCCCTTTACCAAAGCCAGGAAAGCCCTTTTTCCTCATTAACAAAACTTCAGAGGCAGGCTGGCATTGGTGAAAAGCAGGCTGAGTGTTCCATTTTACAGATGAAGAAACTGAGGATCAGTGAGGGAAGGTGATTGCCCAAGGTCACAACTAGTAAGCAACAGAGAAAGGACTAGAACCTCCTGAATCAAGCACTCTGGTTTTCTGCCCACTGTGGTACCATCCTCCCAGCCCAGTCAGCTGGAGGAGACCATTTCTAAAGTGCTAATCATGCCAGGCACTGGGCGTATGAAGGGCTTTATATGTGTTTAATCCTCACAATGATACTGGGGAGATGGGTGCTGGGATTAGGCTGATTTTATACAAGAGAATGTGGCAGCTCAGAGACGTTAGGTGACTTGCCTAAGTCACCTTCAAGGTGACAGCCATGAAGTGGAAAACCAGAATTCCAACTCCAGACTTCAGAACACATATTCTTAACCATGAAATTAGGCAGCCTCTCCAGAGTTCTTTACAGACATGTTTCCTTCAGTATTGTGCGTCTTTAAGAATGTAGAATTGAGGCCTAGTCCTGTATGTTGTGCCTGTCCCCACTCCCAGTTTATCATAGAGATCAAGATCAAGGAGGCCTTAGAAAGCAAGGTTTAGAAGTCAGAAAAGCAGAGAGGCCAAAGGGTGCAGATTCCTGGATCTCTCCAAAGTTAATACCAAACATGCATTTATTTGATAGGCACTCAGGACCCCTTACTCATTTTTTTCACTTTGCTATTGGTATTTTTAAAAATTTAGATATAGTTCACATATTACAACATTTACCTTTGGAAGTGTACAAGTTTTAGTATATTAATAAAGTTGTACAACCACTATATTCTAGAACATTTCCATCACCCCCAAGAGAAACCCTTATACCTATTAGCAGACATTTCCCATTTCCTCTCCTCTAGCCACTAATCTGCTTTCCATCTCTATGGATTTGCCTATTGTGTACATTTCATATAAATGGAATCATACAATAGGTAATCGTTGTGACTGGCTTCTTTTATTAAATATATTTTAGGATCATCCATTTTGTAGCATGCATCAGTAGTTAATTCTTTTTATGGCTGAATGATATTCTATCATATAGACATATTATTTTATCTACTCATCTATTGGAAATTTTTTTGCTGTTATACATAACACTGCTGTGAACATTTGCATACACATTTATGCATGGATGTATTCCCAATTCTTTTGGCTATATACCTAGGAATGGAATTTCTGGGTCATATGATAAAGTCCATGTTTAACTTCTTGAGGAAGTTTCAGACTGTTTTCCAATGGGACTGCATCATTTTACATTTCCACCAGCAGTATATGAGGGTTTCAAATTCTTCACATTTTCACAACACTTGTTGTTTTCCTTTTTTAAAATTATAGCCATCTTAGTGGGTGTGAAGTGTTATCTCATTGTGGTTTTGATTTGCATTTGCATTTCCCGAGTAATTAGTGATATTGACCACCTTTTTATGTGCTCACTGGCCATGTATATATCTTCTTTGGAGAGATGACTATTCAGATATTTTGCCTATTTTTAATTGAGTCATGTGTCTTTTTATTGCTGAGTTGTAAGAGTTCTTTATTCTGGATACAAGTCCCCTATCGAATATGTAATTTGCAAATATTTTCTCCCACTAACTGACCCTTGGTTCATAAAGTTCCAGAACATTAGAGCTGGGAGAACTGCTGGAATAACCTGGCCCAGAGATTCCCAAATTTCAGGCTCCACATGCTCACATCTGTACTAATTTTTAATTTAAAATATTCTTTAGGTCAACCCACTACTTTTGCTTCAACTTATTTTAAAAGGAAACTTTTCATTATTGTGTAAAAGAAGCACCAATATTACTTGCCACAAAAATGAACACGACGAACACTAAACCATGATATTAAATCCCAGTGAGAACCCAGTGTCTGTGGGTGTCCAGGGCCTGAACCCTGCTTTCTCTGTGGTAAAAAAGGAGATGAGCAAAGTTTAGAAGAGTGTTCCAGACAAGTAGCACCCACCTGAGGCAGAGGGTTTGCTGTCTCCTGAGGACTGAAAAGCAGTTGACCTGAGACTGACATTCTTACTATAGGTCTGGTTGACTATTGCTTAACTAGAGACTATTGCTTCTATGCAACCTAAAATCCATCTTCAGCATGCATCCCCGGTTTTGAGAAACCCTTCTCTTATCTAACCTTAGTGTACCTTCAGGGAAACAACCAAGGTGAATCTGGGACTTGTCTGAAGGCACAGTGTGAGCCAGACAATTTCCAAGGCAATAAAGAGCACAGATGTACCAGACAGGCCCCTTTCTATGTTGGTATGGCAAATATCATGAAAGACAGTCACTGAAGTCCCCTTGACTCAACTCCCACCATCATATGAGTTAGTGCAAGACTTCAAGCAAACAAAATGTAAATGGATAACTAAACATATTTTATATTAACCATAAGTATCCAAGGCCCTTATTGCAATAGGTGTGGGGGGTTTTGGTGGTTAATTTGTTCTCCAGCCCTCAGTTGTGGGAGGCAGACATTACAGGACTTGTGGCGTACAGAACTGGGCAGTACAGATCTTTAGCCTGGTCGGTGAGGACATTCTTGTCCTGAAGCAAAGCAGAGATAATGGATCTTGGAGATGCTGCCTCCTGGCTGGAAGTCACTCCCCAGTGGACATGCAGATGGTTTAAGCCAAACACACAGGGTAGGGGAAGATTCTAACAATGAATTCCAACCCTTCTTTATTGCTTTTCTTGTGGATGCTCCAGATGATTCTGAAGCCCAGTCTAGGGCACCCCAATGCCCGGTGCTATCCACCTGCAGCTCCCTTTTGGCACAGGCAAATCCTCTCATGGAATCAGCCATTTCTCAGATCTTAAAGTTGAAGGATTTGCCCATTGCTGTTCCTAGGGCATGGAGGGAAGACCCAGGGACTGCAGAGGCCCTTGCTTCTCCAGCAGGAGCAAGTAGCCTCACCAACAGGGAGCCCTTTCAGTCCTGGAGCTCTTGTGTCCTTACTGCAGGTACAGTTTCTTCTATCTGAACCCAATGGCCTGTTAGATTAATTTATTTGTATTTTCTGAAGTAAAATAATGTGACAATTGAGACAAAGTACTTGATATTTTTTCTTGCTAGTGCTCCCTTCCATCTCTTGATACCCAATACCTGAATGTCCCTTCAAGAATACCAGCTGCTGTCACGGCAACCAGGTGGAGGCAGGACATAAACTGCTGGCAAAAGCAATTTGCTCTTAGAAATATTTTTAGTCAAAAGCAGTCTCTCCCCAATCTGCTTTGGAAAATAGGTGAAAACAAAACAAAACAACCATCCAGAGGCAGGCCACCTTCAACAAACAAACAACTCACCAAAATCTGAAACACTCAGAGCAGGAATCCCATCCCTCACACAGAATGAACCACCTTGTTTCTCTCCTTAGTCTTGAAAGGCTTACCCCCTGAGACATTACAAATTAGATTTCAATTTAAATCAAACCACATTCAAAACATACGTGTTCCATCACAGCAAAGCCCCATCAAATGAGCTTAGTCCACTTAAACAGAATGTTGACTCCAGCTGGGTGGGTGTCTGCCAGAGTTCATTCCCCATAGGCTAAGTGTTAGTGAACTGACTCACAAGTTCATGTGTCTCCTAGCAGGGGACTTGTTTGTCTGTCACAAGATTGGCCAGGCTGTGATAGTGCCTACCTGAAAAAGAGAAGTGCCTATGTTGAAAACGAGTTGCCAAACAAGACCCTGAGTTGAGAAACCACCATCATCATATGCTGATGATGACAAGAAGGTACCAACGGACTGTGCCTAAAACGCAGCCTCTGGTCAATGTCAATGTCAGCTAGCAAATAGTACTAGATGTTGGGAGAGTAGCATATTTCTTACAGCTTCATGCTGCAATCTCTAAAGCACCTGGACTACCTTAAAAATACCTGTCTACCTCACTGACTGTTGCTTCTCTGCCCAAACTTGCCTTTAGCTAGATCTCCCTGGCTAATAAGATTAAGCAGCCAGTGTCCACATCTGCCAGAGAGTTGGACCTTTTGTTACCACAGACCTGTTGTGGCCTGGGTCTGTCCCTGGAGTGTGCACAAGTATGTGTTTGTGGTTTGAAGGATGTTAGGGCCACTCCAGTCTCTGCCAGATACAAAGGCAATTTAAAGCTGGTGCTTTGCCAAAGATGCCCTATAGATCCTCCATCTTGAGCCATCCCTTTCCCACTGAAAGACTGTATTTGCTGGTTTGGTTTGGCAGTGCCATGTAGGCTGTGCTCATCATATGCCACGTTAAATGGCCAGAATAGGTCAGAAGTGAATTCAGCCTCAACCCCGAGAGAACCAGGGGAGCTTCTGAATGAGTTGCTCCCAGAGGAAAAAGCAACAGAAACAAAAGAAACATCAATGTGAGAACTCAGCTATTATTGCGGCTGCCTATCTTCTGAATTTAGACCAAGTTCTTGCAAGGGAGAAGATCTCAGCGTTGTTATTGGTTAAGAGAAAGAAAAGCCATTATCTCAACTACCATATAACAAGTTTAGGAGAGACGTTTTCAATTTATTTTCAAATTGGTTGCAGTAAATATGAAGCACATTTCAATGTGCTTCTTCCACGGTTTGGGTCCTATTACATGGGCATAATGTTCTAGCAACACTGTAAACTCATGTCACAGAAAGAAGTGATTATTTTTCAAAGAAAGTAGGGTTAGCTGTGCCTGGGTCAGTCCCAGAGAGCTTATTTCCTAGTTTCCCTGTATCATTAGGAGGATATGGAGAATGACTTCTTCTCCTACAGAAAATAGGCTGGGTATCAGGTGTGCCTTACAGAGGGAGCAGCACCACCAATGAGAAACTTCACCAGCTGCTTCCCTGCAGGTAGACACTGCATTGAGCATCTTACTACTTCTCACTCAAACCAAATCCATCCACCTTGACTCAAGACCACAGGAATGTCACCAGGCTGTTCTGAGCTTTTCATCAAATGCTTTGCATTTCACATCTAAGGGGACTACATTTAAACTTGCTCTGTGTTCTTTGGGAAACTCAGTGTGGTAAAAACAGCAGTGCCCCCAATTTGGATTTTCTTGAATTTTCATGTTTGATCCAGTATCCCCCATCTTCCTGCTGGTTTTTGGCCTTTTCCTGCACTGTCCACGGACTGAATTCCTGCCCATTGTTCTTGCTCAGAGCCACTTCCTGGTCCCCAAGAACAGACAGGGAGCCCCACCATCTCAGGCATCAGCCTGTTGTTGAACTTCTGTGCTTTCCTCAGAGCCACCTCCCAGGCCTCCTCTTGGGCTTTGAGGGCAGTAATGTTGTCTTTCCCTTTTCTGGAGTGGCTGCTAAACCAATACCACAGGGACCCTGAGGAGGCAATGGGCCTTCTGTACCTGAGGGAAGCTTTACTCAGGCTAAGGATGCCCAGGCTCTAAGAGCCACTGTTATGGGTTGAATTGTGGCCTCTCTTCCCCCAACAAAAAGATATGGTGAAGTCCTAACTCCCAGCATCTCAGAATGTGACCTTATTTGAAAATATGGTCTCTACAGAGGTAATCAAATTAAACTGAGGGCATTAGGGTGGGCCCTAATCCAATATGACTGGTGTCCTTATAGAAAGAGGAAATTCGGACGCAGGCAAACACAGAGGGAAGATGATATGAAGACAAACATGGAGAAGACGGCCATCTAAAAGCCAAGGAGAGAGGCCTGGAACACATCCTTCCTTCATAGCCCTCTTAAGAAACTCACCCTGCTGACACCTCAATCTCAGACTTCCAGCTTCCAGAACTATAAAAGACAATACATGTCTGTTGCTTAAGCCACCCATTTTGTGATACTTTGCTACAGCAGCCCTAGCAAATTAATGCAACCTCTTTGTTATGACAGCCATACGGTGGGTATTAAACATCAAAAGGAATTTTCTGGAATAAATGTCAAAGTGCCTCTCAAATTTATAATAAAGTGCAATCCAATTCTCCTTTTACCTTCTCTTTTAAAAGGCATCTGAAATCACTCATTGGTTTTTTTTTTTTTTGAAAGAAATAAGAATAAATGAGAAATGTATAGCCATCGAGTCATATGACAAACTGGACTTCAGGCCAAGCCAGGCAAGGAATGGGAGCAGGGCCCCTTTGTGGGGGCTGGGCCTGAGATTAGTGCTCCTTATGGGTTCAGAGGGGATTAGGGACAACTAGCATAGGATCCCATGGAATATAAAAGCTCATGGCAAAGGCTTGGCTCTTAGGAACCTGGGCCAGCATAGAACTATGTGGACTGGAACCAGATAGGCACCCATGAAAGTGGGACTCAGCTTCTCACTGCTCCCTGCAAAAACAATCTCAAATTTGGGACATCAAGAGTGTTTACCTGAGCCAGGTCAGGGTTTCTGAGCAGCCACACAAATGAGACAACAGACCAGGATGACTTGCCTCCCTAACCAAAAATGTACCCTCTCTGCATGAGGATAGCAGAAGGCTAATCTTGATGGGACCCAAAGGGCCAGACCCCAAACACAGTCACTTCACCTCAAGTAAGCATTATTATAAGTGATAATGACAACCCAAAACTGAGTCGTGACTGCTGTTTTGCAACATGATTTCATCCAAATTCTGTGGCTCGATCCTCCAGGAGCCTTGAAGGTGGGTACTGTCCATTCACTGGCTTGCCTGAGATCATATGGCACATGGCAGAGTCTGAATTCAGACTCAGTCCTTCTCATGACTCCCAGGCCACCAGTGACATCTCTCCCAAAGCCCCAGAAAAGTTAAGGGTGTTGGATGTTGCCATGAAGTTGCAAAAAAAAAAAAAAAAAAAAAAGAAAGAAAGAAAGAAAAAGAAAAAAAAAAGCTAGAACAAACTACAAACTAATCAAAACAAAACAAAACAAACAAACAAAAAAACCAACCCTGTATGTGCTTCACAAAGACAGCAGTAAGAAAAATGTTTTGCTTGGAAACCAAAATATTTTTCCAGACTACAAAAAGGAAAAGACCAAGAGTCGGGGGCTCAAATGGGCATGGTGACTACATTTGCAAGAATGACACAATGGCTTAGGAATTGCTGAACTGTTTCTCTTTTTGGCTTCCTTCAGTAGGCAGGAGTGAGTGTAGGAGCAGCCTGCCATTTCCAGCCAACTGCCTAGGGAGCAGTGCCACCCCCGACTCAGGCTCAAAGGTGGCACCAAATGGTGAAACAACAAGGCCAGGTTACTGGTGAGGCTATGAGATGATATCAGACCATTCAGGCAGTTCCCTGATTCTGCCCAGTGGGGCTCAGCTTGATGGCAGAGGTAGAACAATATCAATGCTCAAAGAAAGCAGAGATAAATCACGCCCAAGGCCAGACCCTTTGGGATTGGGCCTGCAAAGAGGTAGAAGAAACCATTAGCTCCCGTAGACTGGAGGAGCTGGGCTGGGGTGCTACGGCAGGGGATGTTCGATTGGAGGATAAGGGGAGCAGCAGCTGCCAGCTCACAAAAGCACAGAAATGCAAAGATGAGGCTGGCTGGGGGTGTGAGCACATGTGCCTGTGTACATATGTGTGTATGTGCATGTGTGCAAGTGTAAAAGTGAATGGGCGTGAGGGTATGTGCACGTGTGGGCATGTGTCTGATTGCATGCGTGTGTTTGTGTGTATGAGCATGTGTGTGCACCTCTGTGCATGTTTTTGCGTGTGTATTATTGCATACACATATTCCACCAATGCAGTTTCCCCTGGAGTTCCCTGGCTCCCCATTTCCAATGCTGTGTCCCCCAGGAAGCCAGCAGTTTCCACCCGAGCTGGCTCAGCACCACTGGACCAAGGGAAATAATACAAGGCAGCAGGCACCCCAGAGGAGGGCAGAGCAAGCGGCAGGGGGAGGAATGCTCTGTGGGCAGCAGAGAAGGTAAGATTAGAGATTGGAGAGAGTGATCCAAATCCCACAGACCCAACAGCAGTTTACCTTGAGCCTGGCTTTGGAGGGTTATACCAAGAAGGCTGTGTCTGTCTCATGAGCTCAGTCCAGTGTCTTCCAAATGAGTCTCTCTCAAGGGCACCAGAGGGCCAGGAAGGGGAGGGGAGCAAGCCTTGGTCACACATGTGCCTGCACTGTCCTCAGTCTTAGATGCCCCAGCCACATCCCCCAAGGAGCAGACCACCATATACATCTTGAAGAAAGGGCCTTCCATGGGCCTTCCAGGGCCCCAGTAGTTGCTGGGTTGTGGGAAAAACCCAGTTCTCTTGCTAAGGGACTGTAGTGAAATGACAAAGTATCCAGTTCAGCGTGTGATGAATCAAAAAGATTTGCAGTGACACAAGAAGTTCTGACTGCATGCACAGGCAGAAGCTGAATTAACAAAAATGTAGTATAAAGTAAATGGAAAAAAAATCCCTGAGCCTTAGCAATTATCCACCCAAACAGTCCAGGAAGAGGAGAGGGCAACAACCTCTATAAGTAAACACTATTACTGTATTCTGATTCCACAGATGAGGAAACAGGGACACAGAGAAAGGAATTAACTTGGCTCTGATCAGAATTGTAATGACAAATATAGGGACAATTCTGAGCTGACAAGGACATCCAGCTTTGCTCCTGGCCTGTTGGAATCAGATTGAGTCCCCTCCCTGGAGAACAAGATGGAGAAGGGTCATGGTTCTTGTGACCCCTTGGGGTGCATGTGACAGGGGTGCTCAGTTGGATGAGCCCTGTAAGTGACTGTGGCCAAGGGCAGTGCCTGCAGCAGTTAGCATAGAGGAAGTAGGGGGTGTGTCCTGACTGGTGGGTGGGTGGGAACTGGATCAGGGAGGTTGGGCCTTTATCCCATCAACAGTGGGAAGCAATGGAAGGGTTCTAGGCAGGGAAATTACAGTCAGATGTGGGCTCAAGGAACCTTGCTCTCAGAGTGCCTGTCTGGACAGAAGGAAACCAGTGAGGAGGCTGGAGCAGGCGGAGAGACAAGAGATCATGAGGGTTCTCTGAGATGATGGTGGTGGGGCTGGCAGTAAGGGCGAGTAGGGAGAATCCAGGATCCAGCCTGTGCACCCTCAAGAAACCCACCACCCACAAAGCCAAATGCCACCTAGAAGACAGCACTGATCTATTGCTTAATAACTGGTGTTTCCAGCTATTTACACACAACAGTCCCCTCCCTGTCACAGAACAGGTGTCAAAAATACAGCAAACTGCATAGTGCTGCGACAGTCAATTTGACAGTTCTAATTTACTGAGGCTGAGTTATGTGAGAGTATAAGCAAATCTTCCTTGTCAAAGTTGATATTGAAAATGGAGAAAAATGATTGTGGAGTCAAATATTCTAATAATTTGAGAGGTATTCTTATTTCCTCTGGAAAATTCTAGCACTACTCACATACATATGGCCTCTCATCCCCTAAACCTGTCCTCCCAAAAGAACATGCCACTGGGACACCCAGAAATATGGGTGGCTCCAGAGGTGGCATCACTCTGTCTCCCAGCCATGAAGGTCCCGTGCAAATCAGTTCCACAATCTCCACCAATGTAATGTAACAAACCTTGGTGGACCCTGGGGATGAATACCTAAAAGAGAACATACATTTCTTAGACAAAATAAAGCACACTAGTTCTTGACTATGTTTGCCTGTTTTTCACATTTTTATAATCTCTTTGGCATTTTAAGTAGAAGAAAAAAGCAAAAGAAAATCTCAGTGACCATGTCTCTGTTTGCCACATTTAACACCTAAATCAGCTGGGGCACTCTGTTTATGTCACCTTCTCCTCCTTCCAATTCCCACTGGCACTGAATGACACTGAGTTGCCCTCTTGGTTTTCCCCTCTGTGTTAAAGGCGCATATTTGGTTCTCCTGGTTGGCCCTGGTGCCCACGCATATGTGGTGGGCCCCTGCTTCCTGCCCCAGGTGGGGCTGGTTTTGGTTTCACCCTGATTCTCTGCCTCTACCTTCCTGAGAATCACACAGCAAAGAGCACACCTGAGCCTTGTTACCTCTCCTGGCCACTCATAGACAACCCAAGGGGAGGGTTGGGGTCCGACTTGGGGTTAAAAGTCAGGAAAGTTCATAAGCCACCACCTGAATTCACTTCCCCACCCAGCCCAGGGCAAGAGAGAGCTCCTAAGATGCCTGAGGCCATTTGTCTAGGTCAATGAAAGATACTAAGTTGTTATGTGAAGCGACATGGGGACAAGAGAGGTAACAGTTACATTTTGGGAAAGTGATTTCACTGACTCTCAAAAAGTGAAAAGGATTTGGCATCATATCGGGTTTCTGGCCCGGCCAGCTCAGTGTCCACACAGCAGAGGTGATGTTTGCAAAATCAGAGATGGGCAAGACACACTTTGAGCTATCAACAGGTGCCACTGAAGTGCAAACCAACCCACGTGCAGAACAACCCCAAGTCAGGAAGTGGGAGAGTCTGATCTCCAAAACCAATACCACATCCATAAATTGATATTTGTCACTTTACAATAGTTTCCTGTTTCCCTTTGATTGATTACAGTCAAGGATGGCAAAGAAATGCTTTGTCCTGTTGAGAGAAATCCCCATTTGCCCATGCTACAGACCTTCTGTGAGGAGACACGAGACAGTGGAAATGGCCCACAGCTTGCTGAATTCCTGTGCAAATAGACTCCTTGTTCCACAGCTGGAAGGGGGGAAGCCTCGTGGAAGTGCAATGTGTCAGGCACTTGTCAAGAAATAGCCCCTTGTTCAGTGGCTTTGGACTACACGTGAGCTAGTCTGACCTCTGCCTCGCAGCAGCTAGGCCAAGACACCAAGCCAGCAGTCCCTGGTAGCCTCAATTAGTTATTTTTCAAGTGTGTCCTGCTCCCTGCCCTTATAAATCAAATGTCAGCTTACATCCTTATCAATTCCAACTTCACATCAGGTCTCATTAAAACAAACATTTACAGTACAAATCAAATGAGTGGCTGAAAAGCCAGGTTGCTCCATCACTTGATAAAAAGAAGAGAACTTGATTTCAATTAAGGTTTGCACTGAACAGTGAGGAAGCACAAGGAAGCTGGGACCAGAGACAGGGAGAGAGAGGAGCCTCCCATGGAATCTTTGCCCTCAATCCAAAGCCCCAGGTGCTTCTCGTGCATGCCCTGTGCACTCTCAGGCTTTGGGGCCTGGCTGTCTCTGGAGAGGGAAAAGGGTTCATCACACAGGAAGTTCTGCTCTCCCAGGATATCCTTGCCTGGGAGAGGGCCCTGTCCTGGACAAGGCAGTCACTCAGGACACCGCAGCTAGATCTGCCCCATCCTCATTCTTCAGCTGGAGAAGAGAGCCATAAAGTTATTTAGCCTCCATGTGACGAAGCAACTGGAAGGCTAATTCTGGTGACCAGTGTTGACCTAAGAAGAAATGGATGCTAGGTGCTCTCAGACCTTTCCACCTAGCTTGCTGCATCTTCCCTCCCTTAGGCATCACCAAGATGTTTGCCTATTTGGTTGGCACTTGCTGGGTCCTCCCAGGGGCTTTAGCTACCCCGGCAAATTGGAAGGAAGTGGTCCCATGGGAGTCCATGACTGAGGCACTATTCAGGACTCAGCCAAACATGTGTTCAAATTCCAGTCCTCCACCACCACTTTCTAGCCCTGTGATCTGGAGTGAGGGGCTTAGCCTTGCTTAACCTCAGTTTCCTCATGTGGAGGTTTAATATCCTCTGCCTGGCAGAATGGCTATGAGACTGAAAGAACACATATGAAAGGATCATAAAGCCCTCTGGATCTGGCTTATTGGTGTCCAGACTGTTATATGTGCCCCCACGCCCACGGCTGGGTATGTATGTCTTGCTCCCAGGGGGAAGCCCTTCAGCTGAATGTGGAAGAAGGGCGTGGTGGAGGCAACAGCTGCCGGAGGCAATAGCTGCCAGAGGCACTGCTCATGGAGTGGGCTGAAGAGCAGGAGGAGGCTGGGAATGGCCTCCTACAACCTTGATCTTGCCAGAGCCCTGCTTCTTGATCTTTGAGGTGCATTCCCACATAGGAACGAGGTTGGACAGCCCCAGCTCCTGCCTGCCTTTGCCAAGTGTTGCACTGGGGATCCAGCAGGAAGTGAAACAAACCCAGATTCTTTCTTCTGAGGCACTTCCAGGTTAGGGAATCCTGGGCAGTGGCTGCCACACACCATACTGTGATGTGGCGACCTCCCTGCTGGTTTGAAATTCCTTCATGTCAGCGGCTGTGCCCTCCCTTCTGTGGGAGCTCCAAACCTCACACCCAATAAGTGCATAACACAAGTATGCATAAAAGATAAAGCACCCAGTCCTCCTTTCTAGGAGGCAGATGGCTGAGGAAAGTTTGTTTTTAGCCTCTGAATGTCTGCTGTTGGCAGTGTCAGACCTGGGCACCAAGATGTGGGCTGGAAGAGGGAAAGCATGTGTGCCTTGTCCATACTCTGGTGGCAGGCTAGTGGGGAGTGTGGGGGAGCAGATAGAGATTTAAGTACAACAGAAGGCCCACCAGCTAACAACAGAGGCCATAAGTAACAGCATGGGCTTGGGGGAGGGGAAGAGGAATAGGCATTGAGTCCCTTTGGAGTATCCAGCCCTACATTTCATGCACCCTGGTATTTAGTTCTCACACTTATTTTGCAAGGCAGTTATCATTAACCCATTTCCCAAATGCAATAACTAAAGTTCACAGAAGTTCAGCAACCGGCCCAAAGTCGTCACAATGCTAGCAAGTGGCCAGAGGCTGGATTCTAACCCAGACTCTTTAATTTCAAAGGCTCACATTCTTTCCTCTGCTCTACCCAATATTCCTGGGTGTATAATTCAAACACTCCCCATCAAACTTCCTCTGGCAGTCTGCACCTATTTAACACATTCAATTTACTAATAGTTTACCCACACTTACTGAGTCTCTATACTGTACAGGCAAGGGCCTGGGGAGCAATATTAGAGTATTTTCCATGAGAACAAGAATTTTTGCCAATTTTGCCCATTCTCACAACCTATTGTCTAAAACTGTGCTGCCCAACACAGTGGCTACTAGTCACATGTGACCATTTAAGCTTAAATTAATTAAAATTAAATAAAGTTAAACATTTAGTTCCTCAGTTGCTCTAGCCACATTTCAAGTGCCCAAGAGCTGTTTGTTGACTACCATGTTGAACAGTGCAGATATAAGTCATGTCCATGATCTCAGAAAATTCCATTGAACAGTTCTGCTCTGGAACAATGCCTGGCACTAAAAAGATCTCTCTTTAATATAGAATGAATAAAAAGACTTGAAAGGATATAACTTTGACAAATAGTAAATGTAGGAAACAGCATTTCAGGTTGAAGGATGAATAAACCAAAAACTTTATTGATTTCTATTTCTGATAATGGTGGACTAGGTAATTTGGGTCATTCCTCTCAATAAAAACAACTAGAAAAGCAGGATAAAGGTGTAAATTTATGAACAAATGAATATGAACACAGACTATAAAATAATAAGAATGATATATTGTGGGGGGTCTTAAAGTATGGATAAAATTAAAATACACTAGCACAAAAGCATGTAAGTGGGAAGAGGGGACGTAGAATTGAGGCATTTTAGGTCTTCTCATTGCCTGGGAAAGAAATTAACATTAGACCTTGAGAAATCAAGGATGACTGTAATCTCTAGGGCAGTAGTTCTCAAATGCTGTCTAAGGATCCCTGAGGTCCTTCCTCGAGAACTTTCAATGGGTCTGAAAGATAAAAACTATTTTCATAATTACACTGAGATGTTAGTTGCCTTTTGAACTCTCCTCTCACAAGTATACCGTGGAGCTTTCTAGAGGCTACATGACATGTAATATCACAATAGATTGAATGAAGGAGCAGATACAAAAATCCAGCTGTTTTCTATGAAGCCAAACGTTGAAGAATTTTGCAAAAATGTAAAACAATGTGAATCTCCTCACTACATTTTTTGTTTAGAAGAATATAATTATTTTTCATAAAAAATGTTACCTATCTTGACACATAATTGTGTATTAGCCAGGGTTCTCTAGATAAACAAAACCAATAGGATGTGTATGTGTGTATATATGTATATACATTGCATTCCCTCTGGGCCTCACACACACACACACACACACACACACACACACACACACACACACACACACAGAAAGAGAGAGAGAGAGAGAGATCGAGATTTTTTTTTATAAGGAATTGGTTTATGCAATTATGGAGGCTGACAAGTCCCAAGATCTGCAGGGTGAGTCAGCAAGCTGGAAACCCAAGAAAGCCAATGGTGCAGTTCAAGCCAGAGTTCAAAGGCCTGAAAACCAGGAGAATCAATGGTGTAGTTCCAGTTTGAAGTCTGGTAGGCTCAAGATCCAGGAAGAACCAATGCTTCAGTTTCAGTCTAAAGGCAGGAAAAAGCTCATGTCCTAGTTAGAAGGTTTTTGGGCAGCAGGAGTTCCCTCTTACTGAGCCTTTTTGTTCTATTCAGGCTTTCATCTGATTAGATGAGGCCCACTAACATTGGGAAAGGTAACCTACTTTGCTCAGTCTACTGATTTAAATGTTAATCTCATCGAGAAACACCCCCACAGAAACACTCAGAATGTTTGACCAAATATCTGGGCACCTTGTGCCCCAGTCAAGTTGACACATAAAAGTAACCATCACAAACAGATTTATTATTTGTAAATGAATTGATAAATTTTTTTGTTTTTCTAAATATATATATATATTTATTATACTTTGAGTTCTAGGGTACATGTGCACAACATGCAGGTTTGTTACATATGTACACATGTGCCATGTTGGTGTGCTGCACCCATTAACTCGTCATTTACATTAGGTATATCTCCTAATGCTATCCCTCCCCCCTTGCCCCACCCCACAACAGGCCCGGTGTGTGATGTTCCCCTTCCTGGGTCCAACTGTTCTCATTGTTCAATTCCCACCTATGAGTGAGAACATGCGGTGTTTGGTTTTTTGTCCTTGCGATAGTTTGCTGACAATGATGGTTTCCGGCTTCATCCATGTCCCTACAAAGGACATGAACTCATCCCTTTTTATGGCTGCATAGTATTCCACGGTGTATACGTGCCACATTTTCTTTTTCTTTTTTTTTATTATTACACTTTAAGTTTTAGGGTACATGTGCACATTGTGCAGGTTAGTTACATATGTATACATGTGACATGCTGGTGCGCTGCACCCACTAACTCGTCATCTAGCATTAGGTATATCTCCCAATGCTATCCCTCCCCCCTCCCCCCACCCCACAACAGTCCCCAGAGTGTGATGTTCCCCTTCCTGTGTCCATGTGTTCTCATTGTTCAATTCCCACCTATGAGTGAGAATATGCGGTGTTTGGTTTTTTGTTCTTGCGATAGTTTACTGAGAATGATGATTTCCAATTTCATCCATGTCCCTACAAAGGACATGAACTCATCATTTTTCATGGCTGCATAGTATTCCATGGTGTATAATATGTGCCACATTTTCTTAATCCAGTCTATCGTTGTTGGACATTTGGGTTGGTTCCAAGTCTTTGCTATTGTGAATAGTGCCGCAATAAACATACGTGTGCATGTGTCTTTATAGCAGCATGATTTATAATCCTTTGGGTATATACCCAGTAATGGGATGGCTGGGTCAAATGGTATTTCTAGTTCTAGATCCCTGAGGAATCGCCACACTGACTTCCACAATGGTTGAACTAGTTTACAGTCCCACCAATAGTGTAAAAGTGTCCCTATTTCTCCACATCCTCTCCAGCACCTGTTGTTTCCTGACTTTTTAATGATCGCCATTCTAACTGGTGTGAGATGGTATCTCATTGTGGTTTTGATTTGCATTTCTCTGATGGCCAGTGATGATCAGCATTTTTTCATGTGTCTTTTGGCTCCATAAATGTCTTCTTTTGAGAAGTGTCTGTTCATATCCTTCCCCCACTTTTTGATGGGGTTGTTTGTTTTTTTCTTGTAAATTTGTTTGAGTTATTTGTAGATTCTGGATATTAACCCTTTGTCAGATGAGTAGATTGCAAGGACTTCATGTCTAAAACACCAAAAGCAATGGCAACAAAAGCCAAAATTGACAAATGGGATCTAATTAAACTAAAGAGCTTCTGCACAGCAAAAGAAACTACCATCAGAGTGAACAGGCAACCTACAGAATGGGAGAAAATTTTTGCAATATTTTAAATTGTTTCAGCTTTACTCTTGGATATATTAAGTGTCAATAGATATAATGCCCATAAGGATGTAAATGGGGTCCAGAGATGAAAATATTTGAGAAACCCTTCTCTAAGTTAACCACTAGTGAAAATATATGCATATAAGTATTAGGTTGGTGCAAAAGTAATCATGGGTTTTGCCATTATTTTTTATGATAAAAACCATGATTACTTTTGCACCAACGTACTACCAACTAACCAGGGTAGCGGAGAGAGGAAGAATGGAATAATTCTTAAAAATCAATCTAAAAGAAGAAATGAAAGATGAGAAAAGGGACTTGTAAGAGTTCTTTTTATATTTTAGGTTCAAATCTCTTTTTAGAGATATGATATGCAAATACATTCTTCCAGTTTATGGCTTGTTTTTGCTTCTCCTAACAGTGTCTTTTGAAGAGTAGAACTTTCAAATTTGATGAAGTTCAATTTATTTACTTTTCTTTTTAAAGCTTTTATTTTTGGTGTTGCATGTAGGAACTCTGCCTAACCCAAGGTCATATAGTTTCTCTCCTGTTTTCTTTTAAAAGTTTCACAGTTATAGTTATTTAGGTCTATGATCCACTTGTAGTTAATCTTTGAAATCAGATAATGTAAGCCCTTCAACTTTGCTCTTTCTTTTCAAAATTGTTTTGTCTATCCTGGGTTTTTGTATTTCTGTATGAATTGTATGGTATGGGTATTCTCTCCTATTTTCTTATTCTAATTTAAGCTTATCTGCTTTGTTGATCTCTTAAAAGAATCAATTTTTGTTTTCATTTATTTTTCTCTCTTGTTTTTATTTCTCCATTTCATTGATTTCTGTTCTAATCTTCATTATTTCCTTTTGTTTGCTTTGAATTTACTCATAGTTTACCCTCTTTCCTTGAAATGGAAGCTTAGGTTGTTAATTTGGGAAATTTCTGCTTTTTTTGATATAGGCATCTATGGTAATAAATTTCCCTCTAAGCACTGCTTTTGGAGTATTCCATTAATTCTAGGTTATATTTTCATTTTCATTTAACACGATTTTTTAAAAGTTTCCCCTGTGATTAATTCTTTGATTCGTGAGTTATTTAAGAGTTTTCTGTTTAATTTCAAAATATTTGTGGGTTTTCCCAGGGTGTTGTATATCTCAAAGTTGAATTCTGCAGTGGTCAGAAAATATACATTGTATGATTTCAATATTTCTTTTTTATTTTATTTTATTTCAATAGTTTTTGGGGAACAGGCAGTTTTTGGTTACATGGATAGGTTCTCTAGTGGTGATTCCTGAGATTTTGGTGCACCCATCACCTGAGCAGTGAACACTGTACCCAATGTGTAGTCTTTTATCCTAATGTACTGAGTTTTCTTTTGTGGCCCAACATATGGTATGGAGAATTTTCTTGTGGGCTTGAAAAGACTATGTATCCTGTAGTCCTTAGGTAGAGTGTTTGTATATATAAATACAAGGTCAACTTGGTTGATAACGTTCTGCATATCTTCTATATTCTTGCTGATTTTCTGTCTAGTTGTTCATCAATTATTGAGTTTGTGGTGTTGAAAATCTACAGCTGCTATTGTAAAATTATCTATTTCTTTTCTCGATTCTCTCAAAATTTATTTCATGTAATTTTGAGCTTTGTTGTTGGGTGCATATTTGCTTATAATTGTCATATCTTTCTGATGTATTGACCTTTTTATCATTATGAAATGTTTCACTTTGTCTCTGGTAATATTTTCTGTCTTAAAGTCTATTTTGTTTGTTATTAATGTAATTATACATGTATATGCATGTATTTCTTTTTTAAACATTTTGTTAAGAGCACTTTAACACAAGACCTACCCCCTTAACAGGTTTTTAAAAGTACAATCTAATATTTTTCTCTATTGTCATAGTGTTGTACATACAACAAATATCTAGAACTTCGTAATCTTGCATGATTGAAATTTTATACATGTTGATTAGCAATTACCCATTTCCCCCTTTCTCCAGCCCTTGAAAACCACCATTCTATTCTTTGCTTCTATGAGTTTGACTATTTTAGATACTTCATATAAGTGAAATCATGCAGTTTGTCCTTGTTTGCTTATTTTACTGAGCATAATGTCCTCACGGTTTATCCATGATGTCACATGTTGCAGGATTTCCTTCTTTCTGTAAAGCTGAATAACATTCCATTTTTTTTTTTTTTTTTTTTGTGTGTGTGTGTGTGTGTATAACATTTTAACGCCATTTATTCGTTAATAGACATTTAAGTGGTTTTCTCATCTTGGCTATTGTGAATAGTGTTGCAATGAACATGGGATTGGTAATATGTTTTCAAGGTCCTGATTTTAATTCCCTTGCATAAATACACAGAAGTGGGTTTGCTGCATCATATGGTAGTTCTAGTTTTTGATGAACCTCCATACTTTTTTCCATAGTGGCTGCACCATTGTGCAAGCCTAACAACATTCTACAAAGGTTCCAATTTTTCTACATCCTTGGCAACATTTGCTGTCTTTTTTTTAATAATAACCATCCTAAACAGGTGTGAAGTAATGTCTAACACATTTTGATTTTCATTTCCCTGATGATTAGTAATGCTGAACATCTTTTTATATACCTGTTGGCCATTTGTACATTTTATGGTCTATTTAAGTCTTTAGCCCATCTTTTAACCAGGTTGTTAGATTTTTTTGCTATAGAATTGTAGGCATTCCATATATATTTTGGAAATGTACTCCTTATCTGATATATGGTTTATGATATATGCAAATATTTTCTCCTGTTAGATAGGTTGTCTTTTCATTCCGTTGTTTCCTTTGCTGACCAGAAGCCTTTCAGTTTGGTGTAGTTCCATTTTTCTTTTTTGCTTTTGTTCCCTAGGCTTTGGTGTCATATCCATGAAGCCATTGCCAAGACTGATGTCATGAAGCTTTTCCCCTATATTTCTTCCAGGAGTTTTACAGTTCAGGTCTTATGCTTAAGTATTTAATCCATTTTGAGTTGATTTTTGTATATAGTGTAAGATAGGGTCCAATTTTCTTCTTATATATGTGGATATCCAGTTTTCGCATCACCATTTGTTGAAGAGACTATCCTTTCCCCATTCTGTATTCTTGGCAACCTTGTCAAAAATTAGTTTACCATATACGTGTGTATTTATTTCTAGGCTCTCTTTTTTGTTCCATTGGTCAATATGTCTGGCTTTCCAATGGCACCATACTGTTTTAATTACAGTAGCTTTGTAGTATACTTTGAAATCAAGAAGTGTGATGCCTTTAGCTTTGTTCCTTTTTTTCAAGATTTTTTTGGCTATTTGGGGCTTTTCATGCTTCCATATGAATTTTAGAAATATTTTCTCTATCTCTGTAAGAAATCCTCCAGGGATTTTGATAAAGCATTGAACCTGTAGATCACTTTGCATAGTATGGACATTTTAACAATATTAATTATTCTAATTCATGAACATAGGATGTCTTTTTATTTATTTGTGTCTGCTTTAATATCTTTCATCTATATTTTGTGGTTTTTAGTCTAGAAATCTCTCATCTCCTTGCTGAAGTTTATTCCTAAGTATTTCATTTTTTGATATTAATTTGTAAATTGGATTGTTTTCTTAATTTCTTTTTTGGATAATTTGTTATTAGAGAATATAATTCTACTTAGGGTTTATTGAGCTTCTTTTGTGCTCACATTAATGGTTTTCATCAAATTTTGGAAATTTTTGGTCATTATTTCTTCAATAATTTTTCTGCTCTTTTCTCTCTCCTCTCCTTCTGGAACTCCAATATGACACAGAAATCTCTGAGACTCTATTTTTCTTCAATCTTTTGTTTTTCTGTTCTTAAAATTGGATAATATTGATCTATTTTCAAATTCTTTCTTCTGCTGTCTGAAATCTGCTATTGAGATCCTCTAGTGAATTTATTTCAGTTATTGTACTTCAAAGTAAGAATTTACATTTAGTTTTTCTTGTTAATTTGTTTGCCCTTACTGAGATCCTTAATTTGTCAGGTAATTTTCACACTTTCTTTTAACATTTTAAATATGGCTTCCTTTAGTTATTTGGACATATTTCTAATAGCTACTTTGAAGATTATGTCTATGTCTAACATCTAAGTTCCTTTAAAAACAATTTCTACTGCTTGTTTTTTCCTGTTTATGAATCACACTTTTCTGTTTCTTTAAAGCCATCCCTATATTCTGCAGGCAATTTTTTTTACTGAAGCCTGACTTTTCCCTGGTACTCAGAATGGTTTATGGCCCTATCTTCCACCAGCAGTTACAGAATTAAGACAATATATATGACATTAAGAAAAACCTGAATGAAGTTAATGGGGTTAAATACATTCTCCCTCCCTCATTTATCAACCTTCGTTTTAGTCCACATGTATGACCCTCTTGCCATACCCAACCCCAAATGTACATACATAGATATGCCAAGCCTGGAAATTTCTGGAGTTTATTTTCTATGGTGCATTTCCCTGACTTTATGGGGGCTTCTGCAAACCAGCTGTAATGGAATCTCATTACAGAAATAAGTGAATCTCTTATTTGAGTCCATAAAATATGCATACGTTATTATCTCCTGAAGGAATTGGCAGTGAGATGACTGCATGCAGACCCTGTGGCAGTATTTGGCAGCTCTCTATTTAATTGGTGCATATATGCCAACTTAAATCCAACTTAAATCCTGAATATTAGAGATTATACTACCGGAAATCTGAAGTATTTGCCTCACAGACATACTGTCAAGAATCAGGCATTTCCCAAAGATTGGAATAGGGAAGCTCAGAGGTACAGTTTTGAGTCATTCATTCATTCAATAAGTCACTCCTTGGGCCACTTCTGGGACTACTGAGCTTGAAAGGATTCTGAGGTCCTGGCAAAGCTCAGGGGGAGACTGTGATTGATTAGTGATATCTGACATAGGTAGGGGATGGGAGAATGGCAGTACCTGTGCCTTGTATTTACCATCCTTGGGCCAGGGACTGGTTGCAAAGCCCTAGGGAACACTCTAGGAGAGGGAGACAGCAGATATGGAGTGTATGCTTGCAGTCATGGTTATGTCAATGAAGACTCAATTGTGGGCAGGAGGTAGATTATGCCAGTTGGTTTCTTCTCCATCTACAGAGTCCCTCAAAACTTAGCCCTCATGGTAGCATAGGACAGGGCCTGTTTCCTGCAAATTGGGTCAAATGATTCCCATCTCCCAGTGGAGAATAAAGGATATGAGGAGAATAAAGGATAATGGATGTCCTAGGAACTGAATAACAGTGTGTGCTCATGGAGACCTATGATCATGCTCATGCTCTCAAAGACCTTGTGGTTTCAATGTCACCTAAGTAGGTTCCCAAATCCAGGCCTGAGAAGCTGTTATGAAGTGCCCCCATCCCTTCCCAGTACTTTATGTCTGTATCTACACTTCTCCTCCATAACACCATGCTCACAGGAGAGGTCTGAGAGCCTCTTACACTATAGTCCATATTTTGGTTATCATCTTGGCTCTTCTGAGGGAGAGATACTTTGTCAGTGGTTCTCATACATTAGAATCTCTTAGAGGCTTGTGAAAAACAGATTGCTGGGACCTGCCCCCAGAGTTTCTGGTTCATTACGTCTTGGGTGGGGCCTGAGAGTAGGCATTCCTAACAAGTCTCCAGATGATGATGATTCTAGCCCTGTGACCACACTTTGAGAAATACTATTTTAAGACAATATATCCCCATGGACTGAAAATCTTTCTATCGTTTAAAAGTTCTAGGCATCAAGAAATTGGTAGGGCTATTGTGCACATGTGATGGTGGGGTTGGGGGAAAAACTGAGGGGGTAGACAGAGGGCTTTTACCAAGGGAGACCAATGGGAACTCTCTAGGCTGTCTAGCTGCCTGCCTTCTGCCTATCAGGCCATCTCCTGTATTTTCATTCACCTTAGATCATAAGGTTACTTTCAACTCAAGTTGTTGACCTGGGGCATGAGGAGATCAGCTCTTTTGGAAAGATGGGTCTATTTAAATTTTGACATGAGTGTTGTCTAGGCCATTCACCATATCTCTTCTGTTTTCATTCTAAAGCTCCCAGGGAAACTTCCCACTGCTCTTGTTACTCAAGCCAGTTAAGCTTCTTCTGGGCAATTGATGAGGTTTAACCTCACGAAGCACACCCTTCGATATGGTTAGGTTTTGTGTCCCCACTCAAATCTCATCTTAAATTGTTGTTCCCATAATCCCCACATGTCGTGGGAGGGACCAGGTGAAGACGATTGAATCATGGGGGCGGTTTCTCCAATCCTGTCCTTGTGATAGTGAATAACTCTCATGAGAGCTGATGGTTTTATAAAGGGGAGTTCCCCTGCACACACTCTCTTGCCTGCCACCACGTAAGACATGCCTTTGCTCCCTCTTCGCCTTCTGCCATGATTGTGAGGCCTCTCCAGCCATGTGGAATTGTGAATCCATTAAACCTCTTTTTCTTCATAAGTTACCCAGTCTCAGGTAAGTCTTTATCCATAGTGTGAGAACTGACTAATACATCTTAATGGTCTGACTACACTGGTGCAGTCCCACAGTTTAGCACCAATGGCTTTCCTGGCCATTGTCTGTTTTTGCCTCCTAACTGGATTGCCAGCAACAGGAGAACAGGCTTTGTCTCCTTGTCCCTTTTTTCCCCAACAGCATAGCCTAGCAGAGGCCTGGGCACTTGCCAATTGCTCAATATTTCAATTCAAGGCATTTAAGAGCTAGAACCATCCTTAGAGACCAGCTAGTCCAGCTCTCCCATGTTACAAATGGACAAACTGAAACCCACAGATGACAGGCTTGCCCAGGACCTCCTTATAGGGATAAGCTACTGACCATGGAAAGTCAAGCCTTCCTTCTTTTTGTTTACCCTTTGGCCTTATCATCCCTTATTATTCTCTGCATTTCATTCCTGTCTTCTTCTGCTTCAAGGAACCCGATTAAGGAGAGGAAAGGGCTAGGGAGCCTCTTCACCCATTGACCTCAACCCTGCAGGGCTGTGATAGTCCTTTACAGTTGATCCCTTTCTAAGAATACATTTCTAAAAATAAGCCTAATCCTGTATATAAATGTTTACATCCAACTCATATATGCTGACTCTGGGGGAGAAAGGGTCCCAGGTGGAACATATGCCACAGAGATATAAAGGAAAAGGGCCAATCAGCCTCCCTCCTGCCTGTCTCCCAGTGGCTATTGGAAAGGGAAGGGTGTGGGTGCTACTCCCTGGAGGAAGGGCAGAGAAAAGGCAGAATCTGTGACTGCCAGTTTGGGGGTGGGGGAAGATCACTCCCCTACCCTGACCTTTGGCTTTTTATCCACCAATCTCACCACCAGGAGCCTAGCCTGGTTCCCTATGAGCATGAGGCTTCATCCTCACCACTTCTGATGCCAGTATAGGGGATGGATGGAAGGTGTGGAAGAAAAGCGTGGAACCCTGAAAGACACTCCCAAAGTGCTTCAGCCTAAGAGAGCTCTACCTGCTGATGGATTATGATTCTTTCTACCAGAACAACTACCTCTAACTCTATCTCTTCCTCTCCCGCCTGTCTGTGTGTGTAATAAACACACACATAAATACATGCATATACACACAGAGAGAGGCAGAATCACATGGAGCATTTCAATCAGACATAAACAGTTTGAAGGGTGATAAGATGTTTTCAAATAGAGATAGCAATGTGATCTTTGCAATGGTGCAGGAAGGCCACGTGCTTGTTAGCGATCTTGTATATAATTGTGCTAAATTCAGCATAGGCAATAGGATAAGCACTCAGAATGGCTGCCTCCCTCCAGACTTCTGAGCAATGTAAAGGACCTTTTTTTTTTTTTTTTTTTTTCCTGAGACCGAGTTTCACTCTTGTTGCCCAGGCTGGAGTGCAATGGTGTGATCTTGGCTCACCGCAACCTCCACCTCCCGGGTTCAAGCGATTCTCCTGCCTCAGCCTCCCGAGTAGCTGGGATTACAGGCATGCGCCACCAGGCCCAGCTAATTTTGTATTTTTAGTAGAGACGGGGTTTCTCCATGTTGGTCAGGCTGGTCTCGAACTCCCGACCTCAGGTGATCCACCCACCTGGGCCTCCCAAAGTGCTGGTATTACAGGCGTGAGCCACCGCACCCAGGTGGGACTTTTAAATTGTCATTGGAAGAAGGGAAATACTGCTGAGGTTTTAAAGGACTTTGAAGGCAGAAATTCAAAATGGAGCCAGCTTGCTTTAGGAGGTTCCAGGCTACACAGTAAGTTTGAGGCAAATGGTACCTGAGGATTCATTTACTTGGAAGATATAAGATGCATAAGGGGCCACGCTCCTGGGCACAGGTGAGCCAGGGTGTAGACTGCAGGTATAGATGCTAATTGCTACTGTTGTGAATATTTGCTTCTTTGGGCTTCATGCTTATTTTTCCAAAATCTCAATTTCCTTTAAAATCAATAAAATGCTCTTGTATCTGGGCAGAGATCAGCAGTTCCCAAAGCACTTCTCCAGGCTGCATTGCATCTGGCCCTCCCAACAGCCAAGGGAGCTGGACAGCCCAGCTCTTACATCCCCATTTATGGGGGGAAGACAGGTGCAGCCAGGTCCCACAACTAGAGAGAGGCCCCTGGCTGAGAAGGGACTTCAATCCAAGGGTGGTCTCTCAGCCCCTGTAGTATTTATCACCTAACCACTAACATGTAAGGGACTTTTACCTAGAGGCAAAGCACATGATCCAAATCCAAAAAACTCACTAATGCCAATTCACTTTCCTTCTTGCCCTCTCTCCCTGTGTATCTGTCTCTGTCTCTTTCTGACTCTGTCTGTCTGCATCCAGGCCTGGGCTGACAGGCATGTGCCCAGATGTTTTCCTCTTTACTGAGAAAGCAAGCCCCACACTATCAGAGCTGTTCCCACCATTGCTGGCAGTTTCTAGCCAGCCTAGACCCCAGGCCTCAGTTGGTCCCAGGTAACCTCAGTTACCAAATGAGCATGTGCTGTTTAGCAGCTAGATTGTTTCTGGATTATGAGTGATAAAACAAATAACAAGTAAGCTTCTAGCCTGTGCCTGACTGAAATGTGGCCTGTGAAAGCTTAGCAACTGCACGTGCACAGGCGGTCAGGGGACCCAGCGGGCCCCTTGCTAGCTGCAACAGAAAAGATGTGTCTGTAGAAGATGGGGTGCTGAGGCCTGGGACAGGTGGAGATGGATTATGGTGGCTGAGGGGTGACACAGTAGGCCACCTAATACTTTTATGATAGGTTTAAATCAAGCTTAGCTACAGCTCAGGTAGCAGTTTCCCTGGCAAACCTTGTTTGACCACCTGTGCCTCCCTCCCACCATGTGCACAGGCACAAGAAATCCCTGTAAACAATGATGCACACACAGACAAGTGCACCCAGAGGCACACCCGCTCACACACGTGTACATGGGCACACACAGTCATGTACAAGCATGCATGCTCCCACATGCCATCCGTGTTGGGCTCCACTCCTCAGTTTCCGTACCACTTGAGCTTCCACCCGTTGGATCCCTTAGCTCACAGACCTACAAATGCCCATCCCTAGCACAAGTGCCCTACGTCCCTTCTGAAAAAGGCCCAGAGAGGGAGCGTCAGATAACTGAGATTACCTGGGACCAGGTACCTGGATCCCTGAAATAGGGATCTCTCAGGCTTCAGAGCTGGGAAGTCAGAAATACTTCTGCATGCCTCACTCTCAGTGCTGCTGCTGCCACTGCTTCAGGCCTTGCTCCTGCTGTGTCCCCCACCCTGGGGCACAGTGAGCCCCTGCTCCCCAGCGCTTGACCAAGGCTCTCTGTACACTAATTAGGCACTGCCTGCACCTCTTCTTGTCCAGGCAGGGTGACTAACACTAAGTCTTTCTGCCTCTGCACCCTTGGACAGCCTCTGTGCCCCTTCCATACTCTCCTGGGGCAGCTCTCTCTCCTTATCTGAGGCCTGCCCTTCACTGGTATCCCAGGTCTTAGAATGAATGTCTGCCCCAGGCAGAGTATTGTTCTAGGACCTGGGATCCTGTCTTGCCCAGGCCCAGCCTGCACTGAGTAGTTTGCTTTCCTTCCACAGCTGCTGCCCTGACCCAGGAGGGGTCCCGTGAACTCCTGCTCATAGTTAAGCCTAGATGAACATTATGATTGGAATTGTGTTCCCCCAAAAGATCTTAAAATTCTAACCCCCAGAACCTGTGAATGTGACCTCATTTGAAAATAGTCTTTGCAGATGAACAAGTTAAAATGGGCCATTAGGGTGGGCCCTAATCTAATATGACTGATGTCTTCATAAAAAGGGGACATTTAGACAGAGAGACAGGCAAACATAGAGGGAAGATGATGTGGAGACACAGGGAGAATGCCATCTCCACGCAAAGAAACACTTGAAGCTGCGAGAGGGTAGGAGAGAGGCCTGGAACTGATTCTCTCACAGCTCTCAGAAGGAACTCCCCCCACTGACATTTTGGTTTTGGACTTCTGGCCTCCAGGCAGAGTTTGACAGGGACAACCTCACCTGTGCAGTCCTGGTGAACTGCCTGGAGGTGCTGGGCAGGGGCTAACTCTGCCTGCTCTGGTTTGATAGCCACATGCCTCCCTCTACCTGGTGCAAATTGTTCCTGAGGGTCCTGTTCGCCTTTCCAGATCATCCATCTGGCCCCTCCCAGTAACCTGATACTCATAAGCACAATACATTTTTTTTCCTATGCTTCCAGCCTTTCAATAGCTTCTTATGGCCCCCAGATAAAGCCCTAGTTCCCTCCTGTGGCCCATGGAGCCTGCCTGGTCTGGTCCCTGTCCATCTCTATAGCCCTGCCAGTCCCCTACCCCAGAAATCTGGATGTCATGTTTTGCCCCTCCTTCTCTCTCCCTCATGCCCCCATCCAACCTGTGGCCTTAGTCCTGGCCAGACTCTCAGCCAGCTCACTGTTGGTTGCTCCACCTCCCTCCCCCACGCTGGCCTAAGCCCTCTCTGCTCCTCCCTGGATAGCTGTGCCAATCTCCTCCCTGGACCCTCTGCCTCCAAACTGCATGTCTCCCACCATTGTCCACGTGGCAGCCAGAGGAATCCTTTGCAAACACAAATCTGACCACGTCGCTCCCCTTCTTCAAACATTTTGGTGGCCCTGAGCACAAAGGCCCAGCTCCCTAGCAAGGCCACCAGGCCCTGTATGACTGCAACCCCATTGTTCTCTCCTGCATTGCCTTCTGATTTACAATATTTGCTGCCCTTGATCCAGGAAACCTTGCAGGGCCCCACAACAGAGGCATGGGTTCTCCTGCAGGAGGCCGCACTGGTGCAGGAGGCAGCACTGGTGCAGCAGGTAGGCTGTGTAGCTGAGGGAGCCACTGACCTCACTGCTTTCTCAAGAGAGCAAGGAGAGTTCCCCAACTGGCTGGCTGTGCTGGCAGCAAGGTTTCCAGGGTTGAGGTGGGTGGGGAGATTCGTATTATGCTAATTAGATCTGGCTCCTTAGGACTGTCCCTCAGGCACTGATTTCTGGAAAGGGCTCATTGAGCTTGACTTTGACAGATGGCCTCTGGGATGAATGAGTGTGAGTGTGTACATGTCCATGAGTGTACATAGGTGTCCAGTATGCATGTGCGTCTGGGTGTGTAGGTGCGACTATGTGTATATAACATTGGGATATGTACACATACACTCCTACATGCCATGTATTTGTGTGTATGTATATGTGTATGTTGCATGTACACATGTGTATGTATGTATATGTGTATCTGTGAGTGTATCCACATGTACGTGTGCATATATTATGTGTGCATGTATATTCGTGTGGGTGTGTATATTTATGTGCATGTTGGTGTGTTTATGTGTGTGTTCATGTGTGAATATGGATGTATGTGTATACATGGGTATACGTGCCTGGGGGTGTGTTTGTGTGTATAAAATATATGTGCATGTTCATGTGTGTGTAGGTACATACATAGCTCTGTATATAGATATATGTGTATTTGTATGCAGAAAGTGTGGACATCAACGGATGTGTGAATTTGTATCTATAACTAGGTTCATCTGCAAAGGTGCATATATGTTTAGGTGTATGTATGTATATGTATATGAGAGTGTGTGTGTGTTTGGGGGATGCAGGTATACATGGTTGTGTGGATTTGTGTCTGTGTCTGGGTGTTGTCTGCATAGATGTGAATGTATGTGTATGTGTGTGTAGGTATATGTATATGTGCATGGATGTGCAGATGTGTGTTTACATCTGGATGTATCTGCGTGGATGTAGATGTGCAGATGAGATACATCTATGTGTCTGTGTATGTATGATGTGATTTGGATGTGTATGGGCATATGGATGTGTGTCTATATCAGGTATATCTTCATGGGTGTACATCTATGAGTGTGTCAGATGCAGATATGTACATGTGTGTAGATGTGTGTTCATAGCTGAGTGCATCTGCACAGGTGAGGATGTTTGTGTATGTAAATGGGGGGTGTGGATGTATATGGGTATTTGATTGTATGTTTGTGAGTGGGTGTAACTGCACAAGTGTGGCTGTAGGGAGGGCATTGGGGGAGTGTGTATAGGTATGGGTCTGTGGATGTGTGCCTGCATCCGGGTGTATCTACATGGCTACAAATGTGTATGTACGTATATTTGGGTGTGTGAAGGTGTAGATATTTCAGAGTGTGTGTGTGTATGTGCATGCACGTGTGTTTGGAGTAAAGTCGAGTATGTGGATGTGTGTGCATATCTGCTGTGTATGCATAGGAATACGTTTGCATATGTTATTGGTGCAGATGGATGTCTCTCCGTGTGCCTGTGTCTGGGTATATCTGCACAGGTGCAGACATGATGGAAGTACATCTATGTGTGTGTGGGTGGAGGAGGAGTGATGCATGCATGGTGTCTGCCAAGGCCCTCACATCCCACAGCCCTCTGGGTAATTCATTTAACGCCACATTCTTCTTCCTTGCTTTCCACATATGTAAAATGGGGACAACAACAGTTTCTATCTCACAAGTCAGCTGTGGGCACTCAATGAGATGAATGGAAGCTATTGTTACTGCTTTTTTCAATTACCCAGTAATTCCTGAGCTTCTGCTATGTGCCCAGTGGTGCTGGTGGTCTCACCGGGACTTCTCTCCCAGCCAGGCTACCCCAACATCAGATCTCCCCTGACAGACCTGAGTCAGTTGGCTCAAGGAGAGCCCCAACTTGAACTCAGAACAGTGAGGACTCCTTATAGTCAGCCTGGTGATGCTGCAGGCAAAAGCACAGAAGGGCTGCAGGTCTGGGCCCCCTTTTTGGGTACGCTGGCCCCTATCTCCCTTCAACCTGGTCTGCTCAGGGCCCCAAAGCTAGGTTCATCCCTTTAGGACAGTGACAGCTCCTCAGCCATCGACTTCTGTATATAAGCATGTCAGATGAGGCCGAGCAAAGAAACACTGAATTTAATAAAGCCAAGGAACCAGGAGAACTCTCCAACCCAAATCAATCCTCGATGTGTTTTTAATTAAGTTATAGCCCTTGTGATTAAAGAGTGTGAATTTCATTACTGTGACCATTTATCAAGGAGCATACCCGCTGAACCTTTATAACAGGCAGGGAAGAAGGCTTTTTATTTTCATCAACACCAAGTGCCCTGTTTGTATCTCAACTGACTCATCAAGGAAAACTGTCTCCCCTCCCAAGCTGCCACCCACTCAGTAATGACAAAGCCATGCCTGCCCCCACACTGCCCATCAATAGGCCAAGGCAGATGAGTATGAAACTTCTGATTTTGTTCAAGTGTCCTCCACAACCCTCATGCAGCCAGGCTACTGCACTGCCAAAGTGCAATTCGGGCCCCAGGAGTCAAGGTGCATAGAGCAAGGAGCCTAGGCATTCTCAGATGCTGGAGTTGGCTTGTCCTGAAAAATGATACATTTAAAACTTTGGCCTAACCACAACTCAACTAGCTACATAAATGAATGAGGGCTGGAGGAGGGAAGGAAGGAGAAGAGACACCATATTGGATGTTAACAATTGAAAGGCAACCTCAGGGACTCTGACTTTGCTAGTTTCTAGATGTGTGTGTGTGTGTGTGTGTGTGTGTACATGTGTTCTTTGCAATTTGGGAAATTGTTTTATTGAAGTGTTATATGCAAGGAAGTGCCCAGATCATGCACATACAAGTTGATGAATTCCACAATGTGAGCACACTGTAACCAGAACCCAGATCACCAAACAGAAAACTAGCACTCTCCAGAAACCCCCAGAGTGCTCCTCATAGTCACTATTGCCCCACGATAGTAACCACTATCCTGATTTCTACTGGTTTTGTTTATTTTTATATTTTACGTAGATGGAATCAGAATCAGACAGAATTCCCCCCCCCTTTGTTTTTTTGAGACGGAGTCTCGCTTTGTGGCCCAGGCTGGAATGCAGTGGAGTGATCTCGGCTCACTTGCAAGCTCTGCCTCTCGGGTTCACACCATTCTCCTGCCTCAGCCTCCCGAGTAGCTGGGACTACAGGCGCCCGCCACCATACCTGGCTAATTTTTTTGTATTTTCAGTAGAGACGGGGTTTCACTGTGTTAGCCAGGATGGTGTCGATCTCCTGACCTCGTGATCCACCCGCCTCGGCCTCCCAAAGTGCTGGGATTACAGGCGTGAGCCACCGCACCCAGCCAGAACTTCCCTTTTTATGTCCAGCTTCTTTTACTCAATATTATGTTTGTGAGATTTGTATGTGAATATGCCACAATTTATTTATCCATTCCACTTTTTTTTTTTTTTTTTTAGACAGGGTGTTGCTCTGTTACCCAGGTTGCAGTGCAGTGGTATGATCACGGCTCACTGCAGCTGTGACTTCCCAGGCTCAAGCAATCCTCCCATCTCAGCTTCCTGAGTAGCTGGGACATGTCAGGCACATGCCACTATGCCTGGATAATATTTTTATTATTATTTGTAGAGACAGGGTCTCGCCATGTTGCCCAGACTGGTCTCAAACTCCCGGGCTCAAGCAATCCTCCTGCCTCGGCCTCTCAAGATGCTGGGATTAAGGTGTGAACCACTGCACCTGGCTGTGTTCGAATCTTGATGGGCGTGTGAGCCACTGTGCCTGGCTCCATTCAAATCTTGATGGGCATTTGAGTTGCTTCTAGTTTGGACGGCATTGTATCGAGCAATGCTGTTACAAACATTTGTGTACATATCTATTGGTGAATATATATGTCTTTCTGTGTGTTATAGTGCTTAGTAGTGGAATTGTTCGGTCATGTATGTATGTTCAGCTATAGTAGATACAGCTATATTGCCACAGTGATTTCCAAAGCCGTTGTACAATTTACCCACAGTACATGAGCATTCTACTTAGTCTACATTCATATATGAGCATTCTGGTTGGTCCACATCCTCACCAACACATGGTATTGTCTATCTTTTTTCTTTTAGTCTTTCTGGCGGATATGTAGTCACCCTGGGTTGCGTTCCTAGGAAAGTGGACTATAAGATAAATATTAGTGTGCAGAAAGTTTACTGGGGAGTGCTCTTAGGAACAGTATCTTTGAGCAAGTGGAGAAAGCAGGATTAGGCAGGCGTAGAGGTTGGACCATGATGCAGTCATAACAAAGACCTTGGCCAGTGCCATGGAGAACTCTGAAGCTGGGATGACCCTTCAGAATTGCCTCAGATTTGGGCAGGGGACTGAGCCTTTATACCTCATATCAACCAGTCATTGGATGCAGACCTCCCCAGCAGGAGGAGGAACTAGGCTGTGAGCTGTCAGTAATCGACACTTACAGGAGTCAGCGAGATGAGTACTTCAGTCCTGATTTGTGGAGGAGGAATTTGGGAAGCACACTACAGAATTCACTACAGTAGTGGTATTGCATTGTGGTTTTAAAGTGCATTTCTCTGATGACTCCTGAGGTTAAGCATCTTTTGGCCATTTAGATAACTTCTTTTGAGAAATGTTCGTTTGGGCCCTTTGCCAAGCTTTCTATTGGGATGTCAGTCTTTTTTTTATTTGTAGGAATTCTTTACATGTTTGAATAGTTCTTTAAGATATATGTCTCTGGAGGCACTGCCAGAGACATACATCTCAAATAACTATCTGGAATACATAATATATATTGTATATAAAGAATTTTTACAAATCAATGTGAAAAAGACAGAAATCCCAATAGAAAATTTGGCAAGGAATCTGAATATATACTATAAATGTCTTCTTCCCCTTAAGGATGACCTTCTTCCACTCAATGTTTTTTGATAAATAAAAGTTGTTGATTTTAATGTAGTCTAATGCATTTTTAAAAATATTATTAATGTGTTTCGCATCTCATTTAAGGTCTTTGCCTACTTCAAGGTCATGAAGATATTCTCCTATGTTTTCTATAAAATATTTACTTTTTACCTTTTACACATCACCTAGAATTGGTTTGGGTGTATGATATGAACTAGGAGTCACGATATATTTTTTTCTATGTGATATTCAATTGACCCACAATAATTTATGAAAATGTAATTTTTTTTCATAAAGCAAGTGACCATATATATGTGGGTCCATTTCTGAACTCTATTCTGTTACATTTTCAAATTGAATGTCCTTGCACCAATATCATACTGTCTTATTTATTACAGCATTCTTAATATCTGTTAGTATTAAAAGTTTTTTTAAGCCTGCTTGAATTTTTATTGGGATTGTGTCAAATCTATGTATTAACTTGGAGAAAATTGAGATCTTTACAGTATTTAGTCTTCCAATACATGACTAATAGCACATCCCTCCTTTTATTTAGATTTTCTTTAATTTCTTTCAGTGTTTTCTTGTTTTCAGTGTAGAGATCTTGCACACCTTAGATTTATTTCTAGGTATTTGGTGTTTTCTGATGTTATTATAAATGAAATCTTTTATAAATTTATTTTGTCTTTTTGTTGCTAATATATAAAATGCAAATGATTTTTAAATATGTTTACTTTGTATCCCACTGCCTTGCTAAATTCACTTATTAATTCTAATAGTTTGTCTATGGATTTTATTGGATTTCTTA